>NC_000017.11:15339595-15642626 GCF_000001405.40 Homo sapiens
TAGCATATTTAAGCAAGACTGGAAGATCATAAATATTTTAAAGTACAAAAATCTACAGACCATTTTCTGCAGAAGACACAAGTTTACATGACTTGCCCCACACCCTGCCTTAGATCAGGGGCAAGCATAGGCTTGAAGGGCTCACATACAAACCCCTTTAGTTCCTTTGTAGCCACTTAATTACAGTTCTAAATAGGAGCGGAAATAAAACAGCGCTGCCAATACACTAACAAATACCAGAAGTAGAAGAAATCATATCAGACATCAATGTTTAATTTCTCTTTATGCATATATTACATAAGAATACAGGAAAACTTCATCTCTTCAAAAAAAAAAGTTTGGTTAAGGAACTCTATTCATCGATGGTATATAAATTATTACACTTTGGAGAGCTAGATGGTGGTATCCAGTAAAGTTGAAATGGCAAATTACCTGTGACTCAGCAATTCAATTTCTTGGTATGTACCTAGAGAAATGCAAATATGTTTACAATTAGAATGTACAAGAATTCCTTTCTAGTATTTTTAAAGGGAGCAAACTAAAAGTCCATCAACAGGAGGATGCATACATAATATGTGGTAAATTCATGCAAGAATCACCACACAACAGTTCAAATGAATGACCTGCAACACGTACAGCATAACCATTCTATCAACTTAAAAAGTAACAGTAGGCCGGGCGCGGTCCTCATGCCTGTAATCCCAGCACTTTGGGAGGATCACGAGGTCAGGAGTTCGAGACCAGCCTGGCCAACTTGGTGAAACCCCCTCTCTACTAAAAATACAAAAAAAAAAAAAAAAAATTGGCCAGTTGTGGTGGCAGGCACCTGTAATCCCAGCTACTCAGGGGGCTGAGGCAGGAGAATCGCTTGAATCTGGGAGGCGGAGGTTCCGGTGAGCTGAGATCATGCCATTGCACTCCAGCCTGGGCGACAAGAGCGAGACTCCGTCTCAAAAAAAAAGTATACATTGGTTTAGGATAAACATATGAGTAGTAAAAGTATAAAAATATGCAGAATATAAGTAAATGCTAAATTCTGTTGGTTAATAGGGATAGGTAAGGAGAGAGGGGAATGGGATTTCCAAGGGTTACATAACAGACCTTAATTGTGCCTGTAATCGATTTTTTGTTGGTTTAAGTTTGGACTGGGTACATGGATTCACCCCTGGGTTCACTCTACTTATTGTGTGAAGTATTTTATTTTAAAGAAGAAAAAAGTAGAATATTTTGTCAGTTACCTCAAAACATTTTCGCCTGTTAGTAAAACTGTATATTTTTTTCACAATAATCAAACAAATAATTTTACCCATTTCCAGGATGTTTATTTCTCTACAATACTATATACATCCAGGAGAAAACATAAAGGGGTTTGGTCTAAACTGCCCAAACACAAGCGAAAGCTTTGCAGCCAAGCTAAACAGAAACGACTTTGGGCGGTGAGAGAACAGCTTTGATCTGAATTTAAGGAGCTCGGTCTACAAGACCAGGTGATTGAACTCTCCTCCCCGTGGCTGCAGATCTGAAGGCTCGGCTATTGAAGCAGAGGGGGACGAGGAACAGCGTGCGGGGCGGCCAGCACCGCAGTGGAAAGGCACAGCGCTGCTAACGGGTAATTATTAGAATTAAGAAATTAAACGAATTAGCACAGTGTCGGGGGTTCGGATGCCCCTTCCCTGGGCATCCCTTGAAAACCCTTGAAAAGCATCAGAAAGGTAAATTACGAGGAAACCAACGTCTGGGTGGGAGGTGCCTGTGGATTTGTACGGTTTTTATTTGGAAGGAAAAGTGAAGATCGCGGGGAGGAATTGCAGGGTGTCCGCGACCTCCCGCGATCCTGAGGCGAGAAGTTGGAGTCCTGGTTGGCGAAGGGGGATCCTTTGGGGTAGTCCTAGAGGCAGGCTAGAGTCAGCGAGACCACTCACCTGTCGGCGGATGCCCGGCGAGGGGCGGGAAGGGGCTGTGGGAGGAAGGGGTCGCAGCCTACCACCTGCAGCCCTCGACTGGGGCCCAGACCAGTCTGGCCCTGGCCCCGCCTTTCCTATCTGTGACGATAGCAGCGCCTGAGGGCCACTCAGCGGCCGCCCCGGCCGGCTCGCCGGAGCTGACTGGCCAGTTATAGGAGAGGCGGGAGCTGTCAGGCCAGGAGGGAAACCCGTCGGGCGGCGGTTACTATGGACGCGCTCACGCTTAGTAACCGAGGCTCCCCGCCCTCCGGGAGACCTCCTTGGTTTGGGAGGTGAAAGGGGTGAAGAGTAGCCCAAGGGAGAGGCCTCGGTGATTTCCCGACCTCTCCTGTGAAGCCTGATTCGGAACTCTTCCAGCTGCGAAGAACTTGGCCGATTCTAAGGCACATCAGGGCTGCCTGGAACCCTAACACCTGCCTAGGTGTTGACAAGCCCCCACCTTTCCTGACCAGCCTCTCTTCTCTCCAGCAGAGCTTCTCCTGTGACAGAATTATCTAGTGTTCCTTCCCTGCTTCCTCACTCTAAGAAAATGGTTTGGGCTTTCCCTCTCTCTCTTCAGCAAATATTTCCGTAAACAGCAGCCCGTACTGTTTCTTCCAGGTGCTGGCCCACATTTTTACATACATACATCATTGCTCATCCATGCAACCTCTTTCCAAACCTGTAAGAGGGGTTTATATTGTACAGATGAAGAAACTGAAGTTCGAGAAGTTAATTGACTTAGACAATGTGACTCAGTGGCAGAGCTAACACTAAAACTCAAATCAGTCAAACTTCAAGGCATCTTTCCATGAGGCAGCAGTCTAACCGTGTGAGCAGCAAGAGAATTCACCGAGTTACTTTGGTAACTAGTAATGCTAAAGAAAATAAAGCCCTCAGTTAATTATTTTTGGCTTTTCTGGGAATCACTGTGTGGCACTCCACCCAAGGACGAGGCGGAGGGACTTGCCAGGATAAGGCAGGCTGCCCAGCCCCTAGGAGACCTCAATGAAGTGACTTCAAGTCGGGGGCTGGTCCTCAGCTTTGCCAATTCAGACTCTTGGTTATGCCAGTGTCCCGAGTTTATTAGAGGCTGACTCAGGCCAACCGAACTCATGGGAACCTAATCTAGAAAAGTTAGAATGCTGCCTCAAGTGTTTACATTAAGCAACACGACCCCTCTAACTGTGGAGATGAGCCCAGAGTATTTTCCCCAAAGAGGAAAACCACAGAAAACACCCAGTGCTCAGAGGCTACTCATTTGCCTAGACACAAGACTAGACAAGGCTCCCATACCCGACACCAGGGCACTGCAAATCCTGACTAGTTTTCCCACTATGTTCCTTATCAGCAACTTTTTCTACATTCGGCCTAAGAAACATTTCACTCTGAGCTGTCTTTTTTTATTACTTTTTTCTCATGCATAGTGTTCTGCATTTTGTATTTTCAGTATTCAGCACGGGCTTTGCAGATGCCTAGAATCCGTAGACAATGCAGCAAATGATGCCATGTTTGTTCTTTGGGCCAAAAGACTGGCAACTGTTCTAAAGTAGATCTGATTGCCCACAAACTCTTTAAAGATGATGAGCAGTCTTTGTGCTTTGCACACATCTAGATGCCCAATAGCATTGCTAATTGAAGACAAAATTCATTCAATGTCTGATTTAAAAATAAACAGGTGAAATTATAGCAGAATTTGATCTTTTCAATGATACATTGAGTCAGTGAATTTCAAAAACCTCCTGATTAAAATTTCAGGTTAAATTGATCAACTCTGTTCTCCATAGAAAGGATTGAATGATGTTTTGGAAATAATTTAGATACCCTCTCAAAAAAAATTGTCTCATGATTATCAAGTCTTTGCCAGAATTGAGGTTAATGCTTGCCCTTCAGTTTTACAGTACGATAGAGACCTCCTACAATGCTTATTAAAAAAAATAAAGCAAGACCACTAGGATTCAGCTATTCAACCTTACTTTCTCAGCAGCTCCACAAGTTCAGGAATGTGTCTGTTTCTGTTCATCTCTGTATCCCCAGCATGGGGCTTCCTACCTGCCATGAAAGAGGGACTCAGTCAATGTTTGTTAAATGAAAGCATGAAGTGTGATGTTTAGTGGGGTAGGAAACTATCAAAGATACAGAAGTGGAGAAGCAATAAAGCAGACTTTGCCTATTTTATAACTTTGCCTTAGTCATTTTCATAACTTGAAGTCATTTTTATAACTTCCTTAGCTGCTACATTTTCACTCTATTTAGAGTCACCAAACCTCCTCTCCAGTCTTTCTGAGCCTTCCTATCACTCAACCATCGCCCTTCATCAAGATGCTATCAGCCCCTTTGAGCTGTCTATCCTTATCAGAAATCAAGTGTGGGCCTAGCCATCTTCACCCCTGGACTTCCACCCCCGTTCCCATCCTCACAGTGACTCACGTCCACAGCCTGCTTTCTCCATTTCTCCTCCAGCACTAAAGTTAATCATCACATTCTTCCTATTCCCCTGACCTCACCCCATGCCTCTCTCCCCCTCACTCACTGCGTACTAGCTACACTGGCTTTTTTTGTTTGTTTGTTTGTTTGTTTGTTTTTGAGATGGAGTTTCACTCTTGTTGCCCATGCTGGAGTGCAATGGTGGTGCGATCTCTGCTCACCGCAAATTCTGCCTCCCAGGTTCAAGTGATTCTCCTGTCTCAGCCTCTCGAGTAGCTGGGATTACAGGCATGTGCCACCATGCCCCGCTAATTTTGTATTTTTAGTGGAGACGGGGTTTCACCATTTTGATCAGGCTGGTCTCGTACTCCCGACCTCAGGTGATCTGCCCGTCCTGGCTTCCCAAAGTGCTGGGATTACAGGTGTGAGCCACCACACCCAGCCTACACTGGCTCTTATTCAGGTTTCTTGATGCTCTAAGCTCTTTGCCACCTCAGGGCCTTTGCACATGCATTTGTGTCATTCCAGTTTCCAGTTATTTATTTTGTGTGATTATTTAATTAACATCTAAGTTCCCTTCCAGAATATGAGTGTCAACAGGGGAGGGGAGGGAAGGAAG
This sequence comes from Homo sapiens, assembly GCF_000001405.40. Taxonomy (NCBI): domain Eukaryota; kingdom Metazoa; phylum Chordata; class Mammalia; order Primates; family Hominidae; genus Homo; species Homo sapiens. The sequence goes on from NC_000017.11 coordinate 15,344,585, forward strand.
CAGGACTGTTTTGCTCACCACTGAAAACTCAGCAGTTCACCTGCTGGTGCTGAGGAGGGCAGAGTACTGTGAGGAGGCCCATTGCACCTCTGACAGCTCCTAAGGGGGATTAAAACAAAAACACAAAACCAAAAACACCTCTCCCACAGCTGCGCTCACAATTCAACAGAGGGATTAGATGCCAGACTTTCTAGTTCCAAACCCTGATGTGGATGATGAGAGGAAAGCTCCCGGCTCTGTCACAGCCACTCCAGTGTTCCCAAAACCCAAATGTTCTGATGGGAGCCCCCTATACATTTATTTGATGTCCTTGCTACATGTCTGGCCCTTTGCCAAGTGCTGGAATGGAAACAAAGTGGGGTCACAACCCCAGTGGCTCCACGACAGCGCTGCTGCTGAGATGGGGAGCAAGTTCATTCAGGGATGAATCTTATAATTATCCTCTTCCAACCTTTGCTGGTTCCTCAGGGTTTAAAAAAGGAGGTCTCAACTCCTCAGATCAGCATCCAGAGCTCTCCATGATCTGGTCCTAGCCTGGCAGTGCAGCCCCGTGTCCACACTCCCCACTCCATGATCCCAAACATGAGTGAACACACAACCCTGCCTCTAACATCCTGTGATTTTTCTGATCCCTGACTTGCTCATGCTGTTCCCTGTACCTAGCATCTTCTTCCTCCTTAATATTGCCCCAAATTTATAGAATCTACTCATGTTTTCATGTCAATGTCAAATGCTACCTCCAAAATACTGTTTGTTTTGTCTGTCAAAATTAATTTACTTTCCCTGTGTATATTTGTGTAGCATGTACAATCCACTTGATGTTATGCTTACTTACTGATGTTTCTGACTCCATAGACTGAGCAGTCCTTGCATCTGCACACAGACATACACACCCCACCATTGCTCTGCACTAATACAAATCATAGTTACTATTTATTAAACCCTCACTCTGTGCCATATATCATATATTATGCTAGCTTTACATACAGTATTTCATTTATGGCTCCTCATACCACAATGGGATAGGCCATTATCATTTCCGTTGTCTAAATGAAGTGGGGATTCCATTGGAGAGGTTAGGTAGCTTGACCAGTGCCACACAGACAACAAGAGGAAGAGCTGCGCTTTCAATCCAGTTCTTTCTGGCTTTCAATTCTGTGCTCCTCACCTCTATACTACAAGCACAAAGTACCAACCATGAAGAAGTAGCTTTTAATGATTATGCCATGTCAGGAACCACTCATTCCATCCATGAACTCCTCCACCTCTTTCACCAGCCCTGAGAGGCAGGTATTACTGCACCAGCACCTAGTCAACAAATACTAATGGCTTGTTGAATTACTTTGTGTGAGACTGACAACAGCAGACAAAGCCAGTACTGGGACAGAGGTCCCCTGTTAGGAGGTCCTAAAGTCAACTTTTGTAGGGATGAAAACCTTTAAAAAGGCAGTCAGAATAATGACACTCTCCAGAGAGGAGAGTGAGTGGTCCACAGAGTGGCCACAGAGCAGGTGGCTGGTCCAAGAGAGTTTAAACAAACCCCGCCCCCACCCCACCGCCCCCCCACCCCCGAGTCCCGCCCCGCTGCCGCCCAAGATTCTAGGACTGGAGTCCTTACAGGCGATGTTTGCTGTTAGCACAAAGTCCAATGGTACCACAAGAGTACTGGCTGAGACAGCTGAAGGTGCTCACAACTACTTTGTGAGATCCTTTAAAGATCTGCAAGATTATAATAGGGCAATGGAAAAACTTCTGCTCATTCTGGATGGCAGAGCAGGAGACAGTGAATGGGAAGCTTGTTAGACACGCAAGTGGATGAGAAAGCAAGCAGGTAGTGCCAGCACAGTCTGCTTCCATCAGAAGAGGGGCGGCACTCGGGGCTGAAATGGAGTCAGCGAGTTCCACTCTTCAGCTCTGCAGCACACAAAAAAGAAAATTCTTACTGCATTAGTTTGGTGTTTCCGGAAGTGTGTTCCCTGAACTATTCAATCAATCAATCGTTAATAAAATAATAGTTCCATCAGCAAATATATTTGTGAATTTCTAACACAAAAAAAGTTAAATACCTTTCTTTAACACAAGAATCCTCCGAGTCTGTAATGTGCCAATTTGTATTTTCCCATGGAATTCTAACCACAGAGTTTTTAAAACTCAGAACATTTTAACATCCCCCAGGACACTCATGGAACACAGTTTGGGGAACCTGCTTTAGCATAATGCAGCAATTCCAAATTTTAGCATTAACGTGCCCTAAAAATATATTTCAGTCAGAAAAAGAAAAATTTTTGCCCATATCTAGCTTATTTCAGACATTCTCTAAAGCAATATAGAAATAACTGACTTATCTGTGTATTCAGTATAGAAAACTCCATTGTGATTTGATGACAGTTTCCCTATTAAGTATCTTGTCTAGAAATGTGTGTGTGTGTGTGTGGGTGTGTGTGTGCATGAAGGTGATTCATGGAAAAGTAAAGAAAAAAAGAGTAAGAGAGGTGAAAGAGGTATAGTTGTCCTTTGGTATCCTTGGGGAACTGGTTCCAGGACCCCATAAATATCAAATTCTCAGATGCTCAAATCCCTTATATAAAAATAACATAGTATTTGCACATAACCCACATATATCCTCCCATATAGTTTAAATCACCTCTAAATTACTTATAATACCTAATACAATGTAAATGCCATGTAAATAGTTGTTATACTTTATTTTTTTATTTGTATTATGTTTTATTGTTGGATTGTTGTCTTTATTTTTTAAAAATATTTTCTATCCACAGTTGGTGAATCCAAGGATGTGGAATCTATAGATATGGAGGGCTGATGGTATATGGGGATGTGAGTGAGGAGTGGAAGGGGAGGGCTGATGGTATATGGGGATGTGAGTGAGGAGTGGAGGGGAGGGCTGATGGTATATGGGGGTGTGAGTGAGGAGTGGAAGGGGAGGGCTGATGGTATGTGGGGGTGTGAGTGAGGAGTGGAAGGGGAGGGCTGATGGTATGTGGGGGTGTGAGTGAGGAGTGGAAGGGGAATGTTAGGAAGTGGAAAAAGAAAACGCTGCCTTTATAGCCAAACTGTCTCTAACCTGCTGATTTCTTCTAAAACCTTTTAAGTCCATACTTACATTTATAGCTATGTAAACAGAGAAATTGGTAATATTTGCATTGTAGGAGAGGTAACAGAAATGTCTTCCATCTCAATTTTATAGTAATATAGTTTCTAGACGTGTTTTTTCACTGTTGTTGCAAATCACTTAGAAAAAAGTGGTATTTTACTCAAATTTTCATCATCAATATCAATGGTATTATTTTCCTTGATTTCTGCACTGGGAATCTGTACTTTTAGAAACAGCAATGTCAATCTATGAACTGGATGTGGGATCTGAATGGACTTAACGGGTAGAATATGACATTAATATTTACATAAAAGGGCTTCATGGAAGATTGGTTAGGAACCTCAGCTGGGTGTGTAATGCATTCATTGAGAATTTTTATCACTTACAACGGCAAGGTGATACCAGTTGTCACGGCTGTGTTTTGCTTATGTTACTAAGCTATTAAAAGGGGTGTGTATCACTGTCAGCTTTTTCAATTGAATAGACTTTTTCAGAGCATGAAATTGCAGGGCACGCCTTGCTGGGAATGCTTCCAGAGAGCCAAGATGTGTAAACTCAGCCAGGATTATTCTTATCTGAATATCTATCCCGTGTTTAGTAGATGGAAGAGCTATGATTCAAGAGGTTAAGTGATATGCCCAAGGTCACAGTCACATTTTTGCTCATGATCAGTCTCCTGACCAAGTAGAAAGTGGTGGGTTTCCACAGTGCTCTCTTTAGCTTCTCTGAGAGCCATTATGTTATTGTTGTATGTTTTCACAGATTGCCACTCCTGTTAGACTATGAGTCCCATGAGAATAAGGACAGTGTTTTTCCAGCCTTCATCACAGGAACCATTTTTGAAGCACCTGCTCTGTGCAAGCCTCATATACCTCATTTATATCTCTCAGACTAACCCCATGAGATTTATAACAGTACTTCTCTTTTACAGAGACTTAGAGGTTAGGTAACTTGACCAAGGCCACATTAGCTAGAAGGTGATACAGCTGGAATTCAACCTAGGATGTCTGACCCCAAAGCCTGTGATCTTTCCCCTACCTCAAATGGCTGTACATTTTTCCTGTGCATTCTCCTTGTTAGTCCTTAGCACTGACTGACCATCGGGCTAGGCCTGTGGTGCACTTCTGCTATGTGTTTATTGAATGAATGCATGGATGGATGAGAATCATAACTTGGGAAACAATGACCAGCTTTCCTCCTGGAACTTACTGGTGGTGTGGTATTGGGCAAACCCCCAGATCAACTGGATCTCTCCATAAGAAGAAAACAATAATGCCTCACTAGTCCGAAGGGAAGATAATGAATCAGATGCTCTATCGAAGTCTTTTCCAGAAAACAGACTGAAGCTGGGATGCTCGCTTGTAAATGGTTCTTGGAGAGCCCATCAGGCATGGAACCTATTTCTATAGGAACTGTCTGCTCCTCTTTTTGTCCTGGGAGAAATGTAACTCAAGGGAAAAGAAATCAAGGTTGGAGTTATCAGGTGAGATGCATTGTGAGTAATCAACAACCTCCCCAGCAGCCAAGATGGCTAGACAATCAATCAGTCTTCGTGCCTGAAGACTTTCTTGTATCATCTGGGACTACCCTGAACTTTAACCTTAAAGTTTCACTTATAAGGTCCTGGTATTATTCACCGACAGTCCTATGTCATAAATTAATCATCATCAACAACAAAAATGACTCATATTAAGCATTATAGGGAGATCCTTATAACCTAAAGAAGCAGATAGAAACACAGATGGGATACTTAGAGTGGGGAAAAATGCTTGGTTTAATGTTGTTAAGAGTCATTAAATGGTAACCATTGGATTATGGATAGTGTTGTGTTATAGATTGTATTTTGTACTATGTATTTAAAAAACGGGGAACTATACCAAGGCTACCTAAAAAGATCTGACATTTTAAGATCTGAGGGCATTTATAATATGCTCTCTATGATTCTGTAGAAACCGAGTATTATAAAGAAACATTGACTACTACTAACAGAAGGACACAAACTGGTCTAAGGAGGCTGATATCTTATCAGAGGTACATGGTGTTTCATCCAGATAAGCCAATAGGACCTTTATTAGTTTAGAACAATTACCTTTTGAGCTCAGCTACTACCACTAGTAAGAAGTTAGAATCTTCTTAAGAGGAAGACAGAGCATGTCAAACAGAATCAGAGAGTCAACATCTCTAATTTACCATCAGTCATGCAATCACTGAACAATTTGTAACTCTCAGTAGCATGCAAGACAATGAATTATGAAATGTGAGTGACAGTGGTGTACTGGAACTGGGTCATACTGGCTTGCAAGACTATTGTTAAATTTTCAAGAATTTTGCAAGCTCATTAAGCACAGCCTTTATTAAAAACTACATTATATAAATTTACTGTTTAGTAAATTATATTAAAACAATGGCAACAGATACCCAAAATTTATCACCTTCTAATTATTTCACAATATTTTATTGTTTTATGTCTTGAAGTTTATTTTCATCTATTGTATCTTTATAATGGAAACACTTTATCGTGATGTACTACTGAGCATCTCTTCCCAACTCTGACATCAGCAACATTGGTAGCTTGAAAATGACTACAGTGGGAGTATTTACATTATGGAAATGATCAATAGCCACAAAGCAAGGCTTGATTTATAGTTTTGTTGATTGTCTAAACTCAAGAAAGTGATGGAAAGTATAATGCACATTAAAGTATCTCCTGTTTGTAGCCATGAAATTGTGACAGGCACACACACACACACACACACAAATTGAAGCTACATTCTCCCACTATTTGAAAATAATTATCTGATTCAGCAAAGAAGTCATTCGTGTCATTAAAGTTTCCATATACATCTTCATTTTTGTCTTGTTAATGTGAACGGAGCTGTCAACCAACATTCATGTTGGACTCCTCTTATTCATTAATTGCAACTACAGGTTGGTTAGAAATACAAGAGTTTGGCAAAAATCAACAAAATAATTCTGTAAAAACCAACTGGCTATATGGAATTTATAATACAGAGTATTTGTATATTTTATTACTATTTATAAATTATAAGCTAAGAATTGTTTAATATCATTAAAATATAATAAACATTATGTACAGATACATACATTTTTCCCCAGAGATTCAGCTGTTAAATGTTTGTATCACTGTGAATGGGCCCCTGTTTCTGTCCTTAAGAGGTTAACATTTGGTGGGACGTGGGCAAAAATCCTACAGTGCAGGCTCTGGTGTGGTCAAAGCCATCAGAAAGAAACCCAGTCTCTTCGGAGCTCAGAAGAGGAAAAAGCACTGCCAGCCAGGAAAAACTGAAAGTTTTCATTTACGGGCTACAGAGAAAATTGTGTAGATCTTTAAACTGACAAGAGTTTGTGGAAACAAAAGCAGAGTTGGATATAGATAGATGTGCTGTATTTTTATAAAATATTTGAAATGTCATTTCTCAGTGATTTAATAAGAAAGTTAATTTATTTTTGTTGACATTGTTGGAAATAGTTTATCTTTTGTTTATAAACCAGAAACAGCCAGAGTCTGGCGTGTGTTAACTTGAGTCTGATTTGTGCTGGTCTTTGTCTAATTTACGTTCGCTTCAGTCAGCCAGTTATGAGGTTGCCAGGCTGTGGAGATGAAGGTGGCAGATAGCGGGCTGAGTCTTCCACAACCTTAGCGCAAGCTTCCAACACAGCTTGTCAGGCTATATAGGGAAGAATCTATTCAGCTTAGGGTGTGCGTGCTGACTGTGGGCCCCTGGGGAAGGAAGCCTCTCTAGCTATCTCTTTACGAAGCTATAGCAGACGCTGTCCACACTTCAACCCATGTCTCCTCGGACCCTTTGATCATTTTCCTGAGCACAGACTCCCCGTATGCTTATTCTTACATCTCCTTGAAGATGAACTGTCCTCAGGCTGCCAGAATCTACTTTGCTTAGGCAAGAAAGCCTGGAAGTGCTTGGGAATTTGTGCCTCAGGCCAATCCATAACCAAAGACTAATGAGTTCTGGGGTATAAATACCCCAGATGCTCTTCTCCTGAGGCGTGACCCTCTGAGGCATGACCTACCCTGTTTCCAGAGCTCCTCCTGTGGGAATGAACCAAAGTTACCCTCCTGGGACTTTGCTGGATACCACATTCCTGCATCTCCCAACTTCCCTTCTATAATAGATCCTACTTCCCCATTTCTTTCCCAGTTTTTCCCAGTAGAACATTTCTTGATAAATCACTTTCACACTAATCCTTGGAGTCTTCTTCTGGTGAACCTGACCTAAGACAGTGGCCATGTTTTATGTGGTGTGTTCCCCACCCCCATTTATTGGCCATGAATGTTTGGACCACAGGTAAACACCCAGCTCAAAGGTGGCCCCTCTGTGGACTGGCCAGTGGATTGAGGTGGCATAGCTCAAGTGCCAACCTAGGCAGATCCTCTCTCTCATGGGGTTTGATATTGAGTCATATAGAGAGTGACTGAGTCATCATATTTGATATTGCAAAACTCTGGCTGAGATTCACGACTCGATCTGCCAAGAAGCAATGAGATAACTCTCACTGGAGCCTTCTTACATTCTGAAGGACTTTGTCGTTTGCAAACATGCTCCCATTTCCATGGCATTTCTTAATTCTATGTGATTCCTTCCTATAATCCTCATTACTCAAGGTAATGGGATGTCTCTGGTCCTCAAAAAGCCTAAAATACAAGCTAGGAATCACCTCATTGAGGGACCTAATTTTCTGGCCATTTATTGCTGAATTATTTAGGGAAAGGGCCCTGAAAATTATCAAAGAGGCCATAATGATTTGAGTAGAAGCAACATGGAGCCAAATTAGCATTCATATAAGTTGGATAATGAAGATGAGGGAATCTATTTGAGATATTAAAAAGCTGAAAGGAAGCAGACTAGTGTTCTTACCTGAGGTAGAAAAAGCAGCTGAACCTCCTTTTGTCTTCCATATCTTCTGTCTTCCTCTCATTTGCAGCAGCCAAGATGGGGCTATCAAGTTGGGGAGCAGATAGTAGAAACAATGAGGGAAGAGTCTATATACTAGGAGTGTTGGAGCCCTTGAGTTTACAGTTGCCTTTTAAGTCTTTCAATGTCTTTTACTCAAGAAAGCACTTTAGTTCTAGTGATGAAAGAATCAGGCTAGACCAGAAACTGAGGCATGCTGTTTAGGGCTTGTTCTCTATCTAGATTAAAAAGGAGCTTTTGACCCAGCCCAGATCACTAGGGGCAAAAAAGAGACAGGAATTCAGGGCAGATATTTTGTTCAGAAATGCAGGTCGAACAATCTTTGGGGTATCAGGCCAGGTAGGGTATGGAGATGAGAGGTACCAACTCTACAATTCTCCATATTGAAAATGGAAGGTCAATATTTTATAGCCACAAGCAAATGCAAACAAATACAATTCATGTTTGCCTGGAATCAACATCACCTCCCCCTCTCCCACTCTGCACTTCTCTGAAATACTCATAAAAATCCTAAGTGCTCCTCAAAAGCCAATAATTAGCTCATCAGAGTCACACTACACAGACATATCTCCTCTGCTAGTACATTCCCTAGTGCAGGACAAGACACATCAAAATTGCCCAGAGAGCTTTTAAAATGTAGATTTCAGGGTCTCATCCCAAGAGGAACTGATTCAGTAAGCCAAGGATGAGGTCTGCGAACCCATACAAACTTTATTACAAATGAGCAGTTTACTTGGATTTGAGCAATGATACTAGATCTTAAATTTTATACAGATGATCTTACTGTATGTTAATCTTAAGGCTTTTTAAAGGCAAAGAAACTATCTTCTTTATTGATTTCCTTTGTTTGAGGTGCATATTTTTATGCGTTCATAAGCTATATTATAAACAGCTGCCAATTTTTGGCTAGTGAGATTTTAAAAGTAGTTATTTATAGGTCTAATTTAACTTTAAATGTTTTAAAGTCTCTAAGAGGAACCTTCAAATCTCTCCTGTTCCTCCCTCATCTGCTCTATGAAGCACACATTTTCTTTGAGAAGAGGTTTCAGATAATGGAATTGAAGTTAGTCAAATCACAGAAAGTGAAACCTAGAGGGATTTTAATAGCTCCCCAGTTCAGCCCCCTCATTAGATGAGAAAATTGAGGCCAAAAAGTTTAATTGATTTGCCCAAAGTCAGCCAAGTGCTTGAGACAAGTATCTCCAACATCGTTTGGTCTCTCCCTTATACCCGGGAGGCCTGGTGCGAATATTCTCATTGGAATTTTATTTCTGGTGCCATTCTGCAAACAGCACTTTCTGGCCAAATTGAGCAGATATGAGTGCGCTATCCCTGAAATCACCCCATCTAGGCAGCTCCATCTCCCATCTGCTACAAAGGATCTATCCGCCACTGCCTATAGACTTCCTTAAGGAAGAAACTTCAAAATTCTAAGTTAAAAAAAAAAAAGCAAATTTCATCATGCCTCAAAATACCGTAATGTTTCTCACTTACCTAAATCTCTGGGGCCTGCTTACACATATCTGCTGAGCATATCTACCTAGACATTCTCTTTATATATACATACATAAAAGGTATTTATATAAATACTGTAGGTATTGATATATACATATATACGCATATACACACACTTACATACCTACATATCTACATGTATATCTCTACTTCCCTGTAAATTATTTGTCTGAGTCCAAAGTAAGAGTCATAAACTCCACACTGTATTGGTTCTTCTTATCTCATCCAGCACAACCACCTTTGGATTGTCATTCAACTGAAAAATAAACAGAAAACACAGTGGGCACTGTGATGCTCTGTAGGCAATCGTGTGCACCTCTCCATGTCCAGGGCCAAGCAGATTACTCATAGCTGCCCACAAGCCAAGTGCCATTCCCCTTGCTTCTACCCAACCCTTCAAAGTCACCGATGCTCTGAGGACACTAGGTGTGTCATTGATGTGAATTCCAAAAGGGATCATCTACTGCTTAGCCCCTGTAGAAATCTGGTACTGCAGAGGCCCAGACATGACAGTGTCTGCCCCCGTGAGACAGTGTCTGAGGTTCATGTGCACTCTGCCCTCTGCCATGTGTCAGAGCCCCAGCTTCCATGCTTTGGGCAGGTGACAAGTGGGTTGACTTATGGATGCCCCAGTTGTTCAGTAGCCAGGTCATGGTCAACCCTTTGCTCCCAGTTTTGAACGCTTCTTCTTTTCTGTATAACCCACCCTGCCAACTAAATGTTTCCTTTTCTCCATGTGCCATGGTGTGGAAAGGGCTGGGAAGTGCTGCCCAGGATGTGCATCTACTAAGCATTCCTGAGGGCCACAGTTACCTGCTGTAGCAGCTCCCCAATCCCCCATCTGGGGTCCCCACTGCAGCGAGGGAGCTGTGTGCTCCAGCAGGACGAGAGTGGCAGGAGACGTTTTTCTATCTAAGGTGGCTCCCATGGCACAGAGGAAAGAACACAGGCTCAGGAATGAGACAGACCTGCTGCATTGGTAGCCTTGGTTTTGCCCCCTACTCATGCAAGACATTGAACAAACCATTTTAACCTCTCTGAGGCGGTTCCAAGATGGCCGAATAGGAGCAGCTCCAGTCTACAGCTCCCAGCATGAGAGACGCAGAAAACGGGTGATTTCTGCATTTCCAGCTGAGCTTTGAAGAGAGTAATGGTTCTCCCAGCACGGAGTTTGAGATCTGAGAACGGACAGACTGCTTCCTCAATTGGGTCCCTGACCCCCGAGTAGCCTAACTGGGAGGCACTCCCCAGTGGGGGCAGACTGACACCTCACACGGCTGGGTACCCCTCTGAGACAAAACTTCCAGAGGAACGATCAGACAGCAACATTTGCTGTTCTGCAGCCTCCACTGCTGATACCCAGGCAAACAGGGTCTGGAGTGGGTCTCCAGCAAACTCCAACAGACCTGCAGCTGAGGGTCCTGACTGTTAGAAGGAAAACTAACAAACAGAAGGGACATCCACACCAAAACCCCATGTGTACATCACCATCATGAAAGACCAAAGGTAGATAAAACCACAAAATGGGGAAAAAACAGAGCAGAAAAACTGAAAATTCTAAAAATCAGAGTGCCTCTCCTCCTCCAAAGGAACACAGCTCCTCACCAGCAACAGAACAAGGCTGGACAGAGAATGACTTTGACGAGTTGAGAGAAGAAGGCTTCAGATGGACAAACTTCTCCGAGCTAAAGGAGGAAGTTCGAGCCATCGCAAAGAAGTTAAAAACCTTGAAAAAAGATTAGACGAATGGCTAACTAGAATTACCAATGTAGAGAAGGCCTTAAATGACCTGATGGAGCTGAAAACCATGGCAGGAGAACTATGTGACGAATGCACAAGCTTCAGTAGCCAATTTGGTCAGCTGGAAGAAAGGGTATCAGTGATTGAAGATCAAATGAATGAAATGAAGTGAGAAGAGAAGTTTAGAGAAAAAAGAATAAAAAGAAATGAACAAAGCCTCCAAGAAATATGGGACTATGTGAAAAGACCAAATCTACATCTGATTGGTGTACCTGAAAGTGACGAGGAGAATGGAACTAAGTTGGAAAACACTCTGCAGGATATTATCCAGGAGAACTTCCCCAACCTAGCAAGGCAGGCCAACATTCAAATTCAGGAAATACAGAGAATGCCACAAAGATACTCCTCGAGAAGAGCAACTCCAAGACACATAATTGTCAGATTCACCAAAGTTGAAATGAAGGAAAAAATGTTAAGGGCAGCCAGAGAAAAAGGTTGGGTTACCCACAAAGGGAAGCCAATCAGACTAACAGCTGATCTCTCAGCAGAAATTCTACAAGCCAGAAGAGAGTGGGGGCCAATATTCAACATTCTTAAAGAAAAGAATTTTCAATCCAGAATTTCATATCCAGCCAAACTAAGCTTCATAAGTGAAGGAGAAATCAAATCCTTTACAGACAAGCAAATGCTGAGAGATTTTGTCACCACCAGGCCTGCCCTACAAGAGCTCCTGAAGGAAGCACTAAACATGGAAAGGAACAACCGGTACCAGCCACTGCAAAAACATGCCAAATTGTAAAGACCATTGATGCTAGGAAGAAACTGCATCAACTAACAAGCAAAATAACCAGCTAACATCAAAATGACAGGATCAAATTCACACATAACAATATTAACCTTAAATGTAAGTGGGCTAAATGCTCCTATTAAAAGACACAAACTGGCATATTGGATAAAGAGTCAAGACCCATCAGTGTGCTGTATTCAGGAGACCCATCTCACGTGTAGAGACACACATAGGCTCAAAATAAAGGGATGGAGGAAGATCCACCAAGCAAAGGAAAACAACAAAAGGCAGGGGTTGCAATCCTAGTCTCTGATAAAACAGACTTTAAACCAACAAAGATCAAAAGAGACAAAGAAGGCCATTACATAACAGTAAAGGGATCAATTCAACAAGAAGAGCTAACTATCCTAAATATATATGCATCCAATACAAGAGCACCCAGATTCATAAGGCAAGTCCTGAGTGACCTACAAAGAGACTTAGACTCCCACACAATAATAATGGGAGACTTTAACACCCCACTGTCAACATTAGGCTGATCCATGAGACAGAAAGTTAACAAGCATATCCAGGAATTGAACTCAGCTCTGCACCAAGTGGACCTAATAGACATCTACAGAACTCTCCACCCCAAATCAACAGAATATACATTCTTCTCAGCACCAAATAGCACTTATTCCAAAACTGACCACATAGTTGGAAGTAAAGCACTCTTCAGCAAATGTAAAAGAACAGAAATTATAACAAACTGCCTCTCAGACCACAGTGCAATCATAGAAGAACTCAGAATTAAGAAACTCACTCAAAACCACTCAACTACATGGAAACTGAACAACCTGCTCCTGAATGACTACTGGGTACATAATGAAATGAAGGCAGAAGTAAAGATGCTCTTTGAAACCAACGAGAACAAAGGCACAACATACCAGAATCTCTGGGACACATTTAAAGCAGTGTGTAGAGGGAAATTTATAGCACTAAATGCCCATAAGAGAAAGCAGGAAAGATCTAAAATTAACACCCTAACATCACAATTAAAAGAACGAGAGAAGCAAGAGCAAACACATTCAAAAGCTAGCAGAAGGCAAGAAATAACTAAGATCAGAGCAGAACTGAAGGAGATAGAGACACAAAAAAAACCTTCAAAAAATCAATGAATCCAGGAGCTGGTTTTTTGAAAAGATCAACAAAATTGATAGACTGCTAGCAAGACTAATAAATAAGAAAAGAGAGAAGAATCAAATAGACGCAATAAAAAATGATAAAGGGGATATCACCACCGATCCCACAGAAATACAAACTACCATCAGAGAGTACTATAAACACCTTTACACAAATAAACTAGAAAATCTAGAAGAAATGGATAAATTCCTCGACACATACAACCTCCCACGACTAAACCGGGAGGAAGTTGAATCTCTGAATAGACCAATAACAGGCTCTGAAATTGAGGCAATAATTAATAGCTTACCAACCAAAAAAAGTCCAGGACCAGACGGATTCACAGCCAAATTCTACCAGAGGTACAAGAAGGAGCTGGTACCATTCCTTCTGAAACTATTCCAATCATATAGAAAAAGAGGGAATCCTCCCTAACTCATTTTATGAGGCCAGCATCATCCTGACACCGAAGCCTGGCAGAGACGCAACAAAAAAAGAGAATTTTAGACCAGTATCCCTGATGAACATCGATGCGAAAATCCTCAATAAAATACTGGCAAAGCGAATCCAGTAGCACATCAAAAAGCTTATCCACCATGATCAAGTGGGCTTCATCCCTGGGATGGAAGGCTGGTTCAACATAGCAAATCAATAAATGTAATCCAGCATATAAACAGAACCAAAGACAAAAACCACGTGATTATCTCAATAGATGCAGAAAAGGCCTTTGACAAAATTCAACAGCCCTTCATGCTAAAAACTCTCAATAAATTAGGTATTGATGGGACGTATCTCAAAATAGTAAGAGCTATTTATGACAAACCCACAGCCAATATCATACTGAATGGGCAAAAACTGGAAGCATTCCCTTTGAAAAGTGGCACAAGACAGGGATGCCCTCTCTCACCACTCGTATTCAACACAGTGTTGGAAGTTCTGGCCAAGGCAATCAGGCAGGAGAAAGAAATAAAGGGTATTCAATTAGGAAAAGAGGAAGTCAAATTGTCCCTGTTTGCAGATGAAATGATTGTATATCTAGAAAACCCCATCATATCAGCCCAAAATTTCCTTAAGCTGATTGATAAGCAACTTCAGCAAAGTCTCAGGATACAAAATCAATGTGCAAAAATCACAAGCATTCTTATACACCAATAACAGACAAACAGAGAGCCAAATCATGAGTGAACTCCCATTCACAATTGCTTCAAAGAGAGTAAAATACCTAAGAATCCAACTTACAAGGGATGTGAAGGACCTCTTCAAGGAGAACTACAAACCACTGCTCAACGAAATAAAAGAGGACACAAACAAATGGAAGAACATTCCATGCTCATGGATAGGAAGAATCAATATTGTGAAAATGGCCATACTGCCCAAGGTAATTTATAGATTCAATGCCATCCCCATCAAGCTACCAATGACTTTCTTCACAGAACTGGAAAAAACTACTTTAAAGTTTATAAGGAACAAAAAAAGAGCCTGCATTGCCAAGTCAATCCTAAGCCAAAAGAACAAAGCTGGAGGCATCACGCTACCTGACTTCAAACTATTCTACAAGGCTACAGTAACCAAAACAGCATGGTACTGGTACCAAAACAGAGATATAGACCAATGGAACAGAACAGAGCCCTCAGAAATAATACCACACATCTACAACTATCTGATCTTTGACAAACCTGACAAAAACAAGAAATGGGGAAAGCATTCCCTATTTAACAAATGATGCTGGGAAAACTGACTAGCCATATGTAGAAAGCTGAAACTGGATCCCTTCCTTACACCTTATACAAAAATTAATTCAAGATGGATTAAAGACTTAAATGTTAGACCTAAAACCATAAAAACCCTAGAAGAAAACCTAGGCAATACCATTCAGGACACAGGCATGGGCAAGGACTTCATGTCTAAAACACCAAAAGCAATGGCAACAAAAGCCAAAATTGACAAATGGGATCTAACTAAACTAAAGAGCTTCTGCATAGCAAAAGAAGCTACCATCAGAGTGAACAGGCAACCTACAAAATGGGAGAAAATTTTTGCAATCTACTCATCTGACAAGGGGCTAATATCCAGAATCTGCAAAGAACTCAAACAAATTTACAAGAAAAAAACAAACAACCCCATCAATAAGTGGGCAAAGGATATGAACAGATGCTTCTCAAAAGAAAACATTTATGCAGCCAAAAGACACATGAAAAAATGCTCATCATCACTGGCCATCAGAGAAGTGCAAATCAAAAGCACAGTGAGATACCATCTCACACCAGTTAGAATGGCGATCATTAAAAAGTCAGGAAACAACAGGTGCTGGAGAGGATGTGGAGAAATAGGAACACTTTTACACTGTTGGTGGGACTGTAAACTAGTTCAACCATTGTGGAAGACAGTGTGGTGATTCCTCAGGGATCTAGAACTAGAAATACCATTTGACCCAGCAATCCCATTACTGGGTATATACCCAAAGGATTATAAATCATGCTGCTATAAAGACACATGCACACATATGTTTATTGCGGCACTATTCACAATAGCAAAGACTTGGAACCAACCCAAATGTCCAACAATGATAGACTGGATTAAGAAAATGTGGCACATATACACCGTGGAATACTATGCAGCCATAAAAAATGATGAGTTCATGTCCTTTGTAGGGACATGGATGAAGCTGGAAACCATCATCCTCAGCAAACTATCACAAGGACGAAAAAACCAAACACCACATGTTCTCACTCATAGGTGGGAATTAAACAATGAGAACACTTGGACACAGGAAGTGGAACATCACACACCGGGGCCTGTTGTGGGGTGGGGGGAGGGGGGAGTGATAGCATTAGGAGATATACCTAAAGTAAATTTTGAGTTAATGGGTGCAGCACACCAACATGGCACATGTATAGATATGTAACAAACCTGCATGTTGTGCACATGTACCCTAGGACTT
Source organism: Homo sapiens (assembly GCF_000001405.40). NCBI lineage: Eukaryota > Metazoa > Chordata > Mammalia > Primates > Hominidae > Homo > Homo sapiens. Next base: position 15,360,796 of record NC_000017.11, read on the forward strand.
AAAGTATAATATATATATATATATATATATATATATATATATATATATATATATACATACATATACATAAAAAGAAAAAATCTATAAAGAAGGCAGAAAAATAGAATGTTTAGAAGAAAAAGTTAAATAATGAGCAATATTCTTATCAATAAAAATAGTTGGCAGAAAACCACTGAAGTGCTGTTAACATAAAAGTTTATACCTAAATTATCACTCAAAATAAAGGCAAAAATAAATACAAAAAAAAAAACCTCTGAGACTCAGTTTCCTTATCCATAAAATTGTGATACTGATACCAACATCACAAGTTGCTATGCAAATGAAATAAGAAGACAGGCGAAATAATCTCTCTCTTCCTCTAGGTAAAGCATATTGTTGTTCCCATGGAAAAAAAGAATAACTGGGGTGGGGAGGGGGATGTTTGTGAACCTACACAGCCACATACAGCAACTATTTTCTACTGGTCTCCTCCTCCCACGGCAGTGTGGCGGGAAGGAGAGGCTGTGTCATCTCGCTGCTGAACCATGGCAAGACAGAACTTAATTATACGTGGCTGCAGTGTAGCCGCAACATTGGATGAGCTCATCGGTTCTTACAGAAAATGACCCAGGGATTCTTGAAAGGTGACAACTATTTTTAAATACCTAGACTTTTAAAAATAAAACACTTTCCTCTCTCTTCTCTCGGCTTAAGGCAGATTGGCCCAAGGTCTAATTTACATCTGGGTCTATTGTGAGTCACATAGCTGATCTTTCTTCCCCCAGTTCTATATTCTTAAAGTTTGTATGCACTTCCAAGCATACAGCTTATAAATAGTAATAGAAACATACCACTTGATTCCTGACATATATACCCAGGAGGTTTCATTTATCCACTACTATACCCTTTATCCAGAGTCCCCAAGAAAAGACTGCAAAGGTCAGAGGCACGATGAGCCTGCCTTGACTTTGAGGGTGGTTGTTAGAAACTGCAGGGCAGTGAGAAGAAAGGGGAGCAGTCTCAGCTAGGTCTGGGACATCATCTGAGACACAGTGCAGGTCCCTTCTCCAGCCCAGTGGAGACTACTAAGCTATAGGACAAGGCCATTGGAGGTACTGGAACACCTTCCAAGGGACCTATGGGCACTGGGAAGGTTCGGGAGCAACAGTTTTGCTTCAGTACATATCCATTCCTACATCTAATCTGCCTCAGGAGAAGCAGAGTCAGGAGTCTCCCTGGTTCTCTGTCCCTGTCACAAAAGCTCTACTTCCCACTTATGGTCACAAGTTGCCCTCAGGTGTAAAACATTCCTGGGTGACAAACAAAGGGACAATTCAAAAACTTAGTGATGGGTTCAGAAAGTATATCACTCTCATGACTAGTTACGAATTCTTTTGCCAGTGAAGTGGTTTCTACTTTGTTTTCTACAAAATAGAAGGAAGACCTAGACAGTTGTCCTTTCATGAAATAATTTTTGACAATAGATGATCTTGTTATTTGGGGCATAAAACTCAGAAGGAGTTATATTTTAAATTGAGTAGCATTGACATAATAATACTGCTTTCTGTCTACTGATCTGTTTGAATGCAGTTTCAAAGCACCAACATCTACAAAAGTAAGGCATTGGGGTGGAATTGATACTGAAACACAGCTCAGTTTAGCAACAGTAGTTTAGAGATATATGTTACAACACTTTGATAAGTAAATTCATGAATGTCTCATCCATCTTATTGAGAGGCATGTAAATAATACAATTTTGCCTTCGGAATTTATTAATAAAATAAATTTATGTTTTTTAGATCAGAATATACTGAACATGAAAAATATTAAATTGTTGCACTTAGACCCTTACTTAAAGTCCTATTAAAGACTCCTGTTTAAAATTCTTTTTTTAGAATTAAATGTTTTTGAATTTTTTTATATACATATTTTTGTAGCAGAGAATTATGATAGGTTGTTCAATGGCAGATTTTCAAGCCTAAATATATATTTCATTAAGATGAAATTCTGTGGTGGAAGTAGAATAAGAAAGTAAATTCAAAGAATGATGTAAAACTTTGACTACTAAGAAAAGCTGGGTTATTTATTTATTTATTTATTTATTTTGAGACGGAGTCTCGCTGTCGCCCAGGCTGGAGTGCAGTGGCGCCATCTCGGTTCACTGCAAGCTCCGCCCCCCTGGTTCACGCCATTCTCCTGCCTCAGCCTCCTGAGTAGCTGGGACTACAGGCGCCCGCCACCATGCCCGGCTAATTTTGTGTATTTTTAGTAGAGATGGGGTTTCACCGTGTTAGCCAGGATGGTCTCAATCTATTGACCTCGTGAGCAGCCCGCCTTGGCCTCCCAAAGTGCTGGGATTACAGGAGGTCCTTTATTTTTAATTGGATGGTGGTAGGTATCATTCACTATGCTATGTAGCTGAATACATTGAAAAGAATAATGTAACAGCTTTACTTTTAAATACCAATATTTCCAGAACATAGAAAATGATTCCTCTGTAACGACTTAAACTTACAAAAAAATGTTTACATGTCAACTCTAAGAACTGAAAGCATAGTTAGGAAGAATGAATAAGACCTAGTATTTGATGGCACAGTAGGGGGACTACAATCAATAATAATTTAATTATATATTTAAAACTAACTAAAAGAGAGTAATTGGATTGTTTGTAACACAAAGGATAAATGCTTAAGGAGATCTGTACCAAAATATCTCATGTGCCCCATAAATGTATGCACTTACTATGTATCCACAGAAATTTAAACAATGTAAACAAATTTTTAAAAGTAAAAGAGAATGTGAAGCTTTGCAAAATTCTTAAGTTGACAAGAGCCCAAAACTTTGAAGACTGCAGTTCTCACGTACCCAGATAATGGTGACCTGGCTCTTCCTGTCCCTGCTGCTCCTGTTCCTGCCTCCCAAGGAACTTGGGTTCACATCCTAGCTTTCTACCTTGAGGCAACTGATTACCATTCTGTGACTTGATGGCAGCCCAGGAATATCCTATTCATGAAGAAGACACATTTTCACATTATACTAATTGGTCAATATCTTTCCACAAAAGGTAGAAATAATATGTGTGGTTGCGAGGCTGCTTTTCAAGGCATAACTTTGAGATAAGATAGGTGACAAAAATGTCGTGCAGGTCTTAGATAAAACAAGGGTAGTTCCTAGGAAACATGAGCTCCATCTGGGGTAGCAGAAAAGATTACTCAGGGCCGGGCACAGTGGTTCATGCCTGTAATCCCAGCACTTTGGGAGGCCAAGGTGAGTGGATCACGAGGTCAGGAGTTCGAGACCAGCCTGGCCAATATGGTGAAACCCCGTCTCTACTAAAAATACAAAAATTAGCTGGGCATGGTGGTGTGCGCTTGTAATCCCAGCTGCTTGGGAGGCTGAGGCAGGAGAATCAGTTGAACCCAGGAGGCAGAGCTTGCAATGAGCCAAGATCACGCCACTGCACTCCAGCCTGGGTGAGAGAGCAAGACTCTGTCTCAAAAAAAAAAAAAAAAAAGATTACTCAGGGGCAGGGAGAAGGTAGGTGGCACCCACCTGTGCTTGGGTGGGAACTAGAGCAGAGAGAGAAGAGACAGAGGTGTTCACAACGCCTATGTGTCCCTCCTCCACCCACACTCAGGGGCTCCAGCACCTGCAGAGAAGCCTGCCCTCTCCCCAGTGTCACCATGGGTCAGGACTCCCTTTTGACCTGTAAGGACAACTGCATGTCCATCACCATAAGATCCTTGTCCAACTTGAAGGGAAACAAACATGGGTCCAGGACAAAACTTCATGCCTGAAACTGGGCAGGAGTATGCCACAAAGTTGTAAACCCCTGCCAAAAAGTGGATATTAGAGCGAATGCAACCGGCTGGCAGCAGACCCATCCCAATGTTGAGAAAGGAGCTGGAAGTATCAGGCAGGAGTCCCTGAGCCTCGTGAGGTCAGGGAGGGGCCTTCATTTACCAAAATAGGCCACCAAAAGCAGAAGCTGGAGATGCTGGAGGAAAACTTTGTCAGCTGGATTGCTGAGGCCTGGCCCTCTGTGTTCTCAACTGGGTTGAAGAAAGTAGAAATTGTACAGACTGGTGGCTTAGGTCATGCACTGAGTCACAAGTATACTATATTATGAAATATTTGCTCTTCTTACACAGCACATGGGCATACATACCTGTTCATAGTCCACACATGGATTCTGAAGAATTTCACTTTCATGTAGCTGCCTTCATGATTAGAAAACTTTGTTCACAAGTAACTTAGTAATCAAAGCATCAGAAAATTTAGAAATAATGATATTAATACAAATAATAGTACAGATATTCCCTGACTGTGGTAGATACCCCTTGGGATACCTGCGTAGGCCCTGATTATTTTTATTTATTTATTTATTTTTTTTTTGAGACAGAGTCTCACACTGTCTCCCAGGCTGGAGTGCAGTGGCACAATCTCGGCTCACTGCAACCTCCGCCTTCCAGGTTCAAGCAATTCTTCCGCCTCAACCTCCTGAGAACAGGCACCCACCACCACGCCCAGCTAATTGTTTTTCTTTTTTTTCTTTTTTTTTTTTTTGTATTTTTAGTAGAGACAGAGTTTCACTATGTTGGCCAGGCTCATCTCGAATGCCTGACCTTGTGATCCACCAGCCTCGGCCTCCCAAAGTGCTGGGATGACAGGCATGAGCCACTGCGCCCAGCCTAGGTCCTGATTTTTAAAGCAACTCCCCTGTTCTGCCTTCAATAATGGAACCATGCCCAGCCCCATGGCCACATTCTTTCTACTTAAAGTGTGGTTCATGGACCAGCAGCAATGGGGTCACCTAAGAGCTCATAAGAACTGCAGAACTTGAGATTCTGCCTTGATGACAGATCTAAATACTCAGAATTTTTTTTTTTTTTTTTTTTGAGACGGAGTCTCGCTCTGTCGCCCAGGCTGGAGTGCAGTGGCGAGATCTTGGCTCACTGCAAGCTCCGCATCCCGGGTTCACATCATTCTCCTCCCTCAGCCTCCCAAGTAGCTGGGACTACAGGCACCTGCCACCACGCCCAGCTTTTTTGCATTTTTATAGAGGCGGGATTTCACCGTGGTCTCGATCTCCTAACCTCGTGATCCACCCGCCTTGGCCTCCCAAAGTGCTGGGTTTACAAGCGTCAGCCACCGCGCCAGGCCAATGCTCAGAATTCTAACAATACCAGTAGGTGAGTTGCATGCACATTAAGGTTTGAGAAGCACTTGACAACATGGCATCACTGTTCTAGATTTAGCTCATTAGATTCAGGGTGAGCGGGACTTGAAGAAAATTGTGCCAACCACAGTCTTCATTGAGAATCTTAACTAAGAAACAATAACGGCAAGGGAAATGAGATCACATTCGTGGCACACCTCCAGAGGGAAGGTTTGAAAAGTTCTGCTAGGCCCTCAGTTGCCATACTTGCTGGGATGTCTTACAATAATATGCTTATTTGGACAAACATTCTGTTTCAAATGACAGAATGTTTGGAGCAGCTTGGATTTTTGGTAAATCATAAATGTGTTAGAGTATCTGTGTGCACAAACACATATAACACGTAAAATCTGTGTGTGTGTGTCACAAGAAAAGAAGACTACAGATCAGTGTCTTTCATGAATATAGATGCAACAATCCTCAATATGGTACTAGCAAACCAAACCCAACAGTATACTGAAAGGATTATACACCATGATTACGAGGGATTCCTCCCAGGAATTCAAGGGTGGTTCAACATTTTTTTAAAAGACAATAGAGATAATTCATTGCATTAGTAAAATGAAAGGAAAAAATCCACATGATCATTTGAATTGATGCTTAAAAAACATTTGACAAAATACAATACATTTTCTTGGTAAAAACGCTCAGAACACTAGAAATAAAGGGTAACTTCCCAATAGGATAAAGGATATTTGTGGAAAGCCCATTGCTAGCATCATATTCAACGGTGAAAGACTGAAAGCTTTCCTCCTAAGATCAGGAAAAAGACAAGAATGCCTACTTTCACCATTGATGCTCAACTCTGTACTGGAAGTCCTGGCCACAGCAATTAGGCAAGAAAAAGAGATAAAAGGCAGCCAAGTAAAAAGGAAGTAACAAAACTATTTCTATTCACAGGTAACATGATCCTATATATATAGAAAATCTCAGGTCCCTGTATGTAGGATCCAAAGAAAACCTATTGGAGCAAATAAATCAATTCTGCAAAATTGCATGTGTGATCAACACTCAAAAACCCATTATGCTTCTATATACCAGCAATGAACAATCTGAAAGAAAATTAAGAGAACAATTCCATTTATGATAGCATCCAAAAGAATAAAATACCCAGGAATAATTTAACTGAGAATGTGAAAAACCTGTACACCAAAGACTACAGGTTCCTTTTTTTTTTTTTTTTTTTTTTTGAGACGGAGTCTCACTCTGTCGCTCAGGCTGGAGTGCAGTGGCACCATCTCAGCTCACTGCAATCTCCACCTCCTGGGTTCTAGCAATTCTCCTGGCTCAGCCCCCCAAGTAGCTGGGACTACAGGCGCATGCTGCCACACCCGGTTAATTTTTTGTATTTTAGTAGAGACGGGGTTTCGCCATGTTGCCCACGCTGGTCTCGAACTCCTGAGCTCAGGCATTCCACCCGCCTTGGCCTCCCAAACTGCTAAGATTATAGGCATGAGCCACTGCGCCCGGCCTACAGTTTCCTTCTTACACAGGGCTCCAAGTGGCAACACCAATCTACAGGGACTAACATGACCTAGGAAATATCAGAGGCTCAGAGTTTGCATATATTGAGGCAGAGGGCACTTTGCCTGCTTTTCTGCTCAAGTGTGTTTGCTTGGCTACAAATAATATTTAAGAACATGTTTTTGAATTAAATATTAACTAACTTTTTGTTTGTTTGTTTTGAGATGGAGTCTCACTCTGTCACCCAGGCTGGAGTGCAGTGGCGCAATCTTGGCTCACTGCAACCTCCGCTACCCGGGTTCAAGCAGTTCTCCTGCCTCAGCCTCCCAAGTAGCTGAGATTACAAGGGCTTGCCACCATACCTGGCTAGTTTTTTGTATTTTTTAGTAAAGATGGGTTTTCACCATGTTGGCTAGGCTGGTCTCGAACTCCTGACCTCAGGTGATCCGCTCTCCTCGGCCTCCCAAAGTGCTGGGATTACAGGCGTGAGCCACACGCCCAGCCAATATTAGCTAATATTAATGAGTAATATATTTAGTACAGTTGCCTCAGTGTCGGCTAGCTTCATTGGCGGGGGGGCTCTGGATGCCACAGAATAGTCATTTCAGGACTTCAAGGAAGATGATAATGAGAACATTTTGATAATTAGAACATTTTTTCTCAACTTAGTTCTATCTCACAATAGCAGCACACATAGGCAACCCTCTATTTAGTGTCAATGATTATTCACACAATAGAAAGAATAATAGACTTTTAGATCTGGAAAGGAGGCCAAGTGGCTTTATTTTTATTAATGTTTTATCCTGGCATGACTATTTTGTTCCCCAGGAAGTGAAAAGTATACATGCTTGCACTTTTATTTTCTGGGAAAGATTAATCGCTGACCTCTTCCTCTTGTTCCACAAAGCAAAGAATATTAGAAATCAAAGGAAACTAAAAATCATCCAGTTCAATCCCATTTCTTTCCAAATGAGGAAACCCAAGTAAAGCTTAGAGACGTTCAACAAGTTGCTTAAAACCACACAATTGGAAGAATCTAGACCCGAACCCAGGTACTCTGACTCCAGGGTGGAACATTCCCAGCCCAATCTAATGTGGCTTTCGTGGAGCACGCGTGAGCTTCACTTGTTGGTATCAAGACTGTGTGGGAGTTCATCATCTTCACACCTGGGGATGGACATCTAGGCTTTGCTCTGAACTTTCAGATTTATCAATGTGTGGACAAGCTTCTTGAAGAAATCCTCCACAAAAAGAGGTCCCAATGCAAACTAGATGCAGATCTAGCTGGAAATGACAGGAGGATGAAGTGTCGGCTCACTTTGAAATAAACTTCAGGGTAATAAGGAAATACCAGGTGACCTCAGACTTGAACCACACAAAACACAACACTGAGTAGAGTAAACTGTGTTTAAAGAGCACTTAGAGGGTGCCTTGTCTTGAATAACCTGGCTATGTGACTTTTTAATTCTTTTTAAATTTAAACTTAGCACATGTCTGTATCCTCCTTGTAGCAAGTCAAGTGACACATCAGCTCGTGGAAGAAAATCTAACAACTTTCTCATTACTCCCCCTCCTTTCTCACCCCCTTCCTCAAAGGTGAGCACCATTAACAGTCTGTTTTCTCTTTCTGTCATTCTAATGGACTTTTAAAATGATATTCTGGCCAGGCACGGTCAGAGGCCGAGGCAGGTGGATCACGAGGTCAGGAGATCGAGACCATCCTGGCTAATGCAGTGAAGCCCCGTCTCTACTAAAAATACAAAAAATTAGCTGGGCGTGGTGGCAGGTGCCTGTAGTCCCAGCTACTCTGGAGGCTGAGACACGAGAATGGTGTGAACTCAGGAAGTGGAGCTTGCAGTGAGCCGAGATCGTGCCACTGCACTCCAGCCTGGGCGACAGAGCAAGACTCTACCTCAAAAAGAAATGTGCATAGTACAAAATCCAAAATGTAGCTGTCTCCCTGCCCACTATCCACCCAGTTTGAATGGAGAAGGCAATTTTTTTTATCAGTTCTTTTAAGTCTTTCCAGAGATAGCCTGATAAGTATTTATTTATTTACATATTTCACACAATTATTAGTGTTCTCTACATACTACTCCGAATCTTTCTTTATTCTCACACAGACTGATAGTCTTTTCCCATTGAAGTGTATAAAGCAGCCTCATTCTTTTTATTGGTGTCATAATTTATTTAACCTGCCATGTTGAAAGATATTTAGATTGTTTTCAAACTTTAAAATTACGTTACAAATCTACGTAAACATTTGTAGAGTAAGTTTCTGGAAGTAGAATTTCTGTATCACGGGAGTGTGCATTCATAATGTTGATATCTATTCTGTTTCCCCCCTAAAGACACTGTTTCAGTTTGATTTCCCTCTAGGATTTCCTGGTCCTGCCTGCACCTGCCGCTCCCTCCAAATTTGTTAACAATATAATTGGGATTGAATTAAATGTATGTTTCCCCACCCGTGACCAACATTATGTGTCATTCAACTTTTGGAATTTTGGCAATATGATAGGTAGTTGCATTTATTATTCTCTTATAATTAATGAGCTTGAGTATATTAAAGCCTATTTCTATTTTCTTTTATCAATTGTCTGTTCATATCCTTTGTCTGCTTTTCTGCTGAGTTGCTGGTCTTTTGTTGTTGTTTGTTTGTTTGTCATTCTTTATACCAGCGTTTCCCACCCAGTGAGCCACAGAGTTGCAAATGGGTACTGACCTCTGGCCCCAGGGTGACCAGTGGGACTGAGCCAGCCTGAGAAGCCCATATTCTGTGTGTGCCACAATCTGGAAACATTTAGCCCCAAGTCTGTGCACTGAACCAATATGCATGCATCCTCTTAGGTGTGAGGGTGGATTTAATATATTTTATCATCTGCAGTGGTCCTCAACCTTTTTGGCATGAGGGACCAGTTTCCTGGAAGACAATTTTTCCACGAATGGGGAGTGGGGGGGATGTGATGCTTTGGGAATGGAAGTGTTCCAACTCAGATCATCAGCATTATATTCTCATCAGGAGCATGCAACCCAGATCCCTTGCATGCAAGGTTCCCAATAGGGTTCGCCCTCCTTTGGGAATCTAATGGCGCTGCTGATCTCAGGTGGTAATGCTCGCTCGCCCACCACTCACCTCCTGCTCTGAGGCCTGGTTCCTAACAGGCTGCAGACCGGTACCCCCACAACCAGGGGTTGGGGTCCCCCGATAGAGTAAGTATTCACCAATTCCCATTTTCCTAAGAGTTTTCAGCAAGATTACATATTGAATATTTCAAATGTCTTTTTAGCATACACATTTGATTTTTAACTTTTATTTGGTTAATAAGGTGAAATACATTAATAAATATTCTTATCTTGAATTATCTTTTACATGTTTATAAAAAGTTTAAAAATAAAATTCTTTTATTTATTTTTTTTTTTTTTACACTCTTGTTGCCCAGGCTGGAGTGCAATGGCATGATCTCGGCTCACTGCAACCACCGCCTCCCAGGTTCAAGCAATTCTGCCTCAGCCTCCCAAGTAGCTGGCATTACAGGCATGCACCACCTTGCCGGGCTAATTTTGTATTTTTAGTAGAGATGGGGTTTCACCATGTTGGTCAGGCTGGTCTCGAACCCCTGACCTCAAGTCATCTGCCTGCCTCAGCCTCCCAGAGTGCTGGGATTACAGGCATGAGCTACTGCGCCCGGCCCAAAAATAAAATTATAAGAAAAGATTTATAATAATGAAAAGCAGTTCCTTTACCCATCTCTTTTCACCTCCCAGTTCTACCTGTTAATTAATGGGCCAATTTTGTGTGATTTGTTGATGTCCTGCAATAGTAACTGATGATATTTGCATCTTACATCTTCAGGACCACTCTCCCATCCATGAATTCTTACTGTAGAATTTTATTACCAAGAAATTTATTATACATTAATCGATGTTTACATGATTTCAATTAAGCAAATATTGTTCACTGCAAAGCCAAGTAGTAGTTTTAATATATTAAAATATTTAAACTTGCATATTTTTACTTGCTTATTTTTTCTTCACATAATTTCCTTATATGACTCTGTTCCATTTTGTTCACATCTGCTGCACGCCTGCGAGCCATGTGTTCCATATGCTCAATGTATCGGATCATCTGTGAATTCCATTTTTGTCCCCCCAAGTTCTCAAGACTGGCTGCTCATTAGGACTCTACACAGATTACATCCAGGGATTTCCATTTGCCTTTTTTTTTTTTTCTCTATTAAATACCCTGTTTCTTGGCTCCCTTGCCTTCTTAATGTTTGTTGTTTTTCTCCCATTTTAGTGGAATAAATCCTTATAGCAGCCTATGCAAAGGTTTGTGGTCAGTAAAATTTGCGATTTCCTGTAGAATCATCCATTGCTTAACGACAGGGATAGGTTCTGAGAAATGTGTCGCTGGGTGATTTCGTCCTTGTGAGAACATCTCAGAGTGACATACACAAACCTAGATGGTACAGCCTGCTACACCCCTGGGCTATATGGTCTAGTCTATTGCTCCCAGGCCACAAACCTGTATAGCAGGTGATCATACTGAATACTGCAGGCAATTGTCACACAATGGTAAGCATTTTTGTATCTAAACATATCTAAAAACAGAAACTGTACGGTAAAAATTGGTATAAAAGATTTCAAATGGTATACCTGTACAGGGCACTTACTATGAATGGAGCCTACAGGACTGGAAATTGCTCTGGGTAAGTTGATGAGTGAGTGGTGGGTCAACGTGAAGCCCTAGAACATTGGTGTACATGACTGCAGACTTTATAAACACTCTACACTTCGGCTACACTAAATTCATTCAAACAATTTTTTTCTTCAATAATAAATTAACCGGCCGGGTGCGGTGGCTCACGCCTGTAATCCCAGCATTTTGGGAGGCCGAGGCGGGCAGATCACGAGGTCAGGAGATCGAGACCATCCTGGCTAATACAGTGAAACCCTGTCTCTACTAAAAAATACAAAAAAATTAGCTGGGCGTGGTGGCGGGCGCCTGTTGTCCCAGCTACTCAGGAGGCTGAGGCAGGAGAACAGCGTGAACCCAGGAGGCAGAGCTTGCAGTGAGCTGAGATCGCGCCACTGCACTCCAGCCTGGGCGACAAGAGCGAGAGACTCCGTCTCAAAAATAAGTAAATAAATAAAATAATAATAATAAATTAACCTTAGCTTACTGTTAATTTTTTTTTTTACTTTATACGCTTCACTGTTTTTAAACTTTTTATAACAACACTAAAAACACAAACACATTGTACAGCTATATAAAAATATTCTTGGCCAGGTGTGGTGGCTCGCACCTGCAATCCCAGTACTTTGGGAGGCCGAGGTGGGTGGATCACCTGAGGTTGGGAGTTCGAGACCAGCTTGACCAACAAGGAGAAACCCCATCTCTACTAAAAATACAAAATTAGCCAGGCATGGTGGTGCATGCCTGTAATCCCAGCTACTCGGGAGGCTGAGGCAGAGGAATCACTTGAACGTGGGAGGCGAAGGTTGCAGTGAGCCGAGATTGCACCATTGCACTCCAGCCTGGGCAACAAGAGCAAAACTCTGCCTCAAAAAAAAAAAAAAATTCTCTATCTTTATATCCTTATTTTATAAGCTATTTTCCATTTTTAATTTTTTACTTTTTAAACTTGTTTGTAAAAACTAAGATACAAACACACACATTAGCCTAGGCCTACACAGGGTCAGGATCATCAATATCATTGTTCTCCATATCCATGTCTTATCCCACTAGAAGGTCCTCAGGGGCACTAACACACAGGGAGCTGTCATCTCCTATGATAACAATGTCTTCTTCTGGAACACTTCCTGCAGGACCTGCCTGAAGCTCTTTTGGAGGAAGTGTCACTCTTTTCATAAATATGTTCATAGTGATTTGCCTGGTTTACTTTTTTATCATAGGTTTGCATGAGTAATATGTTGTGCTATGACATTACAAAGACTATGATGCCATTAGGTAATACGAACTTTTCACCTCGATTATAATCCTATGGGACCTCTGTTATATGCAGGTTCATTGTTGACTGGAATGTGTTTATGTGGCAAATAATTGTATATCTAAAAATGTCATTATTCTTCACTTATACACTTGATTAGCTATTTGTCTCATTATTAAATTCTAGTTTGAAAATATTTTTCCTTCTGCCTTCCAAGGTTGTGTGAAACCACACTGATTCCTAATTCTTTCTTTATGAGACCCGGTTTCCCTCTTTCATCTTTCAGTGTCTTTTCTTAATTCCTATTGTTCTGAAATTTCATAAAAGATAGACTTGTCATGAGCTTGTTGTTGTTGTTTTTATTTGTTCATTTTGTTTGTTTTACTTGTAATAGTTTTTGATCCTTGCTTATCTCTTATTACCTGGACTGTCATGTCCTTCAGTTCTAGAAAGTCTTCTTGTACCATGTCTCAGATAATTTCCTCCTCTTCATTTCCTCTGGATCTCCTATTAGATGAATTTTGTTTTTTTTAAATAGATCCTTTAGGCCAGGCACAGTGGCTCACGCCTGTAATCCCAACACTTTGGGAGGCTGAGGAGGGTGGATCACCTGAGGTCAGGAGTTCAAGACCAGCCTGGCCAACATGGTGACAACCCATCTCTACTAAAATTACAAAAATTAGCCAGGTGTGGTGGTGCATGTCTGTAATCTCAGCTACTTGGAGGCTGAGGCAGGAGAATCACTTGAACCCGGGAGGCGGAGGTTGCAGTGAGCCGAGATTGCATCACTGCACTCCAGCCTGGGAGACAGAGTGAGACTCTATTTCAAAAAAAAAAAAAAAAAGAAAACATATATATACACACACACACACACACACATACATATACATATATAAATGTTCTTATTGTTTCTCTACGATTTTCCATATCTTTGCATGACATCTTTACATTTTGGAAGATTTTCTCAATTGTATTTCCCAGTCTTCCTCTAATGTTTATTCTGCTGTGCTACTTCAAATTTCCAAGAGCTTTTATTGTTGTCTGATTTTTTTTTTCTGAGAATGAGGTTCTTATTGTATGAATGCAATGTCACCTCTCACCTCTTTGGAGACATCAGTGCTACAGTATTTTTGAAGGTTTCTCGTCTGCCCTGCATAATTTCTTACCTGGTTTCTTATGTTTGTTTTGGACCCTTCCCCCAAATGTCTGATGAAAGTTGACTGCCCATGTATGTTTCAGAGTCTTAGGGGCACTAAGAAGATGACTGCAGGCTCAAAGTACACAGCCAAGACTTGTCAAGCAGCAGCTGCCACACTTGGGCACCTCCAGGTTTCAATGAATGGAGCTATTTTCTCTGGGTCAGAATTTTCCAAATCACGTCCTTGTGTGTGGCTGGGGGCATACTGTGAGCAGAGCCAGGGAAGAGAGCAGAAGGATGCAGAGCTTCATTTCATACCCATTTTCATCCCTGTACCACACCACCTCATTGTGCCTAAAATGTTCAAGACCAGAACTCCTTCTATCTAATCTGTCTGTAATATAAACCTGCAACTTTATACATGGAGCAGAGGTCAGGCTAGATCAATCTGGAGACCCCCAACTCTGGATGAAGTCTGTGCTCCTGTAGCCTTTTTGCAGCCCCCAGCTTGCCTCCCACTTTCTGTGGGACCTGATGCTTTCAAGACCAGACTCTCCAAAGAGTTTTATGGACTCTATGAATGAAGTCACCTGTTTTCTTCCAGTATCCCCTACTCAACTAATTTTAGAATGCAGTTTTTGCCTCTTTGCTAAGTCAGTTCTTCTCTCCCACCTGTTTTCCATATTCCAGAAATTGGTTTAAATCTCTCACACACTGGTGGCTCCTGTCTTGTCTTCTGAGCCCTCCTGGGAGGACTCAGAACCTTTTGTGTTTCTATAACGTTACGTTAGAGTGGTCTTGGGTGGAGAGTGGGGAAAAGAAAAAATGATACACATAGATATTTGATCTGCCATGTTTTAACAGGTGTTTTCTTTTCCTTCTGCTCTTGTCCAGTTTCAAAGTTATGCCTGTGGTATGAATTGAGAACGTTTGCATTTTTTCTATGCTCTGGGAGAGTTAATATCACATAGTCTCTGGTAGAATGTGTCCAGAAAAGGATCCAGGCCTTCTATCTTTTTAAGGGTTAGATTTTTGACTGCCTTTTCAATTTTTCTGTGGTTATTGTTTTATTTAAGTTTTCTACCTCTCCCCAGACCATCTCAAATTTTGGTATTTGGAGCTCCTGAATCTATACATATCTTACTTTTTATTTTATTCTTTCAATGGTTTGTTCTATAGCATAAAAATCAGGGAATGGCATCAATAGTCACAAGGTAGAAACAACCCAAGTATCCACTGACAGACGAATGGATAAACAAGGTGTGGTATTTCAGACAAGGCAATATTATTCAGCCTTAGAAAGAAAGGAAATTCTGACACATGCTACAATATGGCTGAACCTTGAGAGCATAATGCAGAGTGAAATAAGCCAGCCACAAAAGGACAAATGCTGAATGATTCCACTTACATAAGAGACCTAGAATAGTTAAATTCATAGAGATAGAAAGTAGAATGGTGGTTGCCAGAGGCTGGGTTGAGTTGCGGTGGGAGGTTTTTTAACGGGTACAGAGTCTGGGATTTGCAAGATAGGAAGAGTTCTCTGGATGGATGGTGGTGATGGTCACACAACAATATGAATGTACTTAATGCCCCTGAACTGTACACTTAAAAATAATTAAGATGGTAATGTATTTTACAACAAATTAAACTTGTTTAATTTTAAATTTAAGAAAAAATTAGGAAGACTTTCTTGGCTTGGACGTTTAGCCCACTGATTTAGTTTTCACATTTGGTTATTTGCTCACTATGCTGAAGTTTTTTAAAAGTCACTTATTTTAAATTTGTAAAGTTTCTACTTGATTCTTGTTTTATACCAACTATTCTTATTTTGTGGCGATTCCCCCCAAGTAACCTATCATAAGATGTTAATAATCTTTAAAGTATTTGGTCATTTTCACTATTTCCTTAGAAGATAATTTCCTTCTCTGCCTTATTAAGCTTAGTGTTTTGTGTTTTTTTTTTGTTTGTTTTTGTTTTTCGAGATGGAGTTTCGCTCTTGTTGCCCAGGCTGGAGTTCAATGGTGCGATCTCGGCTCACCGCAACCTCCGCCTCCTGGATTCAAGTGATTCTCCTTCCTCAGCCTCCTGAGTAGCTGGGATTACAGGCATGCATCACCATGCCCAGCTAATTTTGTATTTTTAGTAGAGACGGGGTTTCTCCATGTTGGTCAGCCTGGTCTCGAACGGCTGACCTCAGGTGATGTGCCCACCTCGGCCTCCCAAAGTGCTGGTATTACAGGTGTGAGCCACCGCGCCGAGCCAGCTTAGTGGTTTTGTTTCATGTGTTTGTTTTTCTGGAGTGTCTGATGATTTTTGCTCTTCTCTTTGTATTGAGAATTTCCTCCTTGCCTGTCTGTGGACACAGTTTATCGTCTGTGTCTCTTGTTCTTGGTGAATGTGCGGAGGCGTTTAATGTGTGTGGACAGGTCTCTATCCCTCTTTAGCTGCAGTAGTAGGCTCCAGGGTACCTCCTTCTTTCTGAGCCCCAGTTGCCCACCACACTATCTGCAGTCATGGCTTCTTGCTGCATAGCAGAAGTTGAGATTGAGGGAAGGGGCTGCCTTGCCTGCCTGGCCTTCCAACTAATTGCCCTGAAGAAAGCCCCAGGACCCCGCCTGTGCCCTTGTTTCTACCTAGACTCTGGGTCTGGGGCTTCCTTGCCCCACCACATCTGCATAGCAGCCTTTTTCTGGGATGCCCTCTGGTTTACATCTTCTGCTCTTCTGGTTTGCCCCCACCTTGGAGAACTGACTAATATGGTACTCATCTTATTTCTTGGTGCTGTCACGAACTTAATATTTCAAGTCATTTTTATCTGGGTGTTCAGTCCACCCCCTTGTGGTGCCCTTCGTTAGTCTTCATAATGACTTCTTGAAAGCTCTCTGAGTCAGGCCAGGTTGCTTCTGAGCTCCACAGCAAGCTGGTAGAACTCATACTTATGAATAGTGCTGAATAGTTCTCCACACTTGAGTCATTCACAACTACAAGGGCCCAAACAGACAAAAAGGATCCTTATAACGCGTGGAAGGTGCTTTTCTCCATGAGCTGCTGGATAAATGAAGCCTGTCATTTCTTGCATACTGCAGCTTCTCAAGCACTTTCCTGGGACTCCAAGGAGACCAACGTGTTCTGGCGCCGTGAGAGGAAACACTGGCAGTTTTGATACCAGTGCCATAAAGAATCAATGCACAGCCATGGAGTACAGAGAGACATAAGGCATCCTTTTGTTCAGCTGCAAATACTGCATTCCAGGAGAGCCAGTTCTGAGCAGGGGGCAGAGGGAGTAGCCACAAAATGGCCTTTGTCCGAACTCCCATAAAAAAATTCCAGCCAGTGGGAGTGAACACAGACACAGTCCAGACAGTCGATTGTAGATGTCCTGGATTTTGGCTTTTACAGTGAAACTATTCCAGGAATTCATGGACCGTGGTCTATTGAAGGAGGAGGAAAGCAAATACCTCCTCAAAAAAAGGTGCCACTTGCAAAAAAAGTTGATTTTTATGGTTGAGGATTTATTGCTTACTAAGAACTTGGTATCTAGAAAATTGGGTGAGTTTTTATTAGTGGTGTATAGATACAGCCAAAGAAAAGCACTTCCCCCCTTTATCTCACCCTCACGCCTATCCTTAGTTCTCTCATACACACACAGACATGTGAATTCAGCTAAATAATCTTAAAACTGTGTTACATCTTTGGAATTACAGATACACTTGTAAAACTTGTTCACTAGGTAGGTATTATTATTCCTATTTTAGAACTGGGAAAAATGAAAGATCCAAGAGTTTAAGTACCTGGATGAAGGTCAGCTGGCAGAGCTGCAATTCTAACCCGGATCTGTCTACCTGCACTACCTGCATTCCAGATCTACCACACAGGAGCCTCATTGCTAAAAGGAAATACTAGCTTAGTGGTGGGACTGCCCAGGTCCGAATCTTGCCGCATTTGCCCAAAAGCTATGAGATAAGTACATCTCTGTACTTTGCCTTTCCCAGCTTTATGATAGACATGATGGTCATGCCTCCATCATCATTGGAGCATAGAACTCTGGAAGCATTTAATGATGTAAGATGTGGCGTAGAACAAACAGTACCTAGTACTTGCTGAACAGCAAATGGACCTACTTCAATTGTGTCAAGGGCCACAGAGGAAAAGCCTACCCAGGATCAGTAGGATGAGCTTTGAAAGACTTTTCCGGCTTGGAAGCATTTGCAGTGATGCATTCATTTTGAGTCACTTTAGATTAGTTACATACAATCAGAAGGTGGCTGGTCAGATGAATGCTACTCAGGCATTAACTGAGCTCAGATACCATCTTAAGTGCTGACCACCGCTAGGCAGAGTGGCGAATATGGACAGAGAACACCCTGGTCTTGCTTTCCTTTCTTCTAAGAAGATAAGATTTGTTTCATAGACTCTAGGGAGAGAGTGTGCTAGGAAGCACCGTGAGCAAAAGTCGTAGGATCTAGGCCTGAGGCCATCTCAGTCACTAAATGGGGGTCTTAATTTCTTCATTTGTATAGATGGGGAAGGGAAATGAATTCACATTGGAATTTTCTTACAAATCTAGAAATACGTAATTCTGCAGTTCAGTTTCTTTGCAAAAAAATGAACCTCATTTGTCTCAAGGCCAGTCTCCAACCAACCACCATACAACTTAGAAAATTCAATCTTTGAATGATGAATGGCATCTCAAATTGAATTGAAAAAACTTTAAGATGTCAGACCAGAAACAGCAAGAACAAACTTTTGCAAAATAATAACAGATTACAGTAAGACACAGCTGAGTTCTTAGGTGGTGAATTCACTTTCTTGCCTAGTACAGAATTTTTTTTTAAGAATTTCACCTCTGGCCGGGCACAGTGGCTCACGCCTGTAATCCCAGCACTTTGGAAGGCCAAGGCGGGCGGATCACAACGTCAGAACATCAAGACCATCCTGGCTAACACAGTGAAACCCCGTCTCTACTAAAAATACAAAAAAAAAAAAATTAGCCGGGTGTGGTGGCGGGCGCCTGTAGTCCCAGCTACTCAGGAGGTTGAGGCAGGAGAATGGCGTGAACCCGGGAGGCAGAGCTTGCAGTGAGCTGAGATCATGCCACTGCACTCCAGCCTGGGTGACAGAGGGAGACTCCATCTCAAAAAAAAAAAAAAAAAAGATTTTCACCTTTAATGATTCATTTCCAGTGACTTGGGCACATCATTTAATTTTTATGAAGCATGAACTTTTTGTTAGTAGAAGGGTAGGAGCAGGGCGTGGGTTTAATGCTTACATTAGGAATCACCTCTCTGTTCCATCCCAATCCACCTGAATTACTCAGAATGTTGTCGTTGTCACCATCATAGTAGACGTCATCTGTTGGTCACTGTGTCTCAGGTGCCTAAAATATCCTTATGTAATTCTGCAAAGGAGAAGTTTTTGTTTTTGTTTTTGTTTTGTTTTGTTTTGAGACACAGTTTCACTCTTGTTGCCCAGGCTGGAGTGCAATGGCGCAACCTCGGCTCACTGCAAACTCCACCTCCTGGATTCAAGCAATTCTCCTGCCTCAGCCTGCTGAGTAGCTGGGATTACAGGCACGCATCACCACACCCAGCTAATTTTTTGTATTTTTGTAGTAGAGACTGGGTTTCATCATGTTGGCCAGGCTGGTCTCAAACTCCTGACCCCAGGTGATCCACCCGCCTTGGCCTCCCAAAGTGCTGGGATTACAGGTGTGAGCCACCACGCTGGGCCAGGAGAAGGTTTAAAGGTAGTTCCAACTGAGGAGTAACTCTCCCATTCTGTTTTAGAGTTTTCATCGTAATGAAACATTTTGATACTGTTGAAGTTCAGTTATTTTTACAAATATTAATATATTGATAATCAATAATAAATACAGTTAGTTCTTGTCATCTTGACATTTTTGCCAAGCAATAAGTACAAAGCCTTGTTTCATATATGTTTTCTTTTAAAGACACCTAGTTTATACATGTTGTGGATTCATTAACACTGACTTCATGTCTAACTGCACTATCACTCATGCCCAGACAAAGCTTATCTAACACAAGCATTTTCTCCATAAGGCACATCGCACCCTTCTTGCACTTAGGAACACTAGACGGCATTTCAGCACTACGCTTGGAGGCCATTAAAAACAATAAATCACCAACGATAAGCACAAAAAAAGTTAAAATATTGTACTAAAATACCTAAAATACTTCACAAAGGACACTCATTTACAGTATTGAGAGCCAAAACAGGAAAGCAAAGACTTTGTTTACATCTCAGACACTGACATTTTTTTGCCACTTTGTTGCATATGTGTGTCTGTGAAGCCGAACAAAGGGCATGAGTATGAATCTTTTTTTTTTTTTGAGACTGAGTCTCGTTCTGTCTCCCAGCCTGGAGTGCAGTGGTGCGATCTCAGCTCACTGCAAGCTCTGTCTCCCAGGTTCACGCCATTCTCCTGCCTCAGCCTCCCGAGTAGCTGGGACTACAAGCATGCGCCACCACGCCTGGCTAATTTTTTTTTTTTTTTTTGTATTTTTAGTAGAGATGGGGTTTCACCACGTTTACCAGGATGGTCTCGATCTCCTGATCTCGTGATCTGCCTGCCTCGGCCTCCCAAAGTGCCGGGATTACAGGCATGAGCCACCGTGCCCTGCCTGAATCTTGAGGTGACAAATACATTTTAGTGACCAGACCAACTCACAAATACAGAATCCGCAAATAATGAGGATTGATTGTAGTTTGAAAGCTATGGTCTTGAATAAGGAAACAGAATAATACACACGTTGAGAGCAAGAGTTTTAGAGGGAGACTACCTGTGCTCGAATCCTGGCTTGACCACATACTAAGTGGCCAAATTCTTCTTCATGTATTGGCTTTATTTCCTATGAAACTGGACAATAAAAGTACTCACTACATAGGATTGGCATGAGGACTAAAAGAGTTAAAATATATAAAGTTCTCAGAACTGTGCCTAGCATGGAATAAATGCCCATAAATATCAGCTGGTTTTCTTCACCTCCCTCCCCTGCCCTGCCTTTCTTGAGGGAGATAGAGAAAGAAAACCCCAAACTGAGAAGACCCCATTCTGCGTTTCCATACTTGAAAAAGCAGAAGCAATTCCCCCATTTTCCATCTAACAAAGAAAAAAATCAAATAAAGCATTAGAATATTCAGTTGGATAATAAATATGCGTACTTGTGAGTTTCTAGAAGTTTCTGAGACTATTTCCCCATTCACTTCTGTAATAACTTATTTCCACTGAACTTCCATATATCATTTGCTTTTTATGAAGCTTGATACTCTGCTCACTGGAAGAGTAGGAAATGGGAACGAGGCTGATGTTTACACAATGTGTGGCCATACCTTTTTGGCCCAGAGCTCAAAGATATGATTCACTGTGTCATACATAGCTGTTTAATCCCCAGAGAAGTCTTCAAGAATGCACCTGCCTTATAGTCTGGACCATGTAGCAGAAGAACCACCATCAGATGACACCTCATCCACATCACAATTCCATTTTCTTAGAGAATAAATAAACTCCTTTTCATAAGATTGAATTTGCAAACTGATGTGTATGGCTAGAGAGTAGCTGAGAATCAAGAGATAAGAAAACGTACAAATAACATCATTAACAGTAATTTCAAGGATTTATTACTAAGAATTAATAATATTCACTTTAAGTTTACTTTCATCTAGTAAACAAGATTCTTGAAGGTATCAAAAGAAAGAAGATTTCTGCTTAGAGTTGGTGTTTGGAAAAATAATAATAATAATGAACTTTATTTTTCCCACCATCCCTTATTAACATTAGAGCTGGCCCTGTCCCTCTTTCCAAGGATGATTGAGGTGACCAAAGAAGGACGAGAGCAAGACAGTTTGCAGGAGATGGCACAAGGCTTATAAGGGAAGTTGCTTTCAGCCCAGGAATGGGAAAAGATAGCCACATACATTCACAGCTTGCATCTTCATTTGAAATTACAGCATCAGATCACCTAGGAAATAGTAGCACAGGGATAGCAAATACATCAGTTCACCATATCAGCTCGCGTTCATTGGTGGTGATCTCTGGAGCCCTGTTGGGAAGGGTTCTGCAACCGAGATCTGTGGGACACAGTGCCAAAACATAAATTGGTAAATTATGACTCCACCTGGGTGCTGTGGTGCTTTTTATGCTGTGATGCTCCACCTGATGCTTTTTATGCGTCCGCTCATTGCTTCCTCACAATGGGCATGATTAAGATTGCCATTTTATTGAAGAAACATGCACAAGATCACATTGATTAACAAAGCTAATTGCTAATACATGTCCTTGGATATTGTCAAGGTGTTTTTTGGTCAGAACCCCCTGGCTGGGAGCCAATACATTTGAATATAGTAGCTCCTTGTTATACCACTTGATAGCCATGGGACCTTGGGCACTTTTCTTTAACCCTTCTATACCTCCACTTCACTTAATAGAGGTGATAAATAGTTCCCTATTGCAGGGTTGCTGTGACTACGATAGTGTTGTGGAAAGTCTTAGCATAGTGCATGGCAGACAGTAAGTGCCCAATAAAAATGTCAGTTTTTATTATTGCCATTATTAGCTTTCCAGGGTGCACTGAGAGTCACTAATGCTGCATTTCTGGCCCCACCCAAGCAGTTAGCATCCAAAGTCCCTTGATGGGAACATATTGCAGACTCAGCCAAAAGGGATGTAGCTCACTCTTGGTGGATAAACTTTTATCAGACTAAGTAAAACTGCACCTCAGGCCCAGATCATATGTCTTTATGGAAAAATCATCAAACTATACCAAACGGTGCAAAACTCCTTTACCGATTTCCTTAGGAATTATATCAGGTATATAATTGGAATATATGTTATTTCATTTTATGTATTCCATCTTTTCCCGTGAATTGATCACTCCTGCCATCTTGGGGCTCCAGCAGCCTGCCCGCAGCTCTCTCAAGCACTTGTCAGATTTTCCTGACCCAGTGAGGTTGGCATCATTACAACCACTTTAAAAATGGGAAAATTAATGTTTTGAGAGAGTAAGTAAATTTGCCAAAGTCCACAGAGCTAGCAAGCAGCAGACCCAGGCTTCATCCCAGGCACCAAAGCCTGTTCCCTAAACCAAATGGTAGACTTCTAGCATAACCTTTGCAGTGGCTACATCTTGTATCCATTGTATCCACTGTGACTGAACCAGTATTTATTTGGCCAATACCCCATTATTGCGCATTTATAATGTTGCCAGTTTTTCCACTATTATACCTGTGACATCAGATACCCTTATATACTCTTTGGTTATTTTCTTAAAACAGTGTCCCTAGGAGGGGAATTGCTGGATTAAAAGGCTTGCTGAGTTTTTTAAGTTATTGATAAATAATGACAGATTGGCCTCCAAAAATAATCTATCATTTAAAACTCCCACTAATGATAAATGAGTGTTAATTTCCCTTTTCTTTATTATGTGTTCCTTTAATCAACAAGAAACTTAAGCACCTATAAATGAACCATAGTTCATTTATATGTGCTGATTTTTTTATTATTGTAATAGGTGAAAAATTATACATTTGTTTAGTGGTCCTCCAATAATCCAAGAGAAAGGCAGCTAAGAAAATTCTACGGAAGAGGAAACAGATATGCTGTGAGTTTCAGTAGCACATCCAAGGTCGCGCAGCTGGTGAGGACAGAGCTGGGATTAAAGCCATCCAGCTCCAAAAGCAGTGCTCTCGCCCTTCTGCCTCCCTGCCAACCCCCTGGAACCAAGAGTATCCAAGGGTTTTTGTGCAATTTCCTGTCCCTTCCCCCACAAGCTGCATATTTTGAGCAAAGTCAGTAAGGGGAAACAAGGGGAAGAGCTGACGGAAGAGAAAGTCGAAATGGGGTGATACTTTACAAGCTTCCAGGCTAACTTGAATGTCATGGATATCCTGATTCTGTCTGCCTGAGGAATCCCAGCAGCTGATAGATGCCAAGGCGATGGCTCTACAGTCCCGTGGCAAATGATATCGAAACTGAATCAGACTCTAGAAATCATCTGCACAAAACCCTTCATTTTTAAAATGTCAGTACAGAAGCCCAGAGGGAATGGCTGCCTGGCACCCTGTCAGGTGCTGAGTGACAGCAGCAGAGTGATTAGAATCTGGGGCTTCTTAAGCTTCAGATCTGTTCTCCTTCCTTATATTCTTTTCTGAACAAGCTCAGATGGCTCTTGACCCTTTCCACTAATAACCAGCCCTCTTCTCATCTTGGCAGTCCCAGTACGAGAAGGAAAGGCGAGGTCCCTGTCAGGTATCTGGGATTTTTATCTCTATCTCTCACCCTTCACAATCCTTCTCATACAATTTAAAACTCCTCTGTTGAAAAAAAAAAAAGAAAAAGAAAAAGAAAAAGAAAAAAACAACAATATTCCCAGCCCTCTGGGAGGTCAAGGCAGGAGGATCACTTGTGCCCAGGGGGTTGAGACCAGCCTGCGCAACATAGGGAGGTCTCATCTCTACAAAATAATAATAATAATATAAAAATTTTAAAAGAAAAAACCACCAACAAAACCACAAACTGGAAAAATGTTTGCAATTCGTATTCAGATATATATGCAGATATTAATTCATAAGGAGGTCATACATAAATTTTTGAAAGATAATTCTATGAAAAATGGCAAATGGAGATAAGCAGCCATTTCAGAAAAAAAGAAACACAAATGGCCTTATAAGAAGCAGAGTCTCACTCATAATTAAATTCAAATAAGAATAATAGCAATTACTAAATGATGAAAGAGCAAAAAAAATGATAACTCATTTTAAATAAAATTAGCAAACGTTTAGAAAATACCTGTCAATCTTTGGCTTCTCTTGCTTCTTTGTCGTGTTGTTCCAGTAACAGAAGGAAATGCTTGCCAGTATTTGCTTTACTGGTTAAACAATTTAATCTCTCTTGTCTTAATTCCAGTCAAATGAATAGAATAGTTTGTTTTTCTCCCAATAAATAAAATAAAACCCAGTTCTCATAAGGAAAAGATGTTTACTTAAAGCATAGCTTGCCTTGCCACAGACTAGGAGAAAATATTTGCAATACATACATCCCATAAATGATTTGTATGTCCTTATATAAAGTACTCTTATAACTTAATAAGAAGAAAACTCAATAAAAATTGACAAACTAGTTGGACAAACACTTGACCAAAGAAGATATGCAGATAGCAAATAAACATATGAAAAGATGCTCAGCACCATTAAACCATTATGGAAAAGCAAATTAAAACTATAATGAGCTATCACTACACATCCACTAGAATATCTATGGTTAAATAGACTGGTATACCAAGTGTTGGCAAGGATGTAGAGAAACTGGAACTCTCAAACTTTGCTAATAGAATGTCAAATGGTGCAACCGCTTTGCAAAACAGTTTGTCAGTTTCTCAGAATTGAAATATATGTTAAGAGTATAAAAAGATAAATTAGAGACTGGGAGAAAGTGTTTTCAAACCATATATCTGGCAAGACTACCATCTAAAATATATAAAGAACTCCCCAAATTAACAAAACAAACAATTTGATTAGAAAGTGGGTAAAAAACATGAACAGATATTTCACTGAAGAGGATGGACAGAAGACACATAAGCACATGAAAAGATGTTCAAAACCATGAGCCAGGAGGGAAATGCAAATTAAAACCAAAATAAGATCTCACCACACGCCTATCAGAATAGCTAAAATAAAAAATAATGACAACACCAAAAGCTGGCAAGCATGTGGAGAAACTGGTTTAGTCACACATTGCTGGTGGGGATCTAAAATGGTACAGCTGTTATGGGAAACAATTAGGCAGTTTTTGGTTGTTTTTGTTTTGTTTTTTGTTTTTTTGTTTTTTTGACATGGAGTCTTGCTCTGTCGCCAGGCTGGAGTGCAGTGGTGCAATCTCGGCTCATTGCAACCTCTGCCTCCAGGGTTCAAGCGATTCTCCTGCCTCAGCCTCCCAAGTAGCTGGGACTACACCACGCCCAGCTAATTTTTGTATTTTTAGTAGAGACGGGGTTTCACCATGTTGGCCAGGATGGTCTCGATCTCTTGACCTCTTGATCCGCCCTCCTGGGCCTCCCAAAGTGCTTGGATTACAGGCGTGAGCCACCACACCCGGCTGGCAGTTTTTTTAATAAAATTAAACATACGACTACCAGAGAACCCAGCAGCTGCACTCTTGAATATTTAGCCCAGAGAGATGAAAACTTATTTTCACAAAAATCTGTACACAAATGTTCATAAGAGCTTAATTCATAACAGACAAAAACTAACAACCAACTGTCCCTCAACTAGTGAATGATTAAAAGGCACAACTCGCATGTGCAGACTGAGATGAATGTGCAACTTAGACGAATCTTAAGGGAATTATTCTGAATGAAGAAAAGTCAATCCCAAAAGGTCACATACTGTATGATTCCAATTACATAACATTCTTGGAGTAACAAAAATTGAGAGATGGGAACAAGTTAGTGGGTTCCAGGGCCAAGGGCAGGGCTGGGTCGCGGGGAAGGGAGGTGAGTGTGGATGTCATGGGCGCACACATGATCCTTGTGGGACTGGAACTATTTTGTATCTTCGCTGAGGAGGTGGATACATAAACATACACATGTGATAAAATTGCATAGAACTAAGTACAAATCTACAAAAATGAGTACAAACGAGCTAGGGAGATCCAAACAAGATCAGTGGATTATATCAATATCAATATCTTGGTTGTAACATTCTACTATAACTTTGTAAAATGACACCATTGGGGGAAAATGAGAAAGATATTGTTTTTTACAGTTGCATGTAAATCTATAATTTTCAAAAAATTAAAAGTTTAACATAAAAATATTAAACGTACTCTTACCATATGGACAAGCCATTTCATTTCTAGGTAATTATCCCAGAGCGATGAAAGTTTATGTCTACATGACAATCCCAGATCAAGGAAAGCCTATGTCTACCAAAACCAGTGCCAAAAAGTTTATAACAGTGTTATTTCTAACAGCTAAAAATTTAAAACAATCCAAATGTTTCTCAATAGGTGAGTAGATAAACAAATTGTCGCATACCCATACAATGGAATCCTACTCAGCCATAAAAAAAAGAAGAAACTATTGCTACACACAACCACACAGATGAATCTTAAAATCATTATGCTTTAGTAAAAGAGAATACATACTGTAATGTGTGATTCTCTTCGTGTAAAATCCTAGATAATGAAAACTAATCTATAGTGCCAAAAAACAGATCAATAACTCCCTGGGGAAAGGGTTAGAGCAGGAAAGAGTGGGAGGGAGGGATGACAAAATGGGGCAAGGAAATTTTGGAGTGTAATAAATATGTCCATTATCTTGATTTTGTCACAGATATATATGCATGTATAGTATATGAAGAAACAACAAATTGTTTATTATGTATCACATATACCTCCATAAAGCTGTTAAATGAACAACAATAACAACAGCACAGCTTGCCTTAAAGTTTTCCATTTCACCAACATACCCGGCACTATTCAATTCTTTCCAGTATCTCTTGCCCCAGCTCTTGAGGATTAGGTTCCTTACAGCGGTGTGTGCTTCTTGACTTGCTGAACTGTTACTGCATGGATTTCCTTCATGTTTCTATATCTTCCTATCAGATCCTCTTAGGAGTTTGTATCAAAAGAACTGGAAATAATAATAATATCATCCCAACAGACTCAAGGCAAGGAGAACAGAAGCTACTGTCATCTGTCATGGAGAAGGAAACTCGAGCTCAGAGCAATTGAATGATCCAGGTAAGATACAAGTCCAGGGCTGAAGCATCCTGGTCCAGTGCCCTTTCTAGCACACCTCATGGAACAGGGGAGAATCCTTTTCCTTCTTTCCCCTTACTTGAGCCAGGAAGGTCAGGGAATTATTGAAACCTTCGTGAGATGATTCCCAAGAGAGGAGGGGCTGATCATCTAATTGATCTGTCTGAGTCTGAGAAATTCATCGGGTGAAATTTGACAAGAGGATGGGTAGTCACTGAACGAAATGTGAAGGATATCCACACATGGGCTCTCTTTCCAGTCCTCTGCCTCCAAGCCTGGGTGATTATGTCCAGTCCCATCTACTCTGGACAGACCATCCTAGATCCGAGGAGCAGGAATCAATGAGGTCTCCTGGATCAAAGCTACATTCAACTGTTCAGTTTTACTGGGGAGCTCTGCCTTGGGAGTGAGGAGGATTTGGTAGGTTCTTATGTGTTTCTCACTCTGTCTTGGCAGGGAGAAGGGGTGTGTATCAGAATTCAAGCATTAAAAGCCAGTTTGCAAATCCCTAGCTGCAAATCTCCATGGCTCTGCCATGCCCCACCTCCCGCAAAAGCCCAAGCCTTGCCTGCAGCTCGGGCGCTACTTCCCTTTTGGGAGAGAGACGCAGAATCTTAAGTAAGGTTAATTTTATGATCCAAGTGGACTCCTCAGAGCTTCTCAAATGGGGTTAGTGTGGCAAAAGCTGCTAGTTGACTACATTAACCCTTCCCTCCTTGGTAACAGAACTCCAAATGTGTACATTGTTAACTTTAAAAAAATAGACTACTTCCAGTCTTCCCTGCAGTTAAGTATGGCCTATGGCCATGAGACCAAGTTCTGGCCACTGAGACATGAGTGGGAGTGCTGTGTTGGGCTTACAGAAGGAAGGCTGCTTAAAAGAGCTGCCCGATATGAGAGGGGCTTGTCTTTCCTCCTTTCTGTCACCTGGAATGTGGAGGTCTTGGCTGAAGTTCTGTTAGCCATCTAGGACTAAATAATGAGGGAGCCACGTGCTGAAGATGGTGCAGCAGAAGATAAGAGCTTGGCATCCTGATGCCCATGAGCCCTCCAGCCTGAATCACCCACTTCTGGACAATGTGTGTGCGAGAGAAATAAACTTCTATCTTGTGTAAGTCACTGTTATTTCTTGGGTTTCTGTTGCATACATCTAATCCTAATCTTAAATTAGTGAGCCTTCTCTCTTTCTTCCCATAGCACTTTGATGGCTCATTGGGTTCTGCTGGATTATCTCTTTACACATATTTACATTTCTCTACTAGTCTATGGCTTTGGTAACAGAGGGGACCATATATTAGTCATCTGCAGGTGCCTGGTACCTTCCTGCCTTGCACACAGCAGGTACCTTTTGAATATGTTTGAATATTTGAAGGAGAGAAGGTCCAAGATAAAATTCAAAAGCTGTCTGGAGTTGGAATGTCCTATAACCTTCACCCCTGGGGTAACTCTTGCTCCTCTATAGACGATTCATGAAGACCGGCCCCAGGGTTTTCCTTGCTGGCAAACTCAACTAGCGGGGCCCAGAAAGAAGGGTGTAAAAAAGCCATTGTTGGCTCCCCTCCCACCCATCCAGGACCTTCCCCCTCACTCACAGATGACAAAGCCAAGGCTTTGTTTAGGCAAAGTGCAGCATTACATTTCTGACCTCTTGGTCCCCAACCAAAACTCTAGAAATGGAGAGAAAAAAAAGTCTCCATTCCCCCATTATTCCTTGCATATCCAAGTCAACATTTATTTAAAATATCCAAACACTATTTTGGTATAGTTTTCTCCCTCTCAGATTTCTACCCTGGTATTGAACCTTCTATCTCCTCTTCTATCAGCTGCACATTCAACATTTCCACCTCTTTATTTACTACTCTCCTTTTTTC
Source organism: Homo sapiens (assembly GCF_000001405.40). Classification (NCBI taxonomy): domain Eukaryota; kingdom Metazoa; phylum Chordata; class Mammalia; order Primates; family Hominidae; genus Homo; species Homo sapiens. The sequence goes on from NC_000017.11 coordinate 15,390,191, forward strand.
TGTAAATGAATTCATTAAATAAAATTATGTTGGAGGCACCCAATTAATGCTTCACATTGTACAAGGTGCTTGGAATATGAAGACAAAAAATATCATTCCAAGTTGGGTTTCTCCACTAGATGCAAACAAACAAAATACAACTTGGACGGTAGCTATCCTGGCGCTCAGTGCCACACACAGTGGTGGCCTTGAGGAAGGACCCCCTAAGCTTTTCCCAGACAGTTGGGAGAGGCTTTGTGGAGACAATGGAAATCGGGCAGACTCTTAGAGGACAAACAGGATTTCACCAGGATAAAAGGGGAAGGACAACGATTTTGTGCAAATGTGAGTCGAACGAGAAATACCCTATACGGTCTGAGCTCATGCTGAATGAGGCAGATTGTGGCAAGAAGAGGGATGGTCAGAGGTGCAGCTGGATTGATGGACAAAGGCCAGGCCAAGCAGGGTCCAGGGAGCATTATGTCCCAGTTTGCACTTGCACCTGTAGGCAGTAGAGAGACATGGAAAGGATTTGTGCAGTGGAGAACTGAAGTCCTCACCATTATGTCCCACTTTAGAGCAATCTTTCTGGCAAGAACATAGAGGATACACAGAAGTGAGGCCAGTAGCAGGTAGCACCCATGACGCTCTCGGTGAGAGGTGGTGGACGGGTCAGCATTGGAGAAGGATGGATCTAAGAGATATTGAGGCCTTGGAAACAACAGGACTCAGTGCCCACTGAATGTGGGGGCTAGTTTGACTGTGTGAGAGGGTGCCTTATTGATAAATGCAAGATAGAAAACACCCCATTTTTTCTCTTTTGTTTTCATATTATCCTACCTGAAAGAAGAAGAGGTTACAGATAGAGGGAGACATCTACGTGGCACAGGCAGCTCTCAGCAGAGGCTGAGCAAGGGGAGATGCCAGCCCTTCATTGTATGCTGCCCAGCCCTCCCCCTCCCTCTCCTGACTTCAGGCTAACCCATACCTATCTCCGCCTTCCTAAGACCTGACTTTTGCCCAGATAATCCTAATCTCTAATTTTGAGAGCCTTTCATTTCCAGATGATAACACATGGTGGACGATGTGCTGTCTCCATGATGTGAGCACCCAAGAAACAGGGGAGTTGGCACTTGCTTCTTTACTGACAGATGGTCAAACGCACAGTGGTCAGCACCTGTGAATCCCAGGGGAGGCCCCAGCTGGCCTGAACTCCAGTGCATGACAAGAGGGATGAGAAACATATCACTCTACAGGGCTCTGGCAGCATCCGGAACTGGCATACCATTGTCGAACAGAGTCCAGGGGTGTGTTGGGCACAAAGACGTGCCACACAGATGACCACGGGCCTTGGGGCTTGGACAACTAAGAGAGTTGCCTGGGCCAGACCCATGCTCCAGCCAGCACAGTTCCATCCTGGCAGTGAGAAGGACTTCCTATTTGTACTACCTGGGGAAGAAGAGAATTTGTGGGTAAGTTGACATGGTTTGGATGTTTGTCCCTTCCAGATCTCATGTTGAAATATGATTTTCATGTTGCAGGTGGGGCCTGGTGAAAGGTGATTGGATCATTGCAGCAGATCCCTCATGAATGGCTTGGCACCATCCCCTTAGTTATAAGTGAGTTCTCATCCAGTCGGTTCATGCAAAATCTGGTTGTTTAAAAGAGGGTGGGACACACACCCCCTTGCTCCCACTCTTGTCATGTGATATATCAGCTCCCTCATGCCTTCCGCTATGATCATAAGCTTCCTGAGGCCCCACCAGAAGCTGATCAGATGTTGGCACTGCACTTCCTCTACAGCTTAAAGAACTGAGAGCCAATTAAACTTTTTTTCTTTATAAATTACCCAGCCTCGGACATTTATTATAGTAACACGGTAACAGTTTAACACACAAGTTGAATCCCTCTTAGGCAGAAAATAAGAAGAATACATTTTCATATGAAAGCAAGTAAGTTAGGCATTCACACCTTGCTTGATGGAGATACAGCAAGGGGTCCAGGTATGAAAAGTCTTAGACTCCTTCTGCCTCTTCTATTCATTCATTTATGGGAAGTTCCAGTTGAAGTCTAACCATGAAGGACCCTGACCAGGAACCACGGACCCCTCTGGATTTGGCAAACTGGACAGATTATCCAGAGCCAAGCTGAATACGGTGTTCTGGCTGCTGCAGCTAAAACACTGTTGTCAATCCCAGAAAACTGTCGAGGCAACTGCCAAGGACATCTCCCAGCTGCTGTGTCCTCAAGCTCCAGTGAGAAGGCGTGGGTTAACTCTTTAAGTCTGGCTCCTGACTCAGTCCTTTAGGCTTGCCCGTGGGCACTCCCTTGGATTCAAGACTGGGCGTGATGCTTTTTGCCCTGTGACCACAAGGTAGTAAGATGTGTTCATAACATCCTAGAGGGTTAGGGCTGGAGTTGACTTCATCGTGATGTGGCTGAGGCCTTTATTTTATAGAGGAGGAAGCTACAGCAGAGAAGAGATGTGACTCATTCTATGAGCTAAGAACTGTGCCCTGGCCAAGTAATGCTGGTGTAGCCAAAGATGTGTGGTCCAAACATCATCTAGAAAGTGTGTTTGTGTTTATTCAGCTCTCCATTGTGGAAGGAGACAGGGAGGGGATGCATCTGACAACTTCAACCAAACCCAACACTGGTGTGGCCCATAGTGGAGTAATATGTCTCCCAGTGAATGCAAGACAACCTCTAAGCCTAATTTTTTCATTGCTCTGAGTATTTGTTCACAAAACACTCTTGACTACTAGATCCCAAGGTGTCTTGATCGTAGAACACAAGTTCCTTGGAAAGTGATATGAAGCCATAGAGATAGATATCCTACTATAGCCTCATATTCATTGGCATATCAGGCCCTTACGAGTTTGCTAAATGTGAATTACTTTTCCCAGAGTGAGATGATCCTTGTATCCATCCTTCTGCAAGGGTGACCCCACAGGCTCTGCCTGGAGGAGCCAATGAGATCTTCTCACTCTACTACCTCTCAATGACAACAAGCAGCAGATAGCTTCTCTCATCTAGTGGATGTTAGGTGATTTTGGTTAGTGTTGTCTCAGAAAAGTAGTGAGTGAGTATGCCTCATGCACCACCAACCATGAACACTGACCATATATAAGGAGGCAGATCATAGAATCCCATTCTTTATCCAGTAGCTGATTAATCTTCAGATGCCCCCAATGCCCCATTCTCTACCCCTCATTCTTCTGAGTGATCCCTCTTTTCTCTTCTTTCTGTGCTCCAGTCTCCAATACGTTTTCTTATTCTTCCTTTCCTAATAAAATGTCTCTCAGAAGAATTATCTGAAAAATGCCTTGGGGGCAATATCTGAGGCTCTTTTCTCTCCTCTCCATTCCCTCTGCCCCTGGCTTTATTCATTCCCGCCCCTTTCCACACCCAGATATTAAAACAGCCCTGCAACCGGTTTCACTGCCTTCGTTGCTATCCGACTCAGCTCTGTTCTCATCAGGACACTTCCTTACCTAGATACAGTCAGTGGCTCCTCACTGCATATGGAATAGATTCTAGACTCCTTCATTCATTGTGCAGAGTCTTGCACAACCTGAACTCAGTGGTTCTTTTTAGTTTCATCTCCTTCTCTTTCGCCTTCATTGGCCTTCCCTCCGGCCAGCACATCCCTCTGTGTTTTTCCAGTTCTTACTTACACAGCCTTCCATTTCCTGGCTTCATGCTCAATCTGCTTGGAATATTTTTTCCCCAACCCTCACTTCCGTTTATCTAAGTCTTACCCATGTGTATGAGTTAGGATTCATTAGGAACAATAGAGACTAGAAATAACAGGTTTAACCATGATCAGAGTTTGTTTCCCCTCATATAGACATTTGGAGACTCAGGCTCCTTCTAGTCCATTGCCCCATCATCCTTAGAATGGTCCAGGATGGGCCAGGTGTGGTGGCTCACGCCTGTAATCCCAGCAATTTGAGAGGCTGAGGTGGGTGGATCACGAGGTCAGGAGTTCGAGAGCAGCCTGACCAATATGGTGAAACCCCATCTCTACTAAAAATACAAAAATTAGCCATGCATGGTGGTGTGCACCTGTAATCCCAGCTACTCAGGAGGCTAAGGCAGGAGAATCGCTTGAACCCCAGAGGCAGAGGTTGCAGTGAGCCGAGATCACACCACTGCACTCCAGCCTGAGTGACAGAGCAAGACTCCATCTCTCAAAAAAAAGTCCAGGATGGAGCCTAGAGTTCCATTCACTACATCTGTTATTTCATGAATCTGGGTGCAAAAAAAAAAAAAAAAAAAGATAAAGAAAAAGAGGAAAAGGTGTGTACCAGCTGTCTTTTGGGGAAAGTTCCTGGAAACTGACAGTTCTAACATTTCAGCTTACGTCTTTTGGAACTTAATCATGTGATCATATCTAGCTACTACAAAGGCTAGGAAATGACTCGATTCCAGGTGACTATATTCCCAGTTAAAAATTAGGTGCTCTATCATTGTAGACAGAGAGAACAGCTCTTCATGTCTGCTGCACCCTTGTTCAGCGCTACCTATCCTGCCCAATTTTGTTTCTGCACCACCTCCTCCACAAGCCTTCTTTCCATCTCCTGAACTCCTAGAGTAGTCTCTCTCATCTTTCCTCCTAGCACATGACACTTCTTACCCTCTTATGACCACCTATGTTCTTTTATTATGTCCCCTGCTGACCTATGGTCAACTGCAGGGCAGGATTCTGTGCTGATTCATTTGAATGCCTCCTGTCCTCACCACCAGTGGCTAGAGAGGGGACAATATTTACCACGGTGGTCCACAGTTCCCTAGCTGTTGGCAAACCTTCTCATTCTGATCCACTGTAGATGAGCATCCTTAAGAGCATGGATCCATTTTAGTTTCAGATCCTCTGTTTTTCTTGAATCCAGATACATGTTCACATGTTGCACAGTGGATGAATTTGAGTGACACCCACACAGACTTACCCCTCCCTTCCAAAAATTGGAAAAAGCTTTAGCACACCTGGGTCCTCATGCCTTAGGATGGGCTCCCTCCCAGGATCCACTTCAGGCTCTCATGAAAATACTCTTGTCAAGGTTCACCCCATTCCTCTTTCATGGACATGTCTGGATTCCATCTTGGGCTTGTAAGTGGTTACATAATCATAAGCTGTAGCATAAATAATCATAGACTGTTATATAAACAGTACCCAAAGCCTCTGGTGCTGTGCATACAGGGTGTGATAAACGATAAACATTTGATGGATGGATAATTATTGTCTCCAATTTGCCAGTTCTCCGGACCATTTAGTCAGGCTTAATGCGGACCAGTTTTTGAAATGCGGGTAGATAACCGTGGAATCTCAGTTGAATGTACAGATGATGACAGTGAGGGGATGTATTATAGGTAAGTCAACAGAAACCTTGTCATACAAGTGGAAGGTAAGGATAACCGATGGTGTGCAGGCACAGAAACCTGTTCTGTCTTCAAAAATGGTTTCCAGAGTCTTGTTTCATGAGAGATGTTAGTTGCTTCTTGGACGTTACATCTTAGCCCCACAACAACTTGAGGCTATGAGCTCCATTTTACAGATGAGAAAACTGACACACAGAGAACAGAACAACCGGTTTGACCTCTGCTACCTAAATCTAGATTTATTTATTTATTTATTTTGAGACCGAGTTTCTCTCTTTTTGCCCAGGCTGGGGTGCAATGGTGAGATCTCAGTTTACTGCAACCTCTGCCTCCCGGGTTCAAGTGATTCTCCTGCCTCAGCCTCTGGAGTAGCTGGGATTACAGGCACACACCACCACACCCGACTAATTTTGTATTTTTAGTAGAGATGGGGTTTCACCATGTTAGCCAGGCTATAAATCTATATTTTAATTTAAACTTGGATCTGTCTTATCTGAGCTCAAATTATCATTATCCAAGCAGATCCAGTGGGGTTTTTGCTACTGCATGGCCGTTTGGATACTTGACGAGCCTTTTGGAACATGCTGGGGTGGATGGGCAATGACCATCGACCCATACAGCAAGGCCATGCAGAGCAACCCATACAGAGAGGCCGCTAGGGTTCAGCAGCATGAGAGTGGCCCAGGAGGGAAATGATCCCTTCACTAAGGGCTGAACATCAAGGGCGGGTTTGAGCAGAAGCCTCCTGACCAGATGTCAGGAGGCCATGGAGAGGGTTGCATTTCACAAGGTTGGTGTCTATCTCCCTACTGACTCCAGGACCGTAACCAAAGCAAAGGTTCTTCAGCCAAGAGGAGAGCAGGTTGCTCATGAAGAATGTGGATGAGAACACGGACTTAAAAAGTCAATGGAAAATGGAATGACAATGTGAAGGTACTTAGAGCCTTTTGAAATGTACCCTTAAAAATGACTGGGTAGGCCGGGCATGGTGGCTCACACCTGTTATCCCAGCACTTTGGGAGGCCGAGGAGGGTGGATCACAAGGTCAGGAGATCGAGGGCATCCTGGCTAACACAGTGAAACCCCATCTCTACTAAAAATACAAAAAAAAATTAGCCAGGTGTGGTGGCAGGCGCCTATAGTCCCAGCTACTTGGGAGGCTAAGGCAGGAGAATGGCGTGAACCCGGGAGGCGGAGCTTGCAGTGAGCCAAGATCGCGCCACTGCACTCCAGCCTGGGTGACAGAGCAAGACTCCGTCTCAAAAAAAAAAAAAAAAAAAAAGAAAGAAAGAAAAAAAAGAAAAAATGACTAGGTAAATTTTATAATAAATTGTATGTTGTGGGTGTTTTACCACAATTAAAAAAAAAAAGTCAGGAGAAGAAAAGTGACAAATTCACACCTAGATCAAACTGGCCCAGTGTGATTTCCAATGTTATAAGAGGGAAGGCTATCTGGTTTCATCCTTTAGACTCTAGGCAAAAAGAAGCAACTTTGGTACAAGACTGGACACCATGTCCTGGAACTGGAATAAAGAAGGATGAAAAAAATTGGTCAATAGCATTCTCTGCCCACCTACTGAGCTCACGCAATTAGCTCTGTGATGCAGGCCACTCTGAGTCCAGCTTCCCTGGTAAGTCAAAGGTTGTTCCATCACGGATTTTGCCATGATAATGAAAAACAACAACTGGGGCCAGACGCAGTGGCTCACTCCTGTAATCCCAGCACTCTGGGAGACCGAGGTGGATGGATCACGTGAAGTCAGGAGTTCTAGACCAGCCTGGCAACATGTTGAAACCCCGACTCCACTAAAAATACAAAAATTACCCAGGCATGGTGGCGGGCGCCTGTAATCCCAGCTTGGTCAGGAGACTGAGGCAGGAGAATTGCTTGAACCCGGGAGATGGAGGTTGCAGTTAGCTGAGATTGCACCACTGCATTCCAGCCTGGACAACACAGTGAGACCCTGTCTCAAAAAAAAAAAAAAAAGAAAAAAGAAAAAAGAAAAAGAAAACAAAAAGAAAGAAAGAAAAAAGAAAAAAACTGGGTTTCTTATGCACTTAATACCTGCCAAAAGGTGCTCTGGTAAGCCTTGTGCTGACTCGGGCTGAGGGACTCAGGGTCAGCGTTAGAGAGGAGACAGTCGGGCCTGAAGGAAGGGTGGGAGAGGATAGGGCAGAGAGGATCTAGGGGAGGCTGCAGACCTAATAACTGGGGTGGGGGAAGGGTGACGCCCTGCCTTTCTGGACAGGCTCTGCCCCTCTGAATGTGAGGGAACAGCACATTCAGTTCTCTGTGGTTGGTTGAAGACTGATAACAGATCAAGAAGTCTCTTAAGACCGTATGTATTTTCTGTTTAAATTCAAGTTCATTTTTTGGCAAGGATTCCTTCAATAATTCAAAGAACTGAGATTTTGCTTTCATAAATCTAGTGTTCTGACCTGCCAAAAATATTTGCATTTATGAAGAGCAGCAGTGTCCTTGGAGAGCAAATGAGCAGAGTCACGGGAATGGGCAAGCACTTGCCATGGCCAGGCGAAGGGTTTGCCAGTGTGCTTGCTCTCACCACCACCCCACCCCTGTCCTAGCCCTTCGTTGCCATATCCCTTGGTTATAGTCAAAGGCTTTTTCCTGGGGTCCCTGCTACCAGCTTCTCCAGACCCCAATCTACACATTCAGGTGCAGAAACGTCTTCATCAAAGGCTGCTTCAGTCTTTTGCTTTCTTGCTTCGGAACCCAGCAGAGATCTTCAATCCCCCGTCTGAGCCTCATCACTGTCCTCAGATCCCAGTTCACCTTCATCTCTCATTCCTGTCACCTCTCACTGTCTCCATTAGCACCAGCCAAGCCCATCTCATTAACAACCACCGCAGACAACTGGTCTTTTCTGGCATCTGTGCTTTGTCATGAGTCACTTCCCCCATTATAAAACCTCCTCCCTCTTCATCAATTCAGGGCCACCATCTCCTGCAGGACTCAGCTCACCGCCACTGGGAAATGTTCCAAAACAGCCATTTGAGAATTGGTTCATTGTGCCCGGTGTCGCTCAGCCCAGAGACCTTCAGTTTCACCATCTCCAGAAGGAAAAATAATGTCTGGTTTCCTATCAGCACGGGGTACAGGCAGTGTCCTGGCTGTGCAGATGGAGGAGGAAATGGTGGGGGGGGGTCTCTAACATTTTCTTAAACAGTTTTTCAAGGCATGTTCCCTTTTTTTGACCTCTGCTTCTAAGGGCACATGGTGCTGCCATTCCTGGGCCATTAGAGGGTTCTGTGGTCTAAATTGGACCTGCTTTTTGTCTTTCTTCACTCATGGTTAGCAAGGAGCTTTCTACATCTGCTAAATCAGTTGCTATTTGTCCATGTGCTTTATACCTTCCAAAAAGCTGCTGCAACTGACTCCACCCTCCTTTTCTGTATCCTCGCAGCTTTCTGCCTTTTTGTTCCTTAACCCCTCTCTGTAATGTTGATAGAGTTCCACAAACATGTGGCCAAGCTGCCTCTTTAACTGGGAATCCCAAGTGACCGTCTGCTCTTTGCTGCCATGTTCTCTCTCCCCTGAATGTACCTCCCCTCCCCGGCTGTATAATAGACTCCTGGTCACTGTGCCTGCCACTACAGAGTGCAGCTCTCTAGACACACACAGAGATGGCTTTTAACGGATGTCTCAGCAGCCTCTGTTGACTGTGAGCCATTCCAGGGCCACGTGAGTCACTGAGCTTCCTCCAGTGTCTTGTTCTGTCTGCCAGGGCTGGCCAAAGCCCTGGGGAGAGAAACTGGTGTCCCTTCACTCTTTCCCACTTGGCAAGTTATGAAGTACATTCATTGAGCTACGTCCTCTGTCGTGTCACACGTTTCCCATTGGGTCTGTGTTGGGATATGGAGGTACGGTGTCAATCAGACAAACGCAGCCCTCAGCCTGATGTTCTTATTTCCCCCAGAGAAAACAGAAGATGCTTGGGGTTAAGACACTCAGTAAGAAGAGCTTCATACCCCTGGGCCTACACTGACTGATGACACCCTGGTATCGGATCTATTTCTGAACATTAGGGAGAACTGCCGAGGTCCAGCTCTGTTCTGAGCTCCTGCCCTTCCCCATGCACACATCCGGTATACACTGTGCTCTAATCCGCCAGGTGCCCCAGAGACAGGCAAGGAAGAACTGACCCAGGTTGGCGGGTTATTCCTTCCTTCTACCTATATTGTTGGAGTTATGGGCCTTGATTGGTGGAGAGTTTGGGCCTTGATTCAAATAACCAGAACTGGCCAGACTTCCTGGCTCATGCCTGTAATCCCAGCACTTTGGGAGGCTGAGACGGGTGGATCAGTTGAGCCCAGGAGTTCGACACCAGCCTGGGCAACATGGTAGAACCTCATCTCTACTAAGACACAAAAATTAGCCAAGCGTAGCGGTATGCACCTGTAATCCCAGCTACTCAGGAGGCTGAGGCATGAGAATTGCTTGAACCCGGGAGGTGAAGGTTGCAGTGAGCCAAGATCCTGCCACTGCACTCACTCTAGCCTGGGCAACAGAGTGAGACTTGTTCTCAATACTACTACTACTACTAATAAATAAATAAATAAATAAATAAATAAATAAATAACCTGAACTGAGACCCCAGATTTAATCAGATCCATTAGAGGGAGGGCAGCATCCCAAAATTCGGACCCAAGAAAGCAGGAACAGGGTGACTGTGGTCTCACATTGGAGTGCATGATCAATTTGCTCATTTCTTAAGTATGCATTGAGTCCCTTCTCTATGCAAACTCTGTGGTTAGATGCTGGGGGTTCAAGAAAAGCAAGTAGCCTTGGCCCTGTACTACAGGAGATTAGAAGCTATAGAAGATGCAACCAGGTAAATGGGTATCCTCTGTGTGGCAAGTGTTATGCCAGGGTGCTAGAGACAAGTACCAGGAGACTTCAAACTGTTCGTGGAAAAAATGGAATTAAAACATAAATGTTAAAAATGTAATCTTTATTTCTCAACATAACCTCCATCAAGTTCAACACACTTTTGTAAGCAATGATACCAGCCATTTAGTCCATCCTTAAAGAAATGAGGGTCTTGGCCGGGCGCAGTGGTTCAAGCCTGTAATCCCAGCACTTTGCGAGGCCGAGGTGGGCGGATCACAAGGTCAGGAGATCGAGACCATCCTGGCTAACACGGTGAAACCCCATCTCTACTAAAAAAATAAATACAAAAAATTAGCCAGTCGTGGTGGCGGGCGCCTGTAGTCCCAGCTACTCGGAAGGCTGAGGCAGGAGAATGGCATGAACCCAGGAGGTGGAGCTTGCAGTGAGCCGAGATTGCGCCACTGCACTCCAGCCTGGGTGACAGAGTGAGACTCCGTCTCAAAAAAAAAAAAAAAAGAAAGAAAGAGATGAGGGTCTTGAGAATTTAACCATGTTAGTGTAGTCTTTTTTTTTTTTTTTTTTTTTTTTTTGAGACAGAGTCTCACTCTGTCACCCAGGCTAGAGTGCAATGGCATGATCTTGGCTCACTGCAACCTCCGCCTCCTGGGTTCAAGCCATTCTCCTGCCTCAGCCTCCCAAGTAGCTGGGATTACAGGCGCCCGTCACAATGCCCAGCTAATTTTTTGTATTCTTAGTAGAGATGGGGTCACCATGTTGGCCAGGCTGGTCTCAAACTCTTGACCTCAGGTGATCCACCTGCCTCGGCCTCCCAAAGTGCTGGGATTACAGGCATAAGCCATCACACCCGGCCCCAATGCAGTCTTTTTACATTATTAACTGAAGAAAAATGGGTGCCCTTTACATTTTTTTTAATTAGGGAATGAAAAAACAAAGACAGAAGGAGCCAAATCAGGACTGTAAGGTAGATGCCTAATGATTTCCCATCGAAACCCTCACGAAATTTCCCTGTTTGGTGAGAGGAATGAGCAGGAGCATTGTCATGGTAGAAAGGACTCTCTGGTGAAGCTTTCCCAGGCGTATTTCTGCTAAAGCTTTGGCTTTCTCAAAACACTCTCATAGTTAGCAGATGTTATTGTTCTTTGGCCCTCCAGAAAGTCAACAAGCAAAATGCCTTCAGCATCCAAAAAATATTGTTACCATGACCTTTGCCTTTGACTGGTCCGCTTTTGCTTTGACTGGCCCCCTTCCACCTCTTGGTAGCCACTGCTCTGATTATAATTTGTCTTCAGGATCATTCTAGTAAAGCTGTGTTTTATCTGCTGTTATAAGTATTTGAAGAAATGCTTCAGGATCTTGATCCCACCTGTTTAAAATTTCCATTGAAAGCTCTGCCCTTGTTTTCAGCTGATCTGGGCACAACAATTTTGGCACCCATCAAATGGAAATTTGCTCAACTTTAATTTTTGAGTCATAATTGTATAAGCTGAACCTTTGAGATATCTATGGTGTTGGCTTTGGCTATCGTCTCTGCTGTTATTCATCAGTCCTCTTCAATTAGGACGCAAACGGTATTAATTTTTCCTTTGAAAACTGATGTGGATTGTCTGCTACCGTGGGCTTCTTCTTCAACATCATCTCATCCCTTCTTAGAACAATTTATCCATTTGTAAACTGGTGATTGCTTTGGGGCATTGTTCCCATAAACTCTTCATTAAAAAAATCAATGATTTAATCATTTTTCCACCCAAACATTACCATACATTTAATGGGGTTCTTTTTGTCTGTTTTTTTGTTTTTTTGTTTCAATTTTAATAGAATTCATGTTGCTCTGGTGGAGGCTCCTTTCAAACTGATGTCTTACTCTTCTTACTGCCTCAAACTAGATCGTGTTCACGCACATCATAACAAGTTAGTGCAAGTTTCTTTTGATGCCAAAAAATTTTGAATTCGTACATAGTTTTTTCACCATACCCACTTTCCATGAACTTTTTGAAGGCCCCTCTCATGTGATCCCAGTCTAGGGATCAAGGCTGACTCCAAAGAAAGGTGGCATCTGTTGTGAATGATGAGTGAGACTTAGGCAAGCAGAGGAGGCAGCAAGAGGCCGGAGCTGAACCTAGAATTCCAGCATTGTTCCATGTGGCCCACTGGAGGGTTGTGGTGGAATGATGGGAGATGAGGGAGCTGCAGCTCGCACAGGCTTAAGGGTCAACAAAGAGTGTGAACCTAGCCCAGAGAACAACGGAGAGCCACCAGGCAGTCCTATATAGGGACATAATTTAAATTTTGGAAAATGTCTCTGATAGCTGAGTGCAAAATGAATTGCAGGGAGAGGGGTCCAGGTCGTGGCAGGAAGACGAGACCTCAGCAGTGGTCCCAGGGAGAGAAGACGGTGGCCTGCACATGGGAATACAGTGGAGCTGGACTCTCAGATCTTCAGAGGGGGAGAATCAGTGGGATTTGGTGATGGATTCACTAAGGGGGATGAGGTTTAGGGAGGTGGCTGGATGGTGGTCCTGTTTCTGGTTTGGGCATCTGTGTGGTGACATTTACCAAGACAGGGAACCCCAGGAGCAATTCTGCAGGACTCGCTCTATCTTCTTTACTTAAAAAAAGGCGACCGTGAGAACTGAAGATGCCTCTTCCAGGAAACTGCACTCCACAAACTTGAGGAAGGGGCCAGCAGCACCTTGAATTCACCAGTCCTTTCTCAGCACTGCTCACTGCCAGTGCACTGCCCTGCTCCTCAAACTGTCTCTATAATTGGACTTTGTGTACAATAAGTACTCAAGAAAACCCAGCGCCTTTGGCTGACTCCCATAGCATCTCAAACCTAGCCACAGCTATACTTGATGATTTCAGGTGTTACTCTCTGGCCCCTCACTGCCCTGTACCAACACACACACATATCTCAGGCACCGTAGCAGCCTACAAACCCACCAGGGCCTCTCTTCACTCCTGAGTCATGGGTGCACACCTCTGCCTGGAGCTCAGCCCCCAGCCACCCTCTCCCTATTCTCAGGCCTATGCTCAAAGCCTACCAGATCCCCAGGCCTCCTGAAATGTCTCTTCTAGCTAAAAGCCGAGCAGCGAATGCTGTGTCAGCCTGAACCTCCTCTCCTGCATTCCTATGTTCAATCACACAGAGACAGGTAAGCAAAAAGACACAACCCATCCTCCCACCATACAAATATAACCACCTGGTTATCTTGGCCCATAAGGTCCAGACTCTCAGAAAAGGGGGTGTCCCCTTAATAGTGCTGAGCTGAACTTAACCCAGGGAAGAACACAGGGCTGACTCAGATGCAGTCTCTATCAGCCAGAAGGGGAACAGGCACTCACCCAACTCACTGCAGTTTAAAGTTAACTGTCATTGGTACTGTTATGGGCTGAAGTGTGTCACCTACTCCAAATTCTCATGTTGAAGCTCTAACTTCCAATACCTCAGAATGTGACTGTATTTGAAGACAGGGTCTTTAAATGGCAATTAAGTTAAGATGAGATCTTATGGGTGGGCCCCGATCCAATATGACTGGTGTCCCTATAGGAAGAGGAGATTAGGACACAGACACACACAGAGGGCAGAGCATGTAAGGACACGGGGAGAAGATGCCATCTACAAGCCAAGGAGAGAGGCTTCCAGAAAATGGTTCAAAAACCTGCTGACACCTCACTCTTGGACTTCTAGTGTCCAGCACTGTGAGAAAATAAATTTCTGTTTTATAAAATACTCTAGCCGCCCATCTATGGTATTTTGGATGGCAGCTCTGGCAAACTAACACAAGCGCTACAACAGAGACACAGAAAATGCTGCAGGAACGCAAAGAAAGAGACAGAAATCCCCAGGAGAAGCGAGTCAGCACAGGGGTTACTTGTGTGGGCTCCAGAGTGGACTGGCTGGGTTCCAACCTCCCTGATCTGCTATTTCCCTCGTGAGAGTCCCCACCTGGCATGGTGGTTGGAAGGATTAATAAAATGAAGCAGGGACAGCAAGGATCAGAGAGTGAGGCACCGTAAGGCCAGCTATTTACAGAGGAAACCTGTGTCACCTAAACTGGGAACCCGGAGACAGAGGAGACTGCAGGGCTGCTGGTGGAAGAAAGGTCCTGTCCAGCAGAGGGGACCCCATGAGCCAGGGCTCGTGGTTGGGCTGGGCAAGGTCCAGGAAAAGCAAGTCACCTGGGGGAGCTGGGGCCAGGGGAGGGAGGCCTGGGCAGGAAAATGGGGGTGAGATGGCAGAGGGGAAACTGGAACACCAGACTAGATTCTGTTCCCAGGGAAAGAGAAACCATCAGATGTTTGTAAAGCAAGGAAGTGGCAAGATGGGAAGGGAATCCCGACAAAGCCGCCAGAAACGAGATTGGGATTGAGGAAGGAGAAACAGTTGCAGGCTTCTGTGATGCAGAGGAGAGGCCAGTGAGTGATTTGCGTTCTTCTATTTGCTCATCTGAAATATTAATTTCAATGTTTGCATGCATAAGCAATGCGAGAGCCCAGACGCAGCCGCTCCTCTCCAGCTCTTAAAAGACTTTCTGTGAAGTGTTCCTGGAAGAGACAGTTAATGCCTTGCCCCGCTTGCCCCGAAATTGATTTCTGAGAAACAGGGCCCTGCATTTACGAGCTGGCCGCGGGGACGGAGGATTTCTCAGCCCAGCCCCTCGGCCCATCGCACCTCCTGGGCATGGGTATGTAAGGAGACTCAGGAGCCCAGGTTGCCAAAGAGAGAGTAGTCTTTAGGGAATTCAGTGGGCAGTGGCTAATGAATAAATCAAAGACTGCCCTCTGTGCTCCTCCATTTAGCAGTGCCATGCTGTTTAACCTTTGATCAGACAGTGTGAGCACGTGCCCTGTCTTTCTGCAGGAATGGAGACTGGCTGTGCCAACTGTCATTTCTTTCTAACTTACCCATTATCTGGGTAGCAGAAAAGTCGAAAGTTGCCGGTAGGTTGGATATTATCTAGTTCAACTCTCCTGTTCTGCAGATGAGGAAACGGAGGCCCAGAGAAGAGATTTACTCAAAGTTTTCCAGGTTTGTTAGTGCGACAGATGACACTGGAACTCGGATGCAGTGACTCCCAGCCCAGTGTATCATAACATTTCACGTCCACTGGAAAAGTGTTGCCTAACACAAATACAACACAAGCCATGTGTGCAGTTTTAAGCCTTCAAGGAGCCACATTAAAAAGATAAAAAGAAACAGATGAAATTGGCCTTAATTTACAGACACACCAGGGACATGTTCTAAAAAATACGTCATTAGATGATTTCATTGTTGTGCAAACACCGTAGAGTGTACGCACACAAACTTAGATGGTATAGATCCCTTATCATCTTACCGGACCACCGTTGTTATGTGGTCCATCATTAATGAAAATGTCACGATGCATGACTGTATTCTGTTGAATGCAGTATATGCAAAATATACAGATTCTGTCTGTGTACACCTTCCCATTCACTAGGTCGGATCACTTTCTGTACCTGCTCAGGCCTAGCCAGGCTGAGGGTGGAAAGGTAGGAGTCAGACTCCAAATAGAAGCATGAAGGCCTCTCCAAGGAAAGCCATCAATTGCAAGCCCATGAAGCCACACATTTAGCAGAAAATGTGCACTTCTCTCAGGAGCATTAAGCATATAGGGAAATATTCCCATAATCAAAGTGTAGGCTGTGGTAGACGCTGTCCCAGCCAACAACAGACAGAGGACCTTTTATCCAGCCACCCATTTCCAGGGTGCTTTTTGCTGACAAGGGACGCCTGTGGGCTGCTGGTATTCTATCTATCTCTTGAGGTGGCTGGACGTGGGTGGCCATGCCAACTCCTGGGCAGAATACTTGAACAGAAGTGCCTGGGGGGACAGAAGACTGCCCCTCACCCTGGGGCACTTATGAGGTCAGCCCAGATGACTCATATGGAATTCCCAAGCCCCCTGGATCCAGGAAACTACTCCAACCTCCGGAGTTCATTCTGGAACTATGCCAAGTGCCAGAAATCCACTTCTATCCAAAAGTTCAGAATTCTATTTTAATTCTCCTACAAGCTGCTGCCTGCTGACTTGGCGTCCGCCCTCCTCAAAGGTGTCAACACGCTTTGAGGGCCAAGTGCTTCTTCTCTGACCCTCCAAACAAGTTCCCATGTTGGCGCCACAAAGCAGGTGGACCACCTAGAGCTGCTGATAAGCAGCGGGTTCCCACAATAACAAACCCCTAAAAGCAAAGTTGGCCTTTTCCCCACCACCAGCTGGTCCATGGCGCGGCTTACCTGAGTGCTGATCAAGGCAGATGCTGCCATCAGAGGAGTTAAGAAGTTCCTGGGACAACAGGTGGTCCCAGTTTGATTGTGCAGAGCTTGAATCTGCAACTATGCTGACCAACCCATGTGGGCTATTGAGTCCCTGAAGTGTGTGACTCGACCAAACGGAGACATGGTTGGTGTAAGTGCAAAATATGCACCAGATATCAGACATAGTATGGAGGGGGAAAAAGGATATAAAAATTTAAAATTCCTCACTGAAAATATTTCTGTTGATTATAGGTCGAAATGATATTTTTTATGTATTGGATTAAACACAACGGATTATTAAAATTACTTTTACCTATTTTTAATTTTAAGGAAACTATTTTAAAATTACCTATGTGGTTCACGTTTTATTCTCATCAGACCGCACTGTTCTAGTGGAAGCATTTCATTTTGGGGTGCAATTCTGATGGCATTGGCTGAGATTTGGCTAGCAGTGTGGGGACGGATGGCATGAGCCTGGTGGTCACTATCCAGGACATGGGATGTGAAGTGGGAGGACTGGCTGGGGATGCTGTTGGACATGAGAGGCCACACCCCCATCCCCTGCTCCATTCACTGCCCTGAATGTGCAGCTGAATTCATTGCCCCAGTTTAAACCATGGAACGAGAAGCCATCAGCCTAGGCCCAGGTCTCTCCACTGCTACCACTGTGGTATGCCCCAGAAAACCTAGAACACGATGCTCCAAAGGAGGGGCTGAGCTGTTTATTGCTTCTCGCCCTTTAGAAATGGAAGCTAAAATTTAGGGCTGAATTTGGGGGCCTTGTCAACACAAAGGATCCTTGCTCTGTATCTTGATTTTGGTGATGGCCATATGACCCTACACAAGTATAAAATTGCACAGAACTAAATACATGTACACACACACACTCCCCTATATTATTTCCTATAACTGCATGTGAATCTACAATGATCTCATAGTTTAGGTCCATATTTGAACACCCATATTCATACCACCATTATTCGCAATAGCCAAAAGGTGGAATACCCTAAGTGTTCATCAACAATGAGTGGATAAACAAAATGTGGCATATTCATGCAATGGAATCTTATTCAGCCTTAAAAAGGAAGGAAATTCTGCCGGGCATGGCGGCTCACACCTGTAATCCCAGCACTTTGGGAGGCCGAGGCAGGCGGATCACCTGAGGTCAAGAGTTTGAGACCAGCCTGGCCAACATGGTGAAACCCCGTCTCTACTAAAAATACAAAAATTAGCCGGGCATGGTGGTGCAAGCCTGAATTCCAGCTACTCAGGAGGCTGAGACAGGAAAATTGCTTGAACTCAGGAGGTGGAGTTTGCAGTGAGCCGAGATCCCACACTGCACTCCAGCCTGGGAAACAGAATGAGACTCTGTCTCAAAAGAAAAAAAAAAGGAAGGAAATTCTGACATCCACTACAACCTGGATGAACCTTGAGGACACTATGTTAAGTGAAATAACCCAGACCCAAAAGGACAAATGCTATATGATCCCACTCATATGACACATACTGAGTAGCCAAACTCGTAGAGAAAGTAGGATGGTGGTTGCCAGGGCCTGGGGGAGAGGGGAGTGGAGAATTGTTTAGGAGCTCTGGTGTTTCAGTTTGGGAGGATAAAAAGAGTTCTATGGCTGGGTGGCAGTGACGGTTGCACAACAATATGAATGTACTTAATAATTAAGATGGCCAGGTAAGGTGGCACACACCTAGCTGTGGTCCCAGCTATTCAGGAGGCTGAGGTGGGAGGATCGCTTGAGCCCAGGATATCTAGGCTATAGTTCTGGGCTATGCCAATTGGGTGTCCGCACTAAATTCCACATCAATATGGTGACCTCTTGGGAGCAGGGGACTACCAGGTTGCCTAAGGAGGGGTGAACCCGCCCAAGTCGGAAACGGAGCAGGTCAAGTCTCCCATGCTGATCAGTACTGGGGATGCATCTGTAAATACCACTGCATTCCGCCCAGGGCAACATAGCAAGACCTCATCTCTAAAAAAATAAAAATGTTTAAAATGGTAAATTTTATGTCATGTGTATTTTACCACAATTTTTTAAATCTAAAAATTAAAAAAAAGTCAGAGCCTTTTGACCTAAAGATCGGTGCCTCTCTTTTACAGTTCACCCTGTTCAAGGAGGTGAACCAAAAAGCTATGGAGCCCATTAGAAGGAACCAGACTTCCAGCACCTGGGTAAATAACCTGTAAGGGAAGCAGGAGCAGAGAGTGGTCCTTGGTGAGGTGCTGGGTGCCGGGGAAGGTGGGGGCCAGGTTGGTGCCTGGTGCCTGTGCTGCACCCCAGTCATCCCCAGCACACTGAGTACCCAGGTGGAGCTCTTGTGCCACCCAAAGGTGAAATTAACCTGTGATTACAAAGTTAGCTTTGATCAAAATTGTTGGTAAATGTAGGGGTTAGGGAAGTGAAAGCGCTAGAAGGAGGCATGAATGCCTAGGGCTGAAAGGGGATGGAGAAGGCAAGGACAGATCCCAGGGTCAGCAAATCGAATCTACTTAGGGTGCGAGATGCGGTGGGCTTTTGGGGACATATTCTTCTATACCGTATCACCAGAGATACAAAGGTTTTTTTTGTTTGTTTGTTTGTTTGTTTGTTTTGGCAAACGAAAGGGGTTTTTATAGACCAACCCTGTTGTACCATTGAAATAGCCCCAGTTTTCCTAATTCATGGGAAGGGCATGAAGAACCCCCTGCGTAGGGCAGGGCAGGGAACCTATCTGCACTCCAAGCAGTTGGCCACCGAAAGGAGATAACTTCATGATGCTTCCATTGAGAATCTCTGAGACAGTAGTTAGGAGAAGGGAACTGCCAGGCTGAGATTTTTCCGTCATCTGATCATGACTGAGTTCAAGATAACAAGAGTCCGTTTTTGGTAATGGAGGCATTTCAAAAGAGAATGATTTTGTTTCCCTTAAGTTCACATAGGTTGGCCGGAAGCCCCCAGACTGCCTGGAATACGCATTAAAAACGCCAGCTATCTCAGCAATAATTTCCAGCCCCAGGCCATTTACTAAGACACACAGCACCTCTACCACCCTGCTCTGATGCACCGCCACGGCCATCCCGCAGACCTGTGCCAGACGGCAGCGCCGGTGCCTCTGCACCCGACCGCAGCTGAGAACGTGTGGCTGCCCGTATGATTCTGCTCAGTTCATGGTGTCTCCTCAGCCACTGTGTCCTGAGCCAAGAGATTTGAGTGTTTATGAAAACCAGCATTGTTTTCCCTCTTGGTCATGTAAGTCATGGGAAATTTTTGTGTGGTGATGCATAAATCCCAGAAAGTTTGGTTTAAAAAGTTCCCTAAAGTGTGGGTGGTTCCTCAAGTATGTCCAGATTTAGTGAATATCTTGAATCCGTAGAACAAGCCTGAGAGTTTCACCCAAATGCCATCTCCGTGAAGAGGCCCTCCAGATTCACGGACACCCTCATTAGTGAGTTCTGGCAGCTGGCCGTTAGATGTAGGACTTTTAAACTCAAATTTAAAATGAGTCTGCATGCCTGAGTGAGCAGAGTTGCTGGGAAATATTATGCTTCAAGGCAGTTCAGGCCAACTCTCCCACGATCTAAAATCCTTCTATTAAAAAAGTTATAATTCATCCCGAATAAATTAGCTGTCCTCTTTGAGAAATCTTCCTTTAATGTTTTGCTTAATCCATCAACAATTATTTCATGAGCACCTGCGCATCCAGGCTTGGCAATGCCACGGATTCTAATTCCTTCTCCTATCCTCACTCCTCATCCTCATCAAGAAGAGGATTTGCCTCTGATCCTCCACCATGACTTGGGCAGCCACTGAAAATGATGCTTTAAATAAATGTGTTGATGTGGAAAGACGGCAGGGCTTATGAAGGAGTATGTATTTCATTCCATTTTCATAAATATGTAAATAGTATGTGTTTAATCCCACTTTTATAAATATATATTCTTGGGCAGATTAATATATATTCATGTGTATATTTCAATAAAACAAAATCTAAAAGGATATATACCAAGGTGTTAGCAGTGATGATCTCTAAGTAGTGGAATTAATTTTCTTTTCTTTTAGCTTCTCTGTGCATTTTTTCTAAAGGAAACACATATTATATGTTAAATCAAAAACGGAAAATGTTGTAAAGGAAACAGTGGCATTGAGAGAAGATGGTAGTTAAGTTTGGTAGCCATTTAAAGAGGTTTACGGCTGGGTGGAGTGGCTCATGCCTGTAATCCTAGCACTTTTGGGAGGCTGAGGCAGGAGGATCACTTGAGTTCGAGACCACCCTGGTCAACACATCAAGACCCCGTCTCGACCAAAAAAAAAAAAAAAATAGCTGCACATGGTGGTGCATGCCTGTAGTCACAGCTACTCGGGAGGCTAGGGTGGGAAGATCACTTGAGCTTGGGAGGTCGAGGCTGCTGTGAGCCGTGATCACGCCACTGCACTCCAGCCTGGGTGACAGAGCGAAATATTGTCTAAAATAATATAAATAAATAAAAATAAAGAGGTTTATATGTTTCTGGTTGGGGAACTCAAAGTTTTTTCTGAGACTAAAGCCTTCTGTACAGGAACATTTTAGGCCTAAACAAAGAGAAAAGGTAAAGTTTATATTTTTCCTATGTGACCGGGACTAAAAAACATACATACATAAATATAATTTTATATTTTTAAAATGATGCCTTTGCAACCTCCTCCTTAAAATGAGGAAGGAATCTTCTCTAGTCTGGTCCAGCTGATTCCTGGCGCTGCCTTTGTTGTTCTTACTGAAACAAAGGCTGCAGAAGAGACTAGAAAAAGCAAAGAGAAGCTAAATTGATCTGCATACGGAAGAGCATAACGCTAGCAAAAACGGGGGAAATACACAAAATGGGGAAGGAAGTGGACAGAGCTGGAACAGAGAAGGGGAGGGAAAGTAGGGCAGAAGAGGTGCAGCTGGGATTTTAGGGGGGAAAAGAAGTAGAGAGGAGAGAGAGAGAGAGAGAAGGCATTGAGCAATTGCTCTGTCTTGTGGCCTTTGGAGCAGGAGGAGAGAAGGGAAGTGGAAGAAGTGGAGACCTCATTCATCAAAAGAAACTGTAGCAGAGCACGCACTTTGCCTCCTCCTCCAGAAAACCTTCAGTGAAGACAGGCATTGCTCTTGAGGGTTGGGGCTCTGGTTTGTACCTCTGGGGATGGATTAGCTGAGATGAGACTTACAGCTGAAGCAAGAAGGCCCAAATTTAGTTGGATCTGAAATTTTGTTTTGCAAAATTGGAAATCCAGTCAGCTGAGAACTCCCTAGGACTCCACCTCATCTGGCAAGATCAGGAGACAGCCCCACCCTGTCTTTGCTGAGCAGTGAAGGGCAGTCAGATGGGCCATTGGGATGGGCCCTAATCCAGTGTGATTCTACTAAATCTGGGCCTTCTTGCTTCAGCTGAAAATCTCATCTCAACTAATCCATCCCCGGAGACAAAAACCAGAGGCCCAGCCCTCAAGAGCAATGTCGTTCTTCACTGGTTTTCTGCAGCCCCTTTCCAGGGACTCCACCATCTCATCGTGAGCCCCAGCAACAGTATTTCCACGTCACTGGCATCCTGGGTGCCGGTCCAGGGTACCCATCTGGATTAGTTTCCTAAGGCTGCTGTAAAACTGACACAAGCTGGCTGGCTTTAACAACAGAAATTGGCTGTGTCACAATTCTGGAGGCTGGAAGTCCAAGATCAAGATGCTGGCAGGGCAGGTCCTTTCTAAGGACTGTGGGAAGGAGCTGTTCCGGGCCCCTGTCCGGGCGTATGGATCCATCTTCATCACGGCATGGCCTTCTCCCTGTATGTCTGTCTCTGTGTCCAAATTTCCCCTTTGTTTGAAACCAGTCACACTGGATTAAGGCCCACCCCAATGACCTCACTTTAACTTGATCACATTTATAGAGACCCTATCTCCAAATGAAGTCACCTTCTGAGGTACTGGGGGTTCGGACTTCCACGTGCCAATCTGGGGTGGAGGAGACACAATTCCACCACCATGCGCACTGACAGCCCCATGGCCGGCGCACACCCTTGGTGCCAGCCCCAGAGTGACTGGCGGTCACTCTGGGGGCCCCTCCCTTTTCTTTCACACGTGCTCACTTTGCAGCTGTCCAGGCCATTCTGCCCTCATCTGAGGAATTTGCAGAAATTCCCCAGAACTCAGGCTTGGTGATTTCACCCTTCCCTGTTTTCAGCCAGCACAGAGTTTTGTCCTAGGCTTCTGTTTCTCTGCTGAATTCAGTAGGGATTGAGGAGGGAGCAGAGACTCATGGGTGGGTTCAAACCCCTTCCTTGAAGCTGATGTTGCTTTAAATCTGCTTCCCTGGAGGGCCACAAGTGGGCCAGGACGCTGTGTATGGTCCTGCAGACAGCTTCCTGCTCCTGCCCCGTCCTGCCCTTGGACAGAATTGGGCCGTGGACTCATTTTCTTAGGGGACTCCTCCAACCCTCATGGGGACACATCTGCTCCTTAAAGCGTGGGTTCTCTGCTACAGATTCTGAGGGAACGGTCTGTAGCTGGAGAGACTGAGGAATGAAAGGTACATTCAGGCCATGCAGAGTCACTTAGCTGAAGGGTGGGGCGGAGATGGACAGCTGGACAAAGGGGCACAGAGAGGTTCGGCCTGAGGAAAGTTGAGAGGAGGGACTGCATTATCATGGAAGGACATGCTGCTTTGATCCGGATGAAGGAGCTCCCATGTCTTCTAGCCATTTAGGTGCAGCAAAAGATTTGCATTAAAACCCAAGTTACTGGAGTGAAATACTGAGGGGAATGTGGTTCATGAGAATAGCAATTTACATTTGAAAAACATTTTAAATCATGTCTTAAAGGATTCATAATTGTAGGGCTTCTTAAAACTAGTGGTTTTCATTCAGAGGCCCCAGGGCATGCTTGGATTTCCCGCACAGGCTCCTGTGGCCAACTCCAGGGAAAAAGGAGAAAGGATTGGAGCAGATGCCAGAAGCACCCCGCTCTTTCCTCTCCAGCTCACCCTGGCTTGGAGCAGAGACGTCATCTATCACTTGTTTGGTACAACAAGCTCCCACACAGGATTTTATTTGGTAAAAGATCTCCATGATTACAAAAAATAAATGCATGCATGCATACAAGAATATATACATTAATTCCACTGGTTTAGCTAATTAGTTTTCCATGCATATATTTTTATAAGATTATATACATGGAAAACTCATTTACACAGGTACTCAACTATACAGTACAGATACTCAACATACCCGTGATTTCAAGGTCGTAACTGCTGCTTGAAGGTGGACATGTGTGTCTATAGTTCATTCCTAATGAGAAAGATCATCTTCAACACAATAAGGAACACACTTTAACCTAAGAGGGGTGTCATCTCCAGAGAGGATGTTCCAGCCATTGAAAACAAGAAGTGCTCTGAAGCAGATCGAACTCTGGCTTGGATGCTCTGGCAGAGTCCTGTGTGTACCAAATTAGCATTTCAAAATGAAGCCAAGTAAGAGAACCAGCTCCTTCCTGAAAGAGGCCATGAGGGTCTAAATGTCCCACAGATCTGGCTGTCTCTGTGGGAAACCACCTCTTGGAGAAGGAAGATCTGAGCTAGCAGGGCCGTGCATCTTCCCGAAAGCTCCGTGTTCCTGCTTCAAGGCTATGCTTCCCAAGAAAGCAGATCACGGGGTTATTTTCCTGACGCTCCCCTCCTGGGGGATTAAAATTCTTATATTTTGACATGGGGGCAGTGAGCAGAGTGGCCAGAAGGACAGTCTTTGGTGGCTGCTTGGCCCCTGGCCTGGTTTGATTCTGTTCCCGAATCATTAGTGGAGAACTCCTATATTCAAAGAACGGTGGTAAGAGCTGGGAGTACAAAAGTGAGAGGGAAAAAAAAAAAAAAACCGTCTTTGCCCTTAAGGGGCTTTGGTGTATTTGCAGGAGAGAGTCTCATGAACAGATGACTGAACGTCACGTGGAAAGTGCTATCCTAAAAGTGCACTGTAGCACCAAGGAGCACCAAGGTGAGGTAGAGTCCAGTGCAGAAGCTAGAGGCGGCCTCTGGAGCAAATTCACCTCCACTGCCTCACAGGACTCTATGGATTATTGGTCTATAAATACCTCTAGCCATCACAAATGCACTTTCGCAGAAGGATTGAATTTCAGCATTAGAAGCAACCTTCCTAGCCGTTAAACCCTTCACGGATCTGATGCTGGAAGCCCCTCTAGGACACACCCACCAAATGGCTTTTTTGAGTTGCTTTTAGGACAGGATACTCACTACCATGTGGGGAGGTGCTTGGACTACCTGGGCGCCCATTGAGAGGCGTCTGGCTTTTAGAGCTTGCTGCCAGCTTTGGGGAGTGTGAAGGCTGAGGAATGACGCTCTGTGTGTCTGGCTCAGCCAGCAGGCACAGGGCTCCAAGCACGGGGATTCCAGGGCCTCAGGTTGCATCTCAAGTGGCGTAACTGAGCAGTCAGCTGCTGGCAGTCACTCTGAACACACGCTGCTCCTCAGGGCACGGCATGTGCCTCCCAAGGCAGCCAGCCCATTCCAAAGGGTCAGAGCAAAGCACACAGTGCCCTCAATAGTCTGCTCCCTTATTCAGCCCTGGCCTATGGTAACCTAAGCCTAGGCAGGGGCTGTGGGCACCGCATCCCTCAGCTCAGCTCAGCCTCTAAGTGCATTGTGCTCTGTTTCCACGTGCTGCTCACCTTGTTTTGGGGATTTCTAATCTCACTCACATCCTTCTATTTCTCTCATGGCCTGCAGGTCCCCTTTTACTATTCCAGGTGCATCAGAAGTGACGGTTCCCATGAGCATAGGGGCTGTGTCTCTAGTGAGCTTTTCCCAGTAAAGTCATATTATCCATGTCAGTTCCACCTTCAACCCCAACATTCCCTGACTTTGTCGTTCAACTCCCTTGTCCCCTACGGATCCCTCTTTTTCACAACTTCTAAGACACTTGCAGTCCACACCTTGTTAGCAAGTTCTCCATTACATGCTGCTTTGTGCTATTTTCCACTGGTTTCCTCTCTGCCGTCCTCCCTCCAGCAAGCCCCTAATAAAGAAGAATTTTGTTTCATCCACCTCTGATATTCTTTGAAGGACATGTAGGTTTCAATGAATGTTTGTCGAATGAAGAAATGAATACACAATTTGAGCCCTGCTCCCCCAAATCTTATATATAGGGGCACAGAGAAACAATAATGAACAATTACAAAGAAGCAGGAGGAGTATGTGCAGGATATGGAGGCAGCCCAGAAGTCCGACGCAGTAAGTACAGGTCCTCAGGAAGCATTAGGTTGCTGGACAAGCAAGACATACACAAGATCCATTTCTCCCACCTCTGCTTGTTATCCATTCCACACAGACACCAAGCCACCGTTCTTTCCTTACAACAGGCATCTTGGCTTGACGCAAAAATAAGAAAAAAATCTTACCATGAAAATCACGGTGACTGCTTCTGTTCAATGCTTTATAGTCTTCAGGGCATTCTGTGACCAAATCACTTGTGTATGCCAATGATGGATGAGATGCCTTCTGCAGCTCTTTCTACATCAAATCCCTTGATTTGTGGAAAAAAGCAGAGATCACAAGTGACTTTCCTGAGTCCCCGCAGGCAGGTCAACATGGGACTGGAACCAGGATCCAAGGAGCTCCACGTTATCCCACACTAAATCTCTTCTGTCCAGCTGCCTCTCCCTCCCCAGCCTCTCCTGGAGTTGGAATGAACTCTTTCCACAGTCTGCCTCAAATGATCGGATTATTGGACAGCATCTTTGCTTTCAGGAAAAATGCTATGGCAGCCACAGTGACACCCAACTTACCTAGTGATGACAAATTATATGTGGCGTTCCAAGCTGTACCTGGGGGTTTTCAGGGTTATTTGCACCTAATTATAGGCCCCCTCTAAGACTCCCACAGTTGAAGTCCATTACAGTAAAACTCTTCCCTGATTGCATTTTTTTTTTTTTTGAGACGGAGTCTTGCTCTGTTGCCCAGGCTGGAGTGCAGTGGCACAGCTTTGGCTCACTGTAACCTCCACCTCCTGGGTTCAAGTGATTCTCGTGCCTCAGCCTCCCAAGTGTCTGGGATTAGAGGTGCACGTCACCATGCCTGGCTAATTTTTGTATTTTTAGTAGAGACGGAGTTTCATCATGCAGGCCAGGCTGGTCTCAAACTCCTGATCTCAAGTCATCCACCCACCTCGGCCTCCCAAACTGCTGGGATTACAGGCGTGAGCCACTGCGCCCAGACTCTCATTGGATTTTATTAGTAATATAGTGACAGAAGGGTGCAAAGAACCATGTTTCCACCATTAAAGAAATTTGGGGTCTGGGAGCGGTGGCTCACGCCTGTAATCCCAGCACTTTGGGAGGCCGAGGCGGGCGGATCACGAGGTCAGGAGATCGAGACCATCCTGGCTAACACGGTGAAACCCCGTCTCTACTAAAAATACAAAAAAATTAGCCGGGCGTAGTGGCGGGCACCCGTAGTCCCAGCTACTTGGGAGGCTGATGCAGAAGAATGGCGTGAACCTGGGAGGCGGAGCTTGCAGTGAGCCGAGATAGCGCCACTACAGTCTGGCCTGGGCGACGGAGCGAGACCCCATCTCAAAAAAAAAGAAATTTGGGAAGGATCTTCTCTTTTAGTGTATTGATTTTAATAGGAACCAATTCCAAGATTATTCCTACGTCAGTAGAAGTATAATATTAGTAGTCATGGTGGTGAAGTGGTCTCTTCAGAAAAAAAGAAAAGAAGCTTGTAGCTCTTGCCAGTTCCTGTAGTGTAAATTCTCCCACCATGGCCAATTTTAAGCTACCAATGCAATGTCACCGTACACACACAGAGTTGGAAAGAGACTTACCTAGTTGGCTCCATGAGCCAAGACAAGTGGCTGCCACAGCCACCACCTTTACTGAGATTTTACTACGAGATAGGCACCCTTTCAGGCTCATTGAATCCTAGCACTTCACTATGATTTATCTATAACAATAGGGAAAATAAAAATAGGTGCTTACAGGTTTTGTGACGATTGATTGAAGTCATACACACTAACTGGTTGAGAGCAGTGCCTGGCAGATAGTGAGCATTCAATAAACAGAAACAACCAGAATTGCCATTATTACTGCCTGCATTGAATCTTCTCATCAGCCATGGGAAGCAGATGCCCCTCCCACAGCCGACAAGAGCCCCTCCTTGGTAAGCATGTGTGTGGCTAGAGCTTGGAACATTGTGCGTGGTCTTCTGGCCTCCTAGGGAGGGCCACGTCAC
This sequence comes from Homo sapiens, assembly GCF_000001405.40. Lineage (NCBI taxonomy): Eukaryota > Metazoa > Chordata > Mammalia > Primates > Hominidae > Homo > Homo sapiens. The sequence goes on from NC_000017.11 coordinate 15,417,943, forward strand.
AATTCATCTTTTGACCCTGCCCCCCAATTTCCCAGTCCTCCCTGAGGATGACAAAGTGGAGTGCTCTGGGAAGACAGAAGCAACAAAGGGGACCTTTTGTGACAGAGGAGAGCATTTAAAAAGAGAGACACAGAGGGCAAGGCAGGAGTGACCTCAAATGGCCAGAGCTAGAGCCCTGGGGCAGCAAAACAGGAGGCAGGTGTGGTTTAGCAGCAGCGCCCATTAGGACATCCCACAGGCGAGGCCTCCTACAGGGGTGTCTGCCCCACCTGCCCCACCCCTACAGCAGGTCCTGCAAAACCACCTGTGAGCTGTGGTTGACACTGAACTGCAGGGAGGATGCTAAGGGTGCACTGAGCTGAAAGCAGGTGACTTCCTTTCCACCTGGACAGTACACATAACTCATTCACTCAAAACAGAACCTTCCAGTTCCCCTCACCTGCCCTTCTCCATTGCAGGCACACATTAGCGTGGTCTCTGAGAAAGGAAGGAGAAGATGCCCAGCTGTGTTCGCTGGTATGTGTGTGAGGATGGAGGTGCTCATCTTGGCTTATAAGTACCAAGCTGTGGGCACCTTTCTACCCTGAAGTTTGAGTGATTCTGCAGCAATAGACGCTCAGGGGAGGATAGCAGAGGCATCCAACAGACAACTCCTGTGGCTCACCCAGGTCAGGGTGGGTACATTTCAGGCTGTCTTGTAGCTGCTTCTCTGAGGAGCTGGGTTCTGCTCCCCAAGCTCTTCACACACTCTCAAAGATGGTCTCTCCTGAGGCCACAGACGGCATCCTTGCCAAACTGCCCAGGGCAGGGGTACACAATGGGGGCCTGTTCCCGTGGAAGCCAGGAATATTCCATGAGAAAGAAGCAGAGAAGAAAAAAATGTCTAAATATCTGTTTTTGCTTCCTACACCTCACCCACTCAAAACATTAACTTCATACCAAGCTCCCACTGCATCAGTGTCCAGGGACTTCAGGAAGCCCAGGAAGGAGCAGAGGAAGCCGCGTCTACACCAGCTCTGGCATCATGTCAGCCCCACGGCCTCAGCCCCAGGCTTCACGAGCTTTGCATTTTCTTAAACGTTTGATGGAATCACGTGCACCAGCTGCAGGCCAATGATGCCAAGGGCCAGACATTTTTGTGTTTTGCATTTTTTTTCTATTTTGCTTTCTCTTTAAGTGGAAAACTTATATCTTCAGACTGCTACATTCACTGGTAAATTCAAGTTTTGACCCGTCCCATCGCGTCTGCTACCGACAATCCAAGCCATAGCCCAACTTCAACGTGTCAGATTGCAGGAAGGGTTCTAACTTCAGGGGAATCGAAGGAACAAAGATGACTAGCTTTTATTTTACTATCTCCTTGTTATGAAGTTTGACTTTTCAGCAGGGAAATGGGGCTTGTTAATAATAGGATCAAGAAGCATATATTCCATGCACTATGCTGGGCACCTAAAAGAAAAGAGGGCAACTGTACCCCCTAAAACTGCTTTCATTCTTACCAAAAGGCTCAGTAGCAATCAGAAAAAAAAAAAAACCACTTCAGAAAGGCCTTGTGTGCTTACTCTTACCAGAAATTAAAAGAGATTTCAAAGCTACATTAATGAAAATATTTGATTCTGGTGCATAAATAGACAGATGCATCAATGAGCCAAAGCAGAAAGCCCCAAAAGAGACTGGAAAATATAAAATAATGCATAAAGCAAATTTCACCTCATTGCAGGAAAGATGGATGATTCAATAAATATTGTTGGAAAACCTGGCCAATCATAGAGGAAAAAAAAAGTCACACTAAATCCTCCTTCATGTCTTTACACTAAAATAAATTACAGGTAAAAAAAATATTTAATTTTTTTTAAGTTTCAATGCATCAGAAATAAACATAAGGTAATCTTTTCACATAATCCTGAGAGAGTAGAAAGTCCTTCTAATCAAGACAAAACTCAAAAGCCATACATAAAAATATTGATAAGGTTGACTATATAAATATTTATAATTTCACATATACCAAAAATACTAAAGTGATATCAAAATACAAATGAAAAGGTGGGGGAAATATTTGAAAGACAAATTATGAACAAAGGACTAATATATAAAGGGTTTAATATGAAAACAGGACTGTGATCCACAAGTAAAAGGCCAAGGACTCATTTTTTTAATGAGTAAAACACATAAACAGGCAATTCACATAGAGAGAACAAGTGAAAGAAATGAAAAGAAGCAGCAAATTAAAATTGGTAAAAATGTTTTACCGAATACGTTAACAAAGATTAAAAAGTTTGTTGGCTGCATAAATGTCTTCTTTTGAGAAGTGTCTGTTCACATCCTTCACCCACTTTTTAATGGGGTTGCTTGTTTTCTCTTGTAAATTTGTTTAAGTTCCTTGTAGATTCTGGGTATTAGACCTTTGTCAGATGGATAGATTGCAAAAATTTTCTCCCATTCTGTAGGTTGCCTGTTCACTCTGATGATAGTTTCTTGTTTTGTTTTGTTTTGTTTTTTGAGACGGAATGCAGGTCGGAATGCAGTGGCGTGATCTCATTTCACTGCGAGCTCCGCCTCCCAGGTTCACGCCATTCTCCTGCCTCAGCCTCCCAAGTAGCTGGGACTACAGGCGCCCACCATGCCTGGCTAATTTTTTTTGTATTTTTAGTAGAGACAGGGTTTCACCGTGTTAGCCAGGTTGGTCTCTATCTCCTGACCTTGTGATCCACCCCCCTCGGCCTCCCAAAGTGCTGGGATTACAGGCATGAGATAGTTTCTTTTGCTGAGCAGAAGCTCTTTAGTTTAATTAGATCCCATTTGTCAACAGTGTGGGATGTTCCCCTCCCTGTGTCCAGGTGTTCTCGTTGTTCAACTCCCACTTACGAGTGAGAACATGCAGTGTTTGGTTTTCTGTTCCTGTATTAGTTTGTTGAGGATGATGGTTTCCAGCTTCATCCATGTCCCTTCAAAGGACATGAACTCATTCTTTTTTTATGGCTGCATAGTGTTCCATGGTGTATATGTGCCACATTTTCTTTATGCAGTCTATCATTGATGGGCATTTGGGTTGGTTCCAAGTCTTTGCTATTGTAACAAATAACTAATGCATGCAGGGCTTAAAACCTAGATGGTGGTTGATAGGTGCAGCAAACCACCATGGTACATGTATACATACCTATGTAACAAACCTGCAAGTTCAGCATATGTATCCCGGAACTTAAAGTAAAATTTAAAAAAAAGTTTGATAATGCACAGTGTTGACTAAGATATATGAAAACAGGCATTCTGACCAGCTATTGGGGAGAGTGTAAACGGGTGTGATGTTTTTAGAGAGCAACTTGATAGCATCTGTCATATGAGTCCATCTGCAAGATGAGTGAATTCGCAAAGGTCTAGGATTCTCTGCAACACTGTTTGCAAGGGCTACAGACTAGAAACAATCTCAAAGTTCCTCAAGAAGAAACTGGTTAAATACATTCACACAACCGTATACTCCAAAGTGTTTAGAAGAATAAGATGATTCCATATGTTCTAAGAGAAACAATCTCCAAGATTGCTAAGTGGAAAAAGTGGGGGACAGAACAATATGTGTACTATATAATGTGTGTGCGTGTGTGTGTTTGGTGGTGGGGTCATACCTGTGTATTCATTCAGCTAAGCTTTACTGAGCAACCGCTACATGCCAGGTATTGTTCTAAGCACAAGGGATGCAGCAGTGAACAAAACAGACAAACCAGCTGGCTCACGCCTGTTATCCCAGCACTTTGGGAGGCTGAGGTGGGTGGAGAACCTGAGGTGAGGAGTTCGAAACCAGCCTGACCAACACGGTGAAACCCCGTCTCTACTAAAAAAATACAAAAAGAATTAGCTGGCTGTGGTGGCGGGTGCCGGTAATCCCAGCTACTCGGGAGGCTGAGGCAGGAGAATCACTTGAACCCAGGAGGCGGAGGTTGCAGTGAGCCAAGATTGCACCGTTGCTCTCCAGCCTGGGCAACAAGAGCAAAACTCAAAAAAAAAATAAACAAAAAAAAAAAGAAGAAAACGAGAAGAAAGAAAAAGACAAACTCCTCTGCCCTCGTGGAGCTTATTCTTTTTTTTTTTTCTTTTTTTGAGACGGAGTCTGGCTCTGTTGCCCAGGCTGGAGTTGCAGTGGCATGATCTCGGCTCCCTGCAAGCTCCGCCTCCCGGGTTCACGCCGTTCTCCTGCCTCAGCCTCTGGAGTAGTTAGGACTACAGGCGCCCGCCACCATGCCCGGCTAATTTTTTGGATTTTTAGTAGAGATGGGGTTTCACCATGTTAGCCAGGATGGTCTCGATCTTCCGACCTCGTGATCCACCCTCCTGCGCCTCCCAAAGTGCTTGGATTACAGGCGTGAGCCACCACGTCCAGCCTATGGAGCTTATTTTCTAATGAAGAAGAGCAACAATAAGCAGTAAGTGGACTCTGTGATGTGCCGCGTGGTGCAGAGTCATATGAGGAAAAATAAAGATGGGAGTATGTGAAGGAATCCAGCAGCAAAAAAGTTTCTTTGAAAAAAGCTTCACCGGAAAGCGGGTATTTGAGCCAAGACTTGTAGGAAGGGAGAGAGGGCACTATGCGCTCAGATGGGGAAGAGAGTTCCAGCCAGAAGGAAGGGAACTGCTACGATTGAAGTGAGGGTGCCGGGGAGCTGGGGCGGGTGAGTAAGAAGGAGAGGATGGGAGAAAAGGCCCACAGAAGAGGAAGGCAGAGGTCCTTGTAGGGGCTTGACAGACTCTGACTTCCACCTCGAATGCCATGTGACATGATCTGACTTAAAGTTTTTAAAATATGCAGAGAAGACTTCCAAAGAGATGCATACCAACCCGTGACAGTGGATGCCTCTGGGCATCTAGATGGATGGTGGCAGGCAGGCGGGAGGTGTGGGGGAATTCCTTTGCATTCTATTCAGTGGGCTGTTTCATTTGGTTCTCCTCTTCCCCAACCTGAGTGCATAGTTCCCTCCTTGTTTTCTTGTTTTATAATGCTTTCTCGTTTTTTAAAAGAGCGTGCTATGTGCAGTGCAAAATAAAGAACTTCCCCTGCAAAAGGATCTTTTTATTCCTGGATAGCTTAATAATCTAGGGCTGGTTAGGATGATGACTTAGATTGGGTTCCCCAAAGGCAGAGCCTGAGAAGAGGGTTGGAGGACATCCCAGGTGAGGAGTCTATTTCCGAGGTGAACCCAGGAGACACTGGTAGAGGAGTGAGGAAGTGAGACAGAGAAGGCAAAAAGGGCAATACGGGGTGCATTCTTGAGCAGATTACTATTTGGGTAACTGAGGCACTTTCCTGCTGGGAACTCTGGGAGACTGTGTGGAGTACACCTCAGAGTTATTTGCTCAAGTTAAGGATAAGGAAGCTGGGCTGTTTATCCACCAACTCATATTTGCTGTTACGAGAGAAGCTCTGTGGGAACTTAGCTCCATTTCCCATCCAGGGGATCAGGGCAAAGCTCCCAGGTGGAATATGTTGGGTGCCTGGACCAGGACGCCATGGGCAGGTGCTGAAATGGAGGGCACGTGGGCTCTCTGCTGCAGGGTGTGCTTTGCCTTTTTAAAAATACGTACGATGGTTTCACCTCAAGTTCTTTTCACCCTACTGTCCAAAATAGGCCCTGCTTTGACCGGGCGTGGTGGCTCATGCCTGTAATCCTAGCACTTTGGGAGGCCAAGGCAGGCGGATTGCCTGAGCTCAGGAGTTCAAGACCAGCCTGGGCAACATGGTGAAACCCTGCCTCTACTAAAAATACAAAAAAATTCGCCAGGCATGGTGGCATGTGCCTGTAGTTCCAGCTACTCGGGAGGCTGAGGCACAAGAATTTCTTGAACCTGCAGGGTGGAGGTTGCAGTGAGCTGAAATCACGCCACTGCACTCCAGCCTGGGTGACAGAGTGAGACTGTCTCAAAAAAAAAAAAAAAAAAATAGACCCTGCTCTTTAATTCATGTCACACGAAGATGGAACAATAAGAAGAAAATGGGGTGGGCTTAGAGCTGCACTTGGGGAGTTGCATAAACCAGCAGTCTCTTGTACCTCTCCTGTAGCCCAACCAAGAAGGCCCTGGAACGGGGCCATGCATGTAAACACTATCTGTCCATTCTGCTCTGGTGTGGGGAGAAAAAGCTTTGAAAACATGCCTTTAGGAAAATTTATGGTTCACTATTTTTTTAAGAGAAGAAATTGTAGATAGCAATGCACTTTTGGATTGAGCCAGGATGCCTCACCCTCCCTTGCACACCCATTCATGTCACTCCACTTCTTCAAGCCCAGCACTAAAATGCCTGTCTCTTTCAGGAAGCCATCCCAGAAGAAATCCACCTGCCTCCCTCCAGGCTACCAGGAGATGCTTAGCACACAGGCCACCAGGCATCAGCAGTGAGCCTGAAAAATGTGGGTGTATTGAATCCAAATATTCAACAAAATCACTGGGGCTCTCTGACCATGTCTCATCATCTTCAAAATGATTGGTGAGATTAAAGGATCTCTGTAAAATGATCTCAGACAATCAATCCTTCTAGTCACTTGATCTTTCTATGGTTTTAAAGCAACTGGTTTTGGGAGTCGACCATGAACTGACTCAGAAAATGATTACCAGAAGTGGGGTTCAAAAAAAGCTCTGGGCAGCCCCGCTTTGTTAGAATGAGAACAACCTTTCACGCCGGTAACTTTGAAGGAGAGAGCTCTCACTTGGGGATGCAAGTTCTTATGTATACTTTTAAGAATTATCTGTGAGTCCTTCAAAGGCAGGCCTTAAATCCTACTTGTCTTCACCTCTCCATATTTAAGGTTCTGTGTCAAGCTGTTGATAAGCCAGTATTCACATTGCCAGGTCAACAAGAGAAGAAAACCAAGCAGGCTTTATCCTCTGCTTATAGCTTTAGCTGCTGTCCTGCCCAAAACCCTACATGGCTGTTCATTATTCTCAGGAAAAAGGTTTGTCTTTTTGTTTTGTTTTGCTTTTTAATGTGATGCACATTAGACCTCTGCTTATCTTCCAGCCACAACGTGGGTCACCCAGCCCACAAGTCCTCCCACACAGGGTCCTCTCAGAGTGTCCTCTTCAGGTGAGCTGCTTGTGAATTACCCAAGATGCTTGTTTAAAATGCAAATATCTGGGCCCCAGTCAGATCTACCAATCAGACTCTGAAAGTGAGCCCCAGGAATCTGCACTTCTAGCATGTGCATAAGGCAATTCATAAGAATGCTGAAGTCACTGCTTCCGCTAGGCCATTTTGACCTCCTTTTAATGTCTTGAATGAGCTGAACTCCCTCCTCCCTGAATTAGTTATCTATTGCTGCATGAAAAATTACTCCAAAATTTAGCCTCTTAAAACGACAAACATTTGTTATGTCATAGTTAGGTTAGGAATTCAGGAGCAGCTTGGCTGGTGGTTCTGCCTCAGGATCTCTCATGAGATTGCAGAGATTTTGGCCAGGGCTTCAGCCCTTTGAAGGGGTCACAGAATCTGTATTCAAGCTCACACCTACAGCTGCTGCCAGGAGGCTTCAGTTGTTCCTCCAGCATGGGCCTCTCCACAGGACTGCTAGAGTGAAATGTCAGCTTGTTTCCCCCAGAGCAAGTGATCTGAGGCAGAAAGAGTGGGTGCCCACTATTAAAGCCAAGGTCTCTTTATAACCTAATCTTGGATGTGACATCCCCTCGCTTCTGCCACATTCAGTTCATCAGAAGTGAATCACGAAGTTCAGCCCGCACTCCAGAAGAAGGGAATTAAGCTCCACCTCTGGAAGGGAGGGGTATCAAATAATCTATGGACAAAATGTTAGAAATACTACACACCGGCTGAGCACGGTGGCTCCAGCCTGTAATCCCAGCCCTTTGGGAGGCTGAGGCAGGCGGATCACGAGGTCAGGAGATCGAGACCATCCTGGCTAACACGGTGAAACCCCGTCTCTACTAAAAATACAAAAATTAGCCGGGCGTGGTGGCAGGCGCCTGTAGTCCCAGCTACTCAGGAGGCTGAGGCAGGAGAATGGCGTGAACCCAGGAAGCGGAGCTTGCAGTGAACCAAGATCGCGCCACTGCACTCCAGCCTGGGTGACAGAGCAAGACTCCATCTCAAAAAAAAAAAAAAAAAAAAAAATACTACACCACCTCCACACCTTCTCCAATGCTGTTTTTCCTAAGTGTAATGTCCCCCTACCCCCAACACACACACACACAGACACAGACACACACACACACACACACAGGCTTGCTAGGCTAAATCTTACTTGCCCTTCAGGTATGAAATTAAGCACCACTTTCTTCCAGAGCTACCCTGTGTGGTGGCACAGGAAGTGCAATCGTACAGCTCCAGATAGTGCTATTCACCTGGCAGCCACTGCAGATTTGTGTGTTTATTAAGACCGTTTTCAGCAGGTGACTGACAATATAAACCTCATGTACATTCAGAACGGTCTACTGTTGTAATGGTAGTATGTAAGAGGCCTCACATCCTCAGATCTGTCCCAACTCCAACTAACAGGGAATCTTCACCAGCCTGAAGACAGTTGAAGCCCCATATCAGGAACCCCACAGCCCATCTTGGTTCTAACAGGGCAGAATTCTATGGCTATTTGCCAGGTGCATGTGTCCCGGAGCACAGAGGCGGCACCATGCCCTCGTGAAAGAAGCTGGGAGCTCTCAGCCTGCAGATGATCAAAAGCAAGTATTGTGGGACAGGCAGGGGTGATGATGATGACGCCTGCATGGGGAGGCCATGCTGTCTGGTTAAAAAAAAGCTGAGGCCTGAGGGACAGATTAGCCTCTCTGGTTGTGTGAACTTAGGGTGTTCTCTTAACATAAGTCTTCCTGATCTGACAGTGGTTGGGGCATCAAGTAAAGAAGGTGAACACACTGAGAATAAACACAATCCATACAAATTGAGGGCGTTGCTAGGGTCTGCATATTTGCATACCCCCAAAATTCATGTGCTAAAATCCTAATCCCCAAGGTCATGGTACTAGGAGGTGGGGCCTTTGGGAGGTGATTAGGTCATGAGGGTGGCGCCCTTATGAAAGACATTAGTGCCCTTATAAAATATGCCCCAGGAGCCCTTTTGCCCCTTCTGCCATGTGAGGACACAGCAAGAAGCTTCCATCTATGAACCAGAAAGCAGGCTCTCTCCAGATACCAAATCTGCTGGCATTTTGATCTTGGACTTCCCAGACTCCAGAACTGTGCCAAGTCTGAGGGTGGGGAGGCAGAAAGTAACACTAGAGATCTGGGACTTGAACTTGCCAAAATCAAATGATCAAATCAAATGAGGAAGCATTGATTACTATGGGGCATTACTCAGCTATTGGAAAGAGTGAGTTAGAGCTCTATCCGTTGACTTTGAGGATATCCATGATGTATTGTTATATGAGAGAATCAAAAGAAAGGTACTTTGTAAGATCTCATCTTTGTAAAAACAGTATTTTTTTAAAAAAGAGAACATTTACTTAACCATTTCTACTATAAAGCCAGGGTTGTCATGTCACACTATTCCAAAGAACTCCATTTTCATTATGGTCCATGTGAAATTGTGTCTCCACTCCCATCATTCTGAAATTGTGCAGTGCTCAGCATGTGCAACTGTACAAGGAATCCTGTAATAAGACATGCAGAGACCTGGAGGATGTGGGAAAAAAAGAGTGAGGCAGTCATTACCCCTGCTTTGCTTCATAATTTGAAACATGATTTATATTTTGAGATCACTCAAGCACCAGGATCTCTGATCGTCCTGTTTGTGCATTCTAGAAGCCAGGACTCCCCCACCACCATGCACATAGGTTTCTAAAGAACCTACAGGAAAAGAAGCTCAAATATGAGGTGCCCATACATCCCACTGCTTCAATTTCCTCAGGAATGAGCCCCAGAAAGCCACTGAGACACTCAAGGAAGCAGCATGGGAAGACGAGGGGATGAGCTGCCTCAGGAAGCTCATTTCAGCAATGGTTGGAGTGGAGAAAAAGTGGAACCAGCCTGAATACCCATCAGAAAGAGAAATGGATACATGAGCTCTGGCATTTCTCTGCAATCCAAAAAATCGAGGCAATTTTACATTAACAGGGAGAGATGTTAAGCGGAAAAAGCAAGTTGCAAGATATGTATAGTGATCTCATTAAAAATAACTGTGTGTATTATGTGTATACATACATTAAATATATATGTGTATTTGTACTGAAAAAGACGAGTCTGAAAGGATATATGCCAAGCTGTAGACAGTGGTTACTCCTTGGGGTAGATGTCAAGGGAGAGAAGTTTCCACCATTTACTTCAGATACGCAACAGAAGCAAGATTTGATAGGTGTTGAAGTCAGAGGAACTGACCTTATGTCAGGGGTTCTGAAATTTTTTTTAATAAAATACATAAGAATAAAAACAAACCCATTTTGTTGAAACTAAATAATCAAAGCTTTTTTAAACACAGATGTGTGCTAAGTATACTTTGGGTTTTCTTTACTAATGCATTAAATAGCAAGATGTAGCAGCAAGTCCAACGACTACCATCATTTCAAAGAAGAAATGAGCAGACACAATATTTCAAGATATCTGCAACTGTCACGTGGTATGAAAATTTCTGTGATTCCCAGTGCCAACAAAGTCACAGGTATTGGTAATACTTCACTGAAGGAAATGCTCATATCCAGTGAGAGGTTTAATAAAAACAAAGCTATAATTTTTTTTCCCATCCAAGTGCAAGGACTCCTGGATTCTATTTGTGGATGTCTTGAAAGTCCGCGGGAGCCAGGTTAAGAACTCTGAGGATTTCTGCATTCTAGAAAGTCAGCATTCATTTCTTGGTCAAATCTTGCTTTTCTTCTGAGAGGGCTCACTTTGGAGTTTATTTGTGCGGATTTATGTTTTGGGGGTGTCCAGAGTTAGTGAAGTAACCCAAAAGCTGCTGCCTTTGATGTGGATGTAAAACATTCTATTGGGTGATATGAAATCGGTCTTTTATTGAGACTGGGCCTTTGCTAATTTACAGAAAGATTTTTCAATAAATAAAGAAATAAAGGCTGCACTTTCTTTTTTATTTTTTTTTAATTTTTATTTATTTATTTATTTTGAGATGGAGTCTCACTCTGTCGCCCAGGCTGGAGTGCAATGGCACAATCTCTGCTCACTGCAACCTCCATCTCCCGGGGTTCAAGTGATTCTCCTGCTTCAGCCTCCCAAGTAGCTGGGATTACAAGTGCCCACCACCACACCCAGCTAATTTTTGTATTTTTACATTTAGTATTTCACATTAGTAGAGACGGGGTTTCACCATGTTGGCCAGGCTGGTCTCGAACTCCTGACCTCAAGTGATCTGCCCGCCTCAGCCTCCCAAAGTGCTGGGATTACAGGTGTGAGCCACCGTGCCCAGCCTAAGGCTGCACTTTCATTATTTTATTCAGTGTTTCTGGTGGTGATGGTGGTGGTCATTGTGATGGTGATGTTGAAGGTAGAGGTGGAGGTGATGGTAATGATGGTGATGGCAGTGATGGTGGTGGTGGTCATGGTGGTAGTGCTGGGGTTGCAGGTGGAGATGGAGGTGGTGGTGGTGGTGATGGTGGTAATGAAGGTGGAGGTGGAGGTGATGGTCACAGTGATGGTGGTGGTGATGGTGGTGGTAGTGGTATGGTGGTGATGGTCATGGCGGTAGTGATGGGGTTGCAGATGAAGATGATGAAGGTGGTCATTTGGTGGTGGTGGAGATGCTATGTGTGTTCTGTTTGAAAGCTATGGGTGATTATAAGTCTTAACTTCCCCCATGTTCTGGCAGTGGGACTCTAAAGAGGACCAGACAAAAGCCCCCTGCTCTGCTAAATCATTCTGACGCTCCAAATGCACTGTATTTCCTGACTGAACAAGTCGTGCAACAGAAAGTGTACTGTTGGATGTTGCAGTTTTCTTTTCCACACCAGGAAAACTAAACTACATCTCATGGATGAGGCTGTTGTTGTTCTCAGGGGTAATTTTGTCTATGATCAAGAAAAGAGGGAACCTATGGACAGGGCAAAGTAAGGTGCAGGACGCCCCAGTACCTCCAGGATTAAGGAAAAACTAGACCTGGATTTTGAGTTATGCAGATACACTGAGATCCATGTTGAAGGGTGAGCCGGCCCTCACCAGGGAACAGAAATCACATTTAGGTTGTGATTTAGGCCACCACCCTCCGCCCGCCATCCACCACCCCATCCAGAGTAGCCACTTATGGTAGCAATTGTAATTTACTCTGTTTAGCTTCTGATATCCCCAATCCGTCACAGCAGACATGGTTGGCTGTGGCGAACCTAGCAGAGCTGTGCTTTGGGAAGCTGCAGGGGGACCGAATAGCTATGGTGGGGAAGGGCAGAACAGCAGTGGCCTGGGATCCTGCAGCAGCTGCTTCAGGGAGGAGATGGGTGGCCGGAGGGGACCAGTGGCCATTAGGGTGGTTTTGTGGAATACGCAAGCATTTCTTAGAGCTTCCCAGAAAGTAGGCGGAAACTCCCCTTTGTCCTCAGGCTGGAGCTCCTACTCCTAATACCTGAGTATTAAAGAACATATGCTCCCCCTAAGTTTGACAGGGTCAGCGTCACTTGTCAATTACACTTCAAGAAAACCTAAGTTACTTGCAACAAGCATCATTTAATTTTGATTAATTTAAATTTGATTAATTTAAAGGATAATCAATGAAGCTCAAAAGGTAGAGAAGAAGGGAAAGGAGGGAGGGAGGCAATGGGAAGAAAGAAAGTTGAAGAAAGGAAAGGAAGGAAAGAAGAGTAAAAGACAGAGTGAGGAGTACTATGGCTATAACCAAAGAGGTTGGAAGGAGATAGAACGAGGGCAAGGTCACGGTTGAAATGCACCCCACACCGCAGTCTACAGAGAGGCCCCCGGAAATCTGGCCACGCCAGTAGGGAGCAGGGGCTGTCTGCCACAGTCAAGAAATGAGAGGCAGAGCTAGTCCTTTTGCTCTGGAGAACTAGAAATGTGAGGTGGGGTCCAGCAGGCCAGGAGCCAGATGCTGAAGGCTTAGACCTGGCACCTGCCCCAGGTCTGGAGAGGACATTGAGGAAGGCTTGAGGTCTCCTTTGTAGCTGCCCAGCTCAGCCCTCTAGGATAGAGAGGCAGTCAGGGAATAAGAGTCCTGGAACAAACAGTGTACACATGTTTGACACTTCCTCTGTGCTGTCACTATACAGGGCTACAGACAGAGATGCCCTAACCTAAAGCCTGACTGAACCAGGGGTCGCTCCATGGCGCTACAGAAACAGACCTGGATGTAGGGGCTGAATATAACCCGAAAGCAGCTTTGCAAAGTTTTAAAAACCTACGCAGCCACTCACATTCAACTTGGCCAAAAATTCGCCATGACCTCACTCCTTTTTATGAGCAGCTGTCCTGATACTAATCCTGCCTCTTTCCATAATCCCTCTTTCATGAGACTGAGAGAACAACACGTCATGAGCCTAAAGCAAATACACTCACAGAGCCCTGCACTTCGTAACTCGCATCACCACTGCAATGCGATCATGCGCTTGTCTAATGCTCCACTGCCAGAACGTAAGCTTGATTGCGTCTCCTGTGTCCACGGCTGGGGCCCTGGCACAGGCAGCACTGGGTGCATATTTGTTGGATGCCTGTTGGCATGCTGCAAACATGGGAACAAGGAGCAAGCTGGGTCTGGGAAATTACGTCCCTTCTGATGAAGGCTAAAGAAAAGGAAATCTACTTGGAATTCCATCAGATAGGTATGGATTGGTCATTTAAAAGAATAGAATCACTATATGTTAAGTTTTTTGAACTTGTGCCTCCCGTCCCTTCTCTCTCTCTAATATCCCGTAAGGAAGGGTACATGAAAGGAACTTACTGAAGAGTTCACTCAAATCATACTCTTGGGTCTAGACGGAACCTTCATAACCTTCATAGCAGAGCTGCCTACTCAGTGCTTCAAACTTTACAAAAAGCCAAGTGGTTTTTCCAGCCTGTGGATATGATGAAAGAAACCACCTCTTCCCAGTGCACTTTAGATTGGGTGCTAAGCCTTGTTCTCACAAATCACTTGCTCAATAAATACTTGAGCACCGACTCTGTGCCAGGCCGTTGCAGGGCTCTGGAAATATAACGGCAAACACAGCTGACCTCACCCAGGTCTCATGGGACCTCCAGCCTCACCATCCTACCTCTGCTGGTCCAGGGACACACGGTAAACTGGCCACATGAAGAGGGGTCTCCAACGGGGCTGCTTCACAGTAGAGGAGCCATGGCTGAAACTGGGGTCAGCAGCTACTGGACAAACACATCTGCTCTACTTGAGAACACCAGCAGGGTTGTCATGGGTAACACCAATGAAGAGGAGATCTGAATTTAGGGGAAGCTGCCTGCACTTGGAATTGAGAGGCCCAAGTTCCAATCTCGAAAGGGCTCTCCTCCTTCCATAATTATCTAATCAACTAGGGAGCATAGGCCTAAGCCTATGGGAGCTTAAACAAGCTCCAAAATGCAAAAATGTGAGCAAGAGACCTTGGCACATTGAAGGCCACCTTTCTTCCTTCCACAAGTTAGAACTTCTGGAACTAACTTTGCTCTCCATAAAAACCCTCCCCATTGGCAGACACACAGAAACAACCCCAAGGGTCAGGTTTTTAACTTGCCTGAAATCCTGTGGCCTCTCACATCCCTTTGTCTACCAAAAATAATGGAATGCTCCAGGTGGCTGACCAATTGAATCTAGAAAGGAAGTGAATTGATACCATGAGCTTTGCTGGGCCCCCAGCAATAGAAGCTTCCTAGAAAGGCCATAGATGGGGTTGGAATTTCCATTGGCCCTGGAATATAGGGCCTGGGAGAAAAGACAAGGTCTCAGCACCAAGTCCAAGGTCTTTTCCATGCCATCTGCTGCCCTGAGCAGTGTGCTAACAAGAGTGGGCACCTGTATATTCTGGCCTGCCCCATAAAGAAATCAGATAATTGTCAGGCTCAAGGCAGAGAATATGGGGTGGCTTCAAGCCCCACCTAACATGAGGTATTCCTTCATCTCCATCTGGCCCTGCCCAGCATGCCCCCATGTTCCCACACACATGCTCAGAGCTGGGGACAGGCCCAGCCTAGCCATGCCTTACAGATCTAGGACACTGTTGTGGGGTTTGCAAGCACCACAGTAGCTGGCTGAAGCCTTGGGTTCCTGGTGAGAGACAGAGGGAAGGTGATGTGGGGATGTGTAGTGAAAGAAGAAGACAGAGGTTTTCCTGATTGCTTGACAAACATAAGCCCAGCCCTTAGCTTCAGCCCAGGCTCTGACAACATCAGATCACAATAAACCTCAGGTTGTGTTTACTCCCCTTCCCTGGCTCTACCTCCCCTGGTTTCTCAATCTGTCTACTCTTATCTGGCACTGATAATGTGTGGGCTCTGAAAATGTGCCCTTTGGTCTAAAAGTGTGGGGATTCCAAAAAGCCTCCAAGAATGAATGACTCAATCAAGGCTGAAAAGAGCCACATTGTCCAGATGTGTACATCTGCTTGGACCCAGCTCGCAAAGCACTTTAACCATCTTTTCACAACCGCTGTCCACATGGAGTGAGGCTGCAGGGCCGGCATTCCTACTCCTAGATTCTCATCTTCCTGGATGCATCGTCAGTCCCTGGTTGGGATTCCACCACCGAGAGCTGCGCTGCTCCATGTGACTCCTCCACTGCCTCTGAAGACCCCCTTTAGGACCCAAGGATCAAAATCCCTACCTCAGGGTGCCCGTCTTGTTTTCCCTGTCCTAAAAAAAAAAAAAAAAAAAAAGACTAAGGGACTGGTCATACTGCTCTGGTCTCATTCCAAAGTGGCTCTTACACTTGCTGTTGATAAACTCGATAACTGCTCCTTGTTTAGGTCTCACCCGACCTCTATTCCAGTTAGAGGGCTCCTGGGCCACCCCCAAATATCTGGCTTGCCCACATCTGCACTGCGCCTTTGTTTATGCAGTTACCTCCTTGAACACTTTCCTGCAGCTTTTTTTTTTTTTTTTTTTTTTTTTGACACAGTTTCGGTCTTGTTGCCCAGGCTCTAGAGTGCAATGGCGCGATCTTGGCTCACTGCAACCTCCACCTCCCGGGTTCAAGTGATTCTCCTGCCTCAGCCTGCTGAGTAGCTGGGATTACAGGCACCCAACACCATGCCTGGCTAATTTTTTCTGTATTTTAGTAGAGACGGTGTTTCACCATGTTGGCCAGGCTGGTGTCAAACTCCTCACCTCAGGTGATTCATCCATCTCAGCCTCCCAAAATGCTGGGATTACAGGTGTGAGCCACCGTGCCCAGCCTCCTGCAGCCTCTTATCTGTCATGCAGACTAATCTCCTTTAAGACATGCTCCCAGGCCACTGCTAAAAAGGCTGCAGAATGTGGAACTATTTGATGTCCTAATAGCCCCTGCCAACATGAAAATGACCAGCAGGCTCAGTCATGTTGCCGAGGTTAAACTTCAACTGTTTAAACGCCAACCGTGGAATTTGCAAATGGGTAAATACCATACTCTGTACAAGGAGCCAAAGAATCTGCTCAAAGCAGCTGCTCAATGTGTGTCAGACGGGGCCTTAGTTACAGAGCAACACAGACGGACTAACAAAATACATATTCTGATGTTTCATGAACCTACTACGTCAGGGAGACTAATTGAAACAGCTCTCCTGCCAAGCAGACAATTCCATATGCAGAGGAGATAAATAAAAAGAGGCTGCGGGCTGTGGAACATTAGAGAAAGCCAGGTCCCTCTGAGAGATGTAAGTTAAATATGTTTAGTGTAACCTGAGATACCCCGGGCCTCTCCAGCTTGGACAGACCGATGAGGTTACATTAGGAATAACCTGCATTCCACTCCATGCCCTGGCTGCTCGTGATGAACTTCAGGCCTTAGCAAGGGCTCCATGTCTATTTCTGGGAGTGCCAAGGATGTCTCTTGGTTCCTCATGAGCAAAGCTGGTCCTGCCAACCACCCATTGGGTCTACCAGACCTGGCTGTTTCTTGTCCATACCCAGAGCGGTGGGACCTTCTTGTTGATGCATTGTGAAGTCAAGATCTCGCCCCACTTTTTATGTGTACCCCAGGGCCTTCCAGGATTTTTAGTGAAAGAGCTGTTTGAGAGTTTGAATCATTGATCGCCACGCACATGGCACTCAGGAAGAGCTGAACCAAGGGACAAATCTGAGCATCAGACATGGCAGGTCATCCTCCTCCCCCAGGATCAGCCTCCTCCCCCAGTGACCAAGGCTTCATTACTGGATCCAGCTGCTTCTTCTCTGGCGGAATTCATATAGTCATGGCTGGTTAAGTCTCGGTGTTAGCCAGACCTGCGAGTCCCAGCTCGGGCTTAAGCAGAGTTCCCCATTCAAAGGAATTAGACTCTTTTTCTTTGTTAAATTGCCTTAGGAGGTAATGCTTCTGGACCACAGTCACGGAACACAGACAATTTCTACCACAACATCAGATGTTAATGATATCCTAGGCTCATGCTTGTGTTGTTATAATAGGCTGAGAATTAAATTAATTTAAACAATGATATCTATAGAAAAATTATTTTGCCAGGTGCGGTGGCTCATGCCTGTAAACCCCAACACTTTGAGAGGCCAAGGCGGGCAGATCACCTGAGGTCAGGAGTTCAAGACCAGCCTGACCAACATGGGGAAACCCCATCTCTACTAAAAACACAAAAATTAGCCAGGCCTGGTGGCGGGTGCCTGTAATCCCAGCTACTCAGGAGGCTGAGGCAGAAGAATTCTTGAACCTTGGCAGTGGAGGTTGCAATGAGCAGAGGTTGTGCCATTGCCCTCCTGCCTGGGTGACAGAGCAAGACTGTGTCTCAAAAAAAAAAAAAAAAAAAAAAACCCACACACAGAAAAATTATTTTAATTTATAGAGTGCATACTTTTCTAAAAACTATTAAATGCTTAGAAATTTTAAAAAACCAACTGTGCAACCTTCAGTAAGTTACCATACCACTCTGCCCTTGAAGGTATTAAAAGAAATAACCCCAAATTCCAATAATCTCTAGCACTCAATGAGTCTCTGTAATCCATACTTTCCCAAATATAACCTAGAAAGAAACACCCATAAAAGAACAAAAGAGATAAAAAAATTATTGGAGGAATTTATTGCCTGCCTCCATGTCTATAAACGTTCCATGGACACAAAATACAATCATTCAAATTCCCTGGAAACCACCTATATTTTTCGAAGAATTCATTCTGGCCAACAGTTGGGAACCAATAACAGGTCTAGAGCTCCTAATTTAGGCAGCTGTCCCAACATAAAAGCACAAGAGCCAGAGGTGAGTTCTCCAAAGCTGCACCTGTGTCTGCAAACGTTTACACAAGACCCTTGAATGGAGAACATGCCTTGTAGGGCAAATTCAACTTTTCCAAATGACACTGCTATAAGTTACTACATCTCATCCTCTACATCTCTGTGAGGGATGATGGATTAGTATTAACTGTCTTGCAAATACACATACAGAAACTCAGGTAAGGTCAGCCTTACTCAGTAGATAAACCCCAAACATGAAACCAGCTGGGTCAGCCTGTCATAATTGGATCCCTCTTGCATGTAAAGACAAAGGTTGTCTGCTTGGAGATGGAGAAGAGTTCAGCATAGCTCGCTTTGGGGCCAACTCAGAGCAAGGGTGAACCAATCCTAGCTGTCCTCTGACAAATAACAGCTGGAGTCCTGCCAGGAGCTCCTCCCCCAAGCACTTGGTTCCACAAGGCAAACCCCAGAGAAGTACAGGGGAAAAGAGCTCTCCATTTCTCAGCAGGGGACACCCTGGTCCCCACTGCCACTTTGTTTGCCCTCCAAGGGAAAAACCTCTCAATACCAGGTCCAGGAGCAGCTGGATGGGATCACTCAGAACCCGGCCGAGAGCTAATTCCCTCTTGGCTTCAAAATCCATCCTATGCTTGGAGATGCTGGGGCTGGGATTCTACAAACCACATTCTGGCTTTGTGCCCTGATAGGCTCAGCCCCCAGGGGGAGCTAGAAGGAATCTGCTAGGCTAAAGGAGGAAGTAGGAAGTGGCCCCTTGCTCACTTCCTGTTTGCTTCCTGTTCACTTTCTATCAGCTTCCTGTCCCTTGCCAGACAGGTTGCTAACCCTAGCAGTGCTTTTTCTTCACCCAGGCAGTGGCAACTCCTCCCAGAAACATTTCAATGCAGTTTTTGGTTTTTCCAACACTCACAAAAGCAGCCTCATGGGGGTCCCCTCAGAGACACCAACAAAACATCTCCCCTATTCAGAGGAGGGGGCACCATCCCCACAGGACTCTCCTCAGAGCTCAGAGATACCAGCTGCATTGAGTGGCATCCCCACTCCCCCACCTCAGAAGTCTGAGATTCAGCCCCATGTCCCTTCTCCAAGCAACCACCTTTCAATGAGTCCAGCATCTTCCCCTTGTTCCCAAGCCTCAAGTGTGATGCCTGCTTCCTGTGGTGCTACCTCCATGGATACCTTTGTATTCCCTTCCTGCCCTTTACTGTCACCTGGTTAATCATTCTTTATATTATCTCTAATAAAAGAGCTTGTGTGATTTCTGTCTCCTGCCTGGACCCAGACAAATCACCCACATTTTGGTCCTGAGAATCTGCAGCAGAGACTAGAGCCAGGGACTGCCCAAACCCACCAGAGAGCAGTGTGGGAGGGGACACACTCACCCACCCACCTACAGCTTGCATTCTGATCTGGTTTCTCTTAGCCAAGCTCCGCATGAGCAAGAGCAAGTTCAGATTTAAAGGACACTGTCAAGTGAGTGGTAAATGGAGCTTAACTTTTGTACGTTCTTGGGGAATGGCTGCAGGGACCCCTGGCTAAAACATTTGCATGTTTCTCCTTGTTGGTCAGTAGCGAACTGTAGGGAGCATCCTCATCATAGGCTTGCGGGCAAAGATGATCTTGTTATAGTTTTCAGTTGGACAGTCTCTGGAATCCGCATGTAAGTGTGTGGGTTCTGGGATCATGGTAGGAGCCATGGCCAATACCGAATAAGCGCCCCACATTGATAACGTGGATTCTGACAGCGTGTCCCTGAACACAGCTTTGCCAGAAGACTTGGAAGACTTCCTCCTTTTCGGCTGAATGACGCTGGAAGGTTTATTCTGCCTTGATGCCCAGGGTCTTTCCTCGAGGGCACGCATGCATTCCAGTTCTCTAGTTTTGCTTTTCTCAATGAGTCTTTTCACTGTCTGAGAGGTATAGGTGACATAGGCCGGCCAGGGGTCATGTTTTTCAAGTAGCTTCCGGGGAAGTCCAGTGTTTTCTGTGAGTCCTACCAACAAAGAGAAATGCAGGCCATTTAGAGGCAGTCACATGCAATAGCTTGATTCTTCAAAAAATGGGAAGGCATTGGAACCAGATTTTGAAGTCCTCCCTATTTTGCACCCCTTGTATTCAGTAGGAATAAAATCCAATTCAAAGTGGGGGAACAGAACGACATCCTAGAAAGTCTATCAATTAAACAACGAAAGAATGGTAAGGAGCAAGAGACAGAGTCAAACAGATCTGATTGATTTTAAATATTTGCATAACCTCAAATTGTTTTACCCCTGAACTTCTATTTTTTCACCAATAAAAATGGTTAGTCTAAGGCCTGAGAACTAAAGAAAGTAATATATTTCAAGGGCTTGGAACAGTACACTTAGTGCTTGAAAGCATGGGTTCTGTACTTGTCTGCTCCAAATTCCTACTCTACCCTCTTCATAGCTGTGAACCTTGAACAAGTTTCTTAACCTTGCTAAACTTCAAGTGCTTAATCTGTAAAATGGTGATTAGAATAAGACAAAGTTCATGGAACTTTCTTGTGGATTAAAGATAACTTATGTTAAGCTTTTAGCACAGTGACTAAAACCTTCGGCTATGTCTCCCAGCCTAAACTCTTTCATTTACTTCTAGTTACACCTTATAAGGTAGGTATTCTCCCATTTAATAGAGGACGAAACTGAGGCTGACTAGCTTGCACGACTAACAAGTGGTGGGTTTGAACTCAAGCTTAACAAGGCTCAAAAAAACCAAAGCTTTTCACTATGGTTGCTGGCCAGAAGTTTGGGGTGTTTGCCGAGGGGGGTGGGTGTTGCTAGAAATTCAACGCATTAGTTTATCAAGCAGCCTGTTCCTTTACAGATCCAAAATCATGGGCATGTCAGTCCTTCCCATCTTTCATTAGCAACGTCACTCTATTTAGCAGAAATGATTCAATTTCTCTCCTGCAGCTGCTACCTTCCTCTGTGTTCTTATGTGGTGCATTCTTTCCCTAATTCTATATTTCTTTGGTCATTTCAACTGGAGTTTTGCAGGGAGGAGAGTTAAAAGAGTCATCTTGCCATCTCCAAATTGAATGCAGTTAAAAAAAAAAATGCCGTAAATGGGGATAATCAAGTGAAGTGTAGGTCGTATAGTTATTCCCACGCTGCCTCGTGGCTGTCCAGGAGCTGGAGCTTGTCTGGGGACAGATCTGTCAGTAAAGAATGTGCTGTAGAAGGATTCCATCTCCCTGTAAAAGTCATGTGTGACATTACCTCTCACTAGAAACTTCCCAGCAAGGCCTCCAAGCACAGACTGTTCACCCTTGCCTCCTCCAAGCAAATGTAAGATCTTGTGGGATAGGGCATTTGCATGGATCTGGCAGAGTCCAAATTCAAACGCCTGGAGCAAAATGAGCAGCAACCCCGTTCCATCTCCTGAACATGCTGTGTTCTCTGCCACCATAACAAGAGTGGCTGCCCGCACTATTCACAATAGCAAAGACTTGGAACCAACCCAAATGTCCAACAATGATAGACTGGATTAAGAAAATGTGGCACATACACACCATGGAATACTATGCAGCCATAAAAAATGATGAGTTCATGTCCTTTGTAGGGACATGGATGAAGCTGGAAACCATCATCCTCAGCAAACTATCACAAGGACAAAAAACCAAACACCGTTATGTTCTCACTCCTAGGTGGGAATTGAACAATGAGAACACTTGGACACAGGAAGGGGAACATCACACACTGGGGCCTGTTTGTGGTGGGGAGAGGGGGGAGGGATAGCATTAGGAGATATACCTAATGTAAATGATGAGTTAATGGGTGCAGCACACCAACATGTCACATGTATACATATGTAACAAACCTGCACGTTGTGCACATGTACCCTAGAACTTTAAGTATAATAAAAATATATATTAAAAAAAAAAAAGAGTGGCCGCCCAGTGGCCTCTTCCCACTGCGAATCCTCCAACCCTAGACGGCCCCAGTGCAGGAGCTTCCACTGGTAACACTCCCAACCCTACCTTCTTCTTTCTTCATCCTTCTTGCATCCATCTTCTTTTTAATATTTACTGATTTCTTAACATCACAGGTTCAGATTCCTATGGGAAAATACACTTGTTAGCCAGAGCCTCCTCAAACTGGAAAGCAATTAGTAGCCACCCTGGGTGGGGGTGGTTCTAAGTCCTATATGGTCACTGCATGAGGCTAAGATGACTCCACCCCCTGAGAAGAGGACATGTTTTTTGTGGAGCTGGAGACAGGCCAAGTGAGCCCCGCAAAGGCCTGCAGGCATGGCCTTGCTCAAGAGCTGTAGACTGTCATGATAGTCTCTGGGTGTTCTGCTTTCCAGTCTCCTAACTTTAAAGGAGAGAGGCTGGGTAGGCTGGGGGCTGTGTGGAGGCTGGTCCACAGAGGGGAAGTGAAAAAAAAAAGTCCCCGTTTCAAAACCTTTCTATCTCCTCTACCAGAGTCCAAGAGTGGTCACATTACTACAAGCACGACATCCAACCTGCACTTCTCAGCCTGGAATGACAGAAGGTAGCAGAGATGGGCAGTGGCCAGGAGTCAGCTACCAGGGCCCCAAGCCCAGGCTGAAACATGGAAGTCTAATGCTCTATGCAACCATGCAGGGGGGAAATCTGATGGAAACCATAGTGTAGTGGTTCTCAAACTTGAGGCTGCATCCACCTGGAGAGCTTGTTAAAGCCCAGATTGCTGAGCCCACCTCCAGAACTGCTGATTTAGCAACCGCTGTTTTAAGCCAAAAGGGGGAAAGAAAAAAAAACTACTGGAGATTTGTAAGGTTATATTATTAACTACCTAGAGACAAGAAATGAGTCCAGGAGATCTTTTTGGTTCCTTTCCAGCTCTAAGACACATGCGTATGCCTAAGAGTTCATTACATTTCTATATTCGATTTTGCCATCTCTTTGGCCTTTAAGCACTTAAAAGTGCCATGAAGCATTTCTACTATCACCTGCAAAAGCCCATTGAGAAAGAGTCTCAGATAATTCTGAACAGCTCCCAGATGATGCTGGTGCTTTTGGTCTGGCGATCACACTTTGAGAACCATGGGTCGAAGGCAGTGCTTCTCAAATTTTACCAAGTACTAGAATCACCTGGAGACCTTGTGCAACCACAGACACCCAGGTCCCACCTTAGAGATTCTGATTCAGTAGGTCTGTTTTGAGGACCTGAGAATCTGCATCTCTAAGTAACTCCTAAATGATACTGATGTTGCTGGCCTGTGGTTCATACTCTGCGTAGCCCTGGTTTAGACTGAGTAGTGGGTGTTAAGCCTTTTTTATCAGCTGCCACGTACGTGAGGGCTGACTCATTTCTGCATGGAACACTCCTCCGAGATAAGCAGTTCCCAGGTTTTTCATCCCCCTTTTTCCCTAATCAAGGAACTATTGTGGAATGGTAGTGAGTGTGTCATTGACAGGGTCAACTTTAAATTCCACTATTTTTATAGAGTAAATTATTCACACATTCCAGCATTTTATTATAACACATCTAACAAAGGATGGCATCCCGGAGATTCATTCATACTCCCAAAAAAATGCTCTTTTTGTCAAACCTATTTAGAGACAGATCTTACAGAGTCCCTGCTGTGGGTATCAGTGCCAATCTTCCACAGCAGTGCAGTTCTAGAAGAATTCACAATGTCATTATTCTGAGGCTAGGGAAGAAATAATGCTCAAATAGTCATCTAACGTAGAGAAAGTTTCATGTCATCATTTTTTTTTAATTGTAAGGTAAAGCATCTTAGTTCTCCTTCTAAGACCTACCATAAGGCTTCAGAATCTAAAGTCACCCATTCCAAGTCCCCCATAACACAGCACATGACACGCAAGTGGCCACCCAACTTGGGCCTGTCCACCTCTAGTGAAAATAGAACTCTTTACTTCTTCCATATTTTAGCATTGTTAGAAATTTCTTGGCTGGGCGCGGTAGCTCATGCCTGTAATCCCAGCACTTTGGGAGACCACGACGGGCGGATCACCTGAGGTTGGGAGTTCGAGATCAGCCTGGCTAACATGGTGAAACCCTGTCTCTACTAAATATACAAAATTAGCTGGGCGTGGTGATGCATGCCTGTAATCCCAGCTGCTCAGGAGGCTGAGGCAGAAGAGTCACTTGAACCCAGGAGGCGGAGGTTGCAGTGAACCGGGATCGTGCCACTGCACTCCAGCCTGGGCAAAGGAGTGAGACTCCGTCTCCAAGAAAAAAAAAAAAAAGAAAGAAAGAAATTTTTCTTCATCTTCTCATCTGTAAATAGGATGCCAGATGGTGGAAATATGTTTCAGCTGGCAGTATTTGGAGGGATTGGGAGTCATTCCTTTCATCATTGCTTCTAAGTTTCTAGTTGATGAACCCTGAAGCCTCAGGAAAGCCCAGTCTTACAAACATTTGTTTCCAGACTTGTGTGCATCTGTGTGACCCACCATCCTGCTCAGAGCCTCTGGCCAGGACTCACCTGACCCCTACAGCTGTGCCGTGTGGCTGATAGGACAAGTCTACGAATGGTGGGTTTTTCTCGTACCTGCTGAAGCAGGAACTAGGAAACGATAAAAAGAACCAAGGGAGGGAGTGTTTGAGACTGCCTCAAAACTCATGGGGAGGACTTGTTTGTTTGAAAATAACAGGAGACAAATAGTTGACATTAAGTCTGAAGAGAAGCTGTGGGCTTTTATAATTTCCTTCAATTCCAGCACAAAGGTTCCATTTTGTGTCCCTGTAAATGAAATGCAAACCAGCAGTCTACAGACAGAAACAGCATTGACGGGAGGGGCAGGAGGCAGAGCGTTGAAGCGGCTTTCTTGTTTTTCCTACAGACACAAAGCCCAAGTTCAGACTACTGGGCTTTCAGAGCCAGCTCCCCACTCCCCCGCTCAATCTCTCATCCCACCATTTTCAGAATCTAGTCTGACAGACTAGGTTTGGCCTAAATCATTCAATTACCTGGAACGTGAAACAATCAACCTTGATCACCTTCCTTAACTTCTTAGGACCTCAGTTGTCACTTACAAAATGAGGAAGAGGATGAACTCCTGTCCCAGAAGACACAGTTCTGTAATTTCTTTTTTTCTTTCTTTTTTTTTTTTTTAGAGACAGGGCCTCACTCTGTCACTCAGGCTGGAGTGTAGTGGCACGATCGTAGCTCACCGCAGCCTTGAACTCCTGGGCTCAAGCAATCCTCCTGCCTTCACCTCCTGGGTAGCTGGGACTACAGGCACACACCACCATAGCTGGATAATTTTTTTTTTTTTTTTTTTTAGTAGAGACAGGGGTCTCGCTATTTTGCCTGATCTCAAGTTCCTGGGCCCAAGCGATCCTCCCACCTCTGCGTCCCAAAGTGCCGGGATTATAGGTGTGAATCATAACACCTAGCCCACAGTTGTTTTAAAAATGTCTGGTAATTGCTTTCTTTGCCATGTCTGCTGCGAGAATGAAGACCGTTCTCAGCAATCAGACTGCTAACATTCTAGAAAATGTCAACATTACTCTGAAGGGACACACAGTTATCGTGAAGGGCCCCAGAGGGACTTCAATCACATCAGTGTAGAACCCAGTCTTCTCGGACAGAAAACAAAAAAGGCTCCGGGTTGACAAAGGGTGGGGTAACGGAAAGGAACTGCTACCGTTTGGACTATTTTACTCATGTACAGAACATGATCAAGGGTGTCACACTGGGCTTCCACTACAAGTTGAGGTCTGTGTATGCTCACTTCCCCATCAATGTTGTTATCCAGGAGAATGGGTCTCCTGTCGAAATCCAAAATTTCTTGGGTGAAAAATACATCCACAGGGTTTGGATGAGACCAAGTGTTGCCTGTTCAGTATCTCAAACCCAGAAAGATGAAGGAAACAACATTGAGCTTGTTTCAAATTCAGCGACTTTGATTCAGCAAGCCACAACAGTTAAAAACAAGGCAATCAGGAAATTTTTGGATGGTATATATGTCTCTGAAAAAGGAACTGTTCAGCAGGCCGATGAATAAGATCTAAGAGATGTCCAGCTACAGAAACAAGATGCCGGATGATTCCTAAGACCTACTTGTGATATTTAAAAGATGCAATAAAAGACCTATTGATTTGGAAAAAAAATGTCTGGAAATTAAAATGCTTCTAAACCCAGTGGTCCCCAAACTTTGCAGCACATTGGAATTACTAGGGATCTTGGAAAAATACAAATGTAGGTGCCCACTCCCAACATCGTGATTTGATTGGAATGGGATGCAGTACAGGCACTGGAATTAAAAGTGTCCCAGACAATTTCTCTGTGCAGCAAAATTTGGGAACTGCTGTTCTAGAATCTAAAACAAAAACAAATTGAAGATTTATAAAATATTATTATTAACTACTTAGAAACAGAAAAAGAACCGGGCGCGGTGGCTCACACTGTAATCCCAGCACTTTAGGAGGCCAAGGTGAGTGGATCACTTGAGGCCAGGAGTTCGAGGCCAGTCTGGCCAGCATGACGAAACCCCGTCTCTACTAAAAATATAAAAATTAGCCAAGCGCAGAGAGAGAGAGAGAGAGAGAGAGAGAGAGAGGTCCAGAAGATCTTTTTAGTCCCTTTCCAGTCCTAAGACACATGCTTTCACTCAAGAATCCCTGATTATAGTCAGCACTGCATCTCAAGGGCCTTTAAACATTTAAAAGGGCCATGAAGTATTTCCACAACCACCACCTGCCAATACCAAAATTGACTTAGATCAAAGAAGAAGCAGTGGCTTTAAAGTACAGAGCTAAGGAAACTGTGGCCGCCATGGGACTCTCATGCAAATCTAATGATCTCACCCTCTCTGGCCGCAAGCTGCATCCTTATCTCAGGAAACCATCTTGCAAAAGGATTTTACGGGTTCCAGGCAGGATTGATGGATTAGTGCTCTGGCACAAATCGACCCCACTCAGACTTTTTGCCCTACTAAGGCTGTGAAAGTAGTTCCATTTACATAGTCATGATGAGTGGATTATTATCTCAATCTAGTGTTTCCTAAACTGTGTCCCACAGAATGCAAGAATCTCTCCTCAAGATGTTAATAGGTATTACTTAAAGAAAAAGAAGGGGCCCATGGCAAAAGCTGCCCTATAAAGCCATACAGATTGTTCAACCCAGGAGTCGCCACATCTTCTAAATCTGCAAGATTTCAGGCCTGTCCTCAGTCAACTAAGTTAGAAAAAAAATGCCATGTTAAAAAAATTCCTTTGGAGCAGGATTTTCAGAGTCTGATATATGTTAACTTGTTCTGTAATTCTCCAAAAGGAAGACTGAATATGCAGCATCCCCTAATCTCATTTGACCAAGGAATCACTCATTCATTCATTCATTTAATGCGTGGGTCATCTCATGGAACTAGCAACCAGTGAAAAAATGTTCTTCTCCTGCCCTTGTTTTGGAATTGCAAGCCTCAGAGAATGTTATGGAGTAAGAGGATAGAATGATGAACTTGCTCAGGGTATAACAGGGTCTTCAATGAATCACCTTCCCTGAAATCAGCTGCAGAGTCCCCAAAACTGTCCCTATGCAGAAGAAAAAGCTCCACTGGAAACAAGACCTGTGTTCACTCTGTTCAGCCTCTTTCTTCTCTTCTCTGCTCCAATCTGCAAGGCTTCTTTTGTTTGTCTCACCTCCCACTTTTCTTCCTGAGCCATCCCTAAGTGTCTTGCCTGGCCCCAGAAGGAGAATCACATTTTCTCAAACAGGAGCCTGATGCAAACCCTCATTTCACCTCTGCATTTTATCCTCTTTGACCTTCCATCTCCTCCCTGCCCTCTGCTTTTTTCTTTTTTTCCTTCCCTCTAGCCACTCCTCATTTATGTTTGGCTAAAGAGGAAGCTACCACTAAAGCCAGAAGTGTCTTGAAAAGCTTATCTCTGAGATCTGGAAAGATGCTCCTGAGCAAGGATCCACTTAGCAGAACTTGCGGTTTCCATGCTGATCTCCACCCGAATGGGCCGACAAGAGACCCACAAAACTGCCCATCTCACAGGACCAGCACATGTGCTGACTCCCTGAACTTCAAACAGAAACGCTGGGAAGCACCGAGTGCACACCTACGGATTCTCAGTGGCGCCCCCTTCTGACTCTCTCCACTTCTTTACCCCGCCCCTATCCCATGGAAACTGTCACCATTGCCCCACCTCTAACAAATGGGTTCTGCGGGGTGCACACAAGAAGATGACCATTTCTTGTGCCTTTAGTGACACAGACACTGGGGACCCTTGGGAATCGTAGAAATGTTAAGGCAAAGGGCAATGGGAGTGGGGAGGGGCGAATTGGTCTTTCGGGAAAGAAGGCATCTCTCTCCCTCTCCCTATGCAATAATTTGCTGGACACGTCTTCCTCTCTAGCGCCTCTCCCCAGAAACGAACACACACACAAAGGAGAGAAACAAGTCCATTACCGCACTATCTTTAAAAAGTCACGTTGCATACAGTGGGCCATTTGGTAGTGTTAGCATGTTCTTATACAGACCGTGCCTCTTTCTGGTGGATCAGCTGTCTCTAACCACATCAGGGTGGGGAGGTGGGAGTCTGATCAGAATTGCTCATCTTCTAACACAGACTTGGCATTACTGATTCATCACTTATGATGGGAAGGAGGGGATATGTTGCTTCTTGATAATGCTTCTATACTTTATTTTCTGTAACGATTATATGTGTACGTTGAGGGCATTTTATTTTCCAATGGTGAAAACGCAGTTCAAGTACCTATGGCCATTCAACATATTCATTCATGCACACATGCACACATTCAAAAAACCTATCCTGAGCTCCAAACATTACTCTTCTAAGAGGGACAGGTCCTGCACTCACCCAGGACCCACTGTGGATTTTCCACATTTGCCTCTTACTTTGGGATCTACCCTTCTCAATGTCAAGGGTCCGCAATCCAGGTTTCCCGTGCTGATAAATCCAGACTAATCATTGCTATCTGTGTTACGAGAAACAAAAGCAGAGGCCTCCCAGTACATAGGACAATACATGTTCCATCAACCACTCTGCAGTCAGGTACTGACTAAGCATCTCATACATCAGGCAGGCACTGAGTCTTGGTTCAAGGAGCTCACAGCCCCATGAGGAAGACAGACCACCAGTTTCCTAATTCAACCTGGGTGGGGAGGAGTGTCAAGAAGGAGGTTCAAGAAGAGAAAATGGTTATGCTGGATCTCAAAGGGCAAAGGAAATGATGGGCAGTGGGCATGGTTTAAATGCCAGCCTCATTGCTTCCAAATCCTGAGTGAAGTGCTTCCCCACTCGGGATCCATGTTCTTCTTCCAGCATGCAGATAATATAGGCAGTTTCCAAACAGTGTGTTTTCTGCATGTGAATTATAATGCTGAATTGGCTGAAGAAACACTTTATAAATTCACTGCGGGAAGAAGCATTAGGCACTGTATACTTATCAGGTACAACCATGAATCTGAATTTTATATTTATCCAAGGAATATTCAATTACAAATATTAAATTCCCACTTTAAGATGACATTGGAAGGCCCATTAAGCATAAAACACATGTGGTCATTATCTATTGATCTATTATCTACAGATCAAGTTCCAAATTTAAAAATAGAATTTCCAGAACTAGCCAAGCAGGCATAATCAGAGGAGAGCTTTTCAACCTTTTTCTTCCATGGACATTTTTGGGGTAGGCTTGTACACTGGCAGACTGGACAAGTAAGAAAGATACGGAGAAACAAGCAGCAAGAAATAGCCCTACAAACTCATATTCAGGAAAGCAAACATGAAAGGCTTTAAGCAATTTGTGCTCAGAGACCCTCTCTCTGCCTGACAGCTCCTGAGCAGTGTGACTATTAAAATGTGTTGCCTCATAATATCTAATCAATCAGAAAAAGGAAGTCCTGCTCCGTTGAAACAATAGGGACATTGTGAACCTGGAGAACACTTCAGGGAAACAGCCCGGCATTTCCCAGGACTGCGCTCAATCAATGGGCCAAGCCACCCCTTTTCAAACGCTCAAAGCACTAGGAATCCAGGCCAGTGTTGTTTTGAAGAAGGTGACTTGCATTTGAGATTTTACCTAGAAGAAGCCCCAGTCTCCACTTCTAAGGAACTGCACATCCTCCAAATATCCCAGCCCATAGCATGACCATGCAGAAAACACTTTCCTAACCCTTCCAGGAAGGGAATCACTCATGTGCTCTCAGAGGAAGGTGAAAGTGACTGTATTATAAATAGTGTGTGTCACAATTACATTGAGAAATTGCCAGAAAGCAAAAGGTGTAGGGCTTTACTTCAGGCCTCACGTAAACTGATGACCTTGCATTCAAAATCTGAAAAGCTGAGGGTAAGAAGCTGAAATGTGGAGACACACACCCTCTCTCCCTTCTGCCGCAGACACCCCTGGGACTTTCTGCCAAGAGAACTTTGTCAGGTCATCATCAGGAGACGCGCTCTCTCTCCTGGGCCTTTGCAGGCCTCTCAAGGAAAGGTTGTTCCGGAGCCTGGAGGCAGTCACTTTCCTTCCCCACTACTGCCATCCTCAAACCATTTTCCTTCCTTCCTCCTCCTCTGAAGCTTGTGCCCCCAGGCTACACCACCACCTCACCTGCCCGGTTGCTGCCAGCTCCTGAGCGCTGTCCTCTGCCCCTCAGTCCCTGACAACTTGAGCCCCAGGCACACTGTCCTCCTTTGCGCTGTTCCCTGTCATCACCGTGGCTTCTTCATTGTCTCCTGAATGATCTGTGCAGACCTCCAGCCCAGCAGTCCTTGACCTGCTCATTTCCAATCACCAGGTCTTCCTCTCAGTCTCCACCACCCGTGCCTCTGTGATCAGGCCACTGTTCTTATCATCCCCAATAACGATGCTACATCCAAAATCTAAGCTGCAAGCATCTCACTCTTATTTCACACATATTTGCATGGCAAAGCCTTAATACCAGTTCAATCCACCTGTGGGGCTCTTTTGGGTGCTGTCATCTCAGCAACTAAACTTGGTGAGAGGAAAACGCCACTGTGCCGATTGGTCCCACGTGGAGTAACAGCTAACATTTCTATGCCGTGTGGTGTGACCAGGGCACACGCTAAGTGTATTACCTATAGTGACTAATTAAATCCTAACAAAACCCATATGCATTAGGTACTATTGTATTAACCCCATTTCACAGGCAAGTAAACTGGAGCCTGTAGGGACATTAAGCAGCCTGTCCAAGGTCACACAACAATTAGGTGACAAAAAACAGGATTTGCCCTCAGGCAGTCTAGCTGCAGAATCCTTTTCTTTATAATTCCACACACTTGCTCCTCTATCTCCAAGTCAATCAACAGAGGTAGTCCAACCAACACTTCTCCCTTCCTACTCTTTTCACTTTTCCACTCCCCAAGCAACTCTTTCTTTTTTTAATATTATATTTATTTTAGATTCAAGGGTCCGTGTGCCTGTTTGTTACGTGGGTATATCGTGTCATGGTGGGCTTGGGATCCTGGTGAACCCATCACCCAAAATATTGAACTTTGTACCCAACAGGTAATTGTTCCACCCTCACCCTCCTCTCATCCTCCTCCCTTTTGGAGTCCACAGTGTCTGTTATCTTCACCTTTATGTCCATGTGTACACATCGTTTACCTCCCAGTCATAAGTGAGAACATGTGATATTTTATTTTCTGCTTCTGGGTTAGTTTACTTAGAATAATGGCTTCCAGCTCCATCTATATTGCTGCAAAGGACAGTCTTTCATTCTTTCTCATGGCTGCATAGTATTCCATGGCATATATATGCCACATTTTTCTTATCCAGTCAACCATTGGTGGACACTTAGGTTGATTCCATGACTGCTATTATGAATAGTGCTGGGATAAACATATGAGTGCAGGTGTCTTTTTGATAAAATGATTTATATTCCTTCAGGTAGATTCCCAGTAGTGGAACTGTTGTGTCCAATGGTAGTTCTATGTTTAGTTCTTTAAGAAATTTTCATACTTTTTTCAATAGAAGTTAAATATTTTATATTCCCACCAAGCAACTATTTCAAACCTCCTCTTCACCTCCTTCTCCTTCCATTGTAGGTTGTCTTTGTCTTGCCCGGCTTTGAGAAAAATCCAAGAATCCATCAAGAACTCCCTCATCTCCCACCATCACTCGTACCAACTCTCCACCATAAGCTCCCCTGCACTATGCCTTCCTTCCCACTACTATGAATGAGGCATCTGTATTCCTGTCAAAGAACACCTCTCCACTTGCAGCTCAGGCCTCTCACCCTCCACCTTCCAAAATGCAATGGTCATGGATAGAGTTGAGCACTCACTCTCACATTCTTGAAATGTTCTCCCACCTGGTTTCCATGATGCCACAGGAGTGGAATCCCACCATCACTCAGCAAGCTCCTTCTGTCTCCATTGAGGATTTCTAGTTCCCTTCTTTTTTTTTTTTTATTTCCACACATCCCCAAAGTGATGGCAATCAGTTTTGTGGCTCTACATCTCATCAATTTGCCACATCTAACTAGACTGACTTCTTTCCCAAAGTCCAAATACATATATCCAACTGCCAATATACTACATCTTTATTTGTATATCTAATAACCTCTCAAACTTTTCATGGTTCAAACAAACTCTTGACCTTACTCCATAAAATGTTCCTCTCTGGTCTCTTCCATCTCAGAAAGAGGCATCATCATTCATCGAATTGCCCAGTTCAAACATCTAACATCTCTTTCTTCTTCATTCAATATCTCCAGCCCATTATCCTCCCCAAACCCAGCATGATTTAACTTCTCTACACCACCAGCCTCCTCTAAGACATCAACATCTACTAACTGAACTACTGAACACCTGCTACTGGTCTCCCTGCTTCCACTCTTGTTCCCCTATGATATGATTTGGCTATGTCCCCACCCAAATCTCAACTTGAATCGTAGCTCCCATAATCCCCACGTGTTGTGGGAGGGACCTGGTGGGAGGTAACTGAATCATGGGGGTGGGTTTTTCCCGTGCTGTTCTTATGATAGTGAATAAGTCTTACAAGATCTGATGGTTTTATAAAGGGCAGTTCCCCTGCACATGCTGTCTTGCCTGCTGCCATGTAAGACGTGCTTTGCTTCTCCTTCACCTTCCGCCATGAATGTGGAGACCTCCCCAGCCATGTGGAACTGTGAATCCATTAAACCTCTTTCCTTTATAAATTACCCAGTCTCGGGTATTTCTTCATAGCAGTATGAAAATGGACTAACACACCCTACAACTCCTTCTCCAAAGAGGACCCAGAGTGATTATTTTTAAACATGATCAGATTAAATCATCCCCCTGCCTAACATTCCCCCCTCCATTTAGAAGCCAATGCCAGTTCCTTATGTTGGCCTGCAAATCCTCTTTGATCTGGCCCCTGCCTCCCCACAAGCCTTGGCCAGAGCAGCTCCCCACATCACCCACTGTGCCCGGCCACACTGGCCTTGCCTCTCTTCTTTAAAAACATCAAGCTTGTTCCCACCTCAGGGTCCTTCCCCAGCTACTGCCTCTGCCTGGGATGCATGTGTCCCTGATCTTCACATGGGTTGTTCCTGCTTAGAAGTCAGGATTCAGCCTAAATGTCAACTCCTCAGCCTTCCCTGACTATGTAACATCACCACCAGTCACTATCACATCTCCTATTTTAATACTCTGTCTAACACTATCCCTGCCTGACATTTCTTATGATTTACTCATTTATTTTCTCTTAACCAACTAGACTATAAGCCACATGACAGCGATGATCTCATCCATCACATTCATTGCTCTGTCCCCAGGCTCTTGGGTCAAAATCATCAGATAAATGGACGTTACTGCAATTGCCATAAGCAACTTCTCCTGGAATCCCCAGGGATCGCTGGAAATCCAAATATCCAGCAGCTGCACACTTGTATGGGACACAAATGAAAAACACAGACTGGCTCACTTGGCAGTAGCCACTACTAGAGAAGGTAAAATGGCAAAAGGTGGGACGTTATCCTGAAAAATATGACAAACAAATAGGATTAAGGGAAAGGCCTGGGTTCAAATCCTAGCACTGCTCTTTACTGCTTTTAAGTGGGCAAATCCCTTGCCCTATCTCTCTCTGAGCCTTAAAGTTTTCCCCCATCCATAAAATGGGAATGATACATGTCCCAGTAGGTTTATTGTGAAGATTGAGTGCAGCATTGCAGTTGCCTGTTAAGGAGCAAGAATTCAAGCACATGGACCCGTGACAGTCCAGGATTCACACTTTGTTGAAAGAAGAAATGAAACCTTGTCTAACATGAAAAAGTCCATGGGACCTAAATGTACCAAATTCTAACTCAAGCTCTACTCTGCTTTCCCTTCGAAACTCCATTTCTAGTCTCACCTTGTCCAATATGTGCTTTTACCAGGGCCAGGTGTCATCACCGCCAAATATGGCTCCAGGGATATCTTCTGTATGTTGTTAACGGATGTTAGCTGCTCTTTCAAATGCATGGAGTTGCCTCCCTCATAATGATTATAAATTCACACACATGGCCCCTCCTCTATACACCCTTCATATCTCCTTCCCTTCCAGGACGGCTCCAGTGATACTTCTTTTGAGAGGCTGGCCCAGGCCTCTAGGTGAAATAGACAGGCCCTCCTCTCTGCTCCCAAGTATCTTATCTGAACCTTATCTATCAAGGCCGTCTATCCCATTATGTGTTATTTAGTTGGGATGTGTCTCTCTCTCTTTCTCTTTCTCTTTCTCTCTCTCCCTCTCTCTCCTTAAATTGTGTTTTTAAGGCTCAGAAGTGAAATCCTTACATTCCAAGCAACTCTTGGCCCACTGGAAGGATAGACTGTGGTCAAAACCCAAGGCCAGATTTGCTTAACTTGTTCTGATATCTTGCCTTCCTCTTCTCCCAGCTGAAAACTCTCTCTTAAAGTTCCTGGTGCAGCTCATTTCACTGGGTTCCTGAGAAACACAGAATGAGGAAGGTTAACTGGCAACATTTTAATATAATGTAACTAAGATGAATGATTTGGGAGTGGAGGGAGAATTGACACTTAAATACATAAAAAATTGTTGCCTATAATTAAAAATTAAATAGCAATTGTCCATTCCCCAGACGTCACAAAAGAGGCCTCTTGAAATTGGGCAGAAACCTTTAATTATTCATTTCAAATGAGTCTTTCTAGGCACAAAGATACCCCAATAGTATACAATGAAACATAACTATCCACATAGAAAATATGTGTGGGTAACATGCCAGGAAATCCTGAAGTTCTGACAAAAGAAGTTTTTGTTGAGTCAGAAATCCAATTAAACAAAAAGGGTTTTAATGTGTCTTCTTGGCATGGTGGAGGGATGTGTCAAATACTTTTAAAATCCGGGAACGGGCCCTTCATGGAGCGTGTTCTGTGGCATCCTCTCCCCAACAAAGGCCTGGCCTTTAAAAACCACCCTCGTGCAGCATTGCAGAAAAACCACCCTCTCTTTACTGTTCTAGTGAGGTTCTGCAATATTATTGTGTATGGATTTCAGTATCTGAAGACGGCAATTGATAGGAGAATTCACCAAAGTTCCCAAAACAGTAAAACTGCGTATTAAACAATTGTTTTGGGGAAAGTGTAGCATGGAATTCAGAGCACGAGTTCAAGACAGGTCAGTGACTTAGCTGCGTGACCAGGAACAAGGAACAAGACAGTTAAAATTCAGAAGCCTCCGTGTTCTTATCTGTAAAACAGAGGCAGTAAGAGAAACTATCCTTGGAGTGCCATGAGGATTTCATGAGATAATTCATATACAGCACTGGGCAGAGGGCACAGGGCACAGGCACATGGTAAGAGCCTATTGGCTGGACTGTTATCATCATTAATATGCAGGATGGCAATGTCTGCTGCAATGCCAAAACAATGCAGTCCAATGTTCAGGCTGGAGAAATTAGTACCAAGACACATCTTGCCAAAACTGAGTCACTACGTTGAAGATCAGGGAAGGGACTGAAGTCATGGGAGGTCAGAAGACATGCTCAGGGGACCCTTCAACACAACTGCTGCCACAGTGCTGTCCCTACATCTCACCCATCCCTCCCCAGCCACACTACTTTTCACATCCCAAGAGTCCTGTTTATACCATCTGCTCACCAAAAGGCACTCTGTAGAGCTCATCCCCCAGCCCAGGTGGGTCCCAGGCATCTAGGCCCACCTGCAGCCACATACATACACATGTTAACCGAGGGATGTTTCCAGCCAACAGGCAGCAATACACACAGGTGCACATATATACACAGCCCTGAGCAGAACATCCGTATAGTCACTGGCATGAGAAAGAGTCTACGAGCCACACACACATGCTTGCATGAATGTGTACACACACAGGCACATGCATACACATACAGGCACACTCCTGTGTAACTCCCTAAGTCACCAGCCATGTCCGCTCTCCCTCACCCCAGCTTTGACATCCCTTGTCCCAGCTGAGTTCTATTTCTCTTCTCAGATCATTGCAGCCCTGGTGTAGAATGACTTAAGGAGCAAAACTGAGCCAAGAAGTCTCGCCAGATTCCTACTGGAAGTAATCTGGAGACTTAGATCTGCCAACAGCATCAAGGGGCTGTAGGGTAGAGCACAGAATTTGGAGGTAGGAGAACTCACGTTGAAACCCACCTTCACCTCGGTATGTCCCATCTTGAGCAAGTTCCTTAGTCTTTCTGAAGCTCAGTTTCCTCATCCCCAAGGTGGGAAACATCCTGCCCCATAGTATGTTATGATGATCCAATTGATGTAAGTAAAAGTATTCCATGATCCATAAGGAGCTTTGTAACCGTTAGCTTTTCTGGTAAACACCAAGAACCCTGAACTATTGGTATACATTCTATTCTATGATTTATGACTGGGGGTTCATTCTGGAAACAAGAAAACTAGATAACAATGGCATGCAACGTGAGGACTAGATGAACTCTAGAGAGAACAAAAGTGTCACGTTGTTCAGAGAATGACAGGGACCACAGAGAAAAGGAAAACAAGTGTGGATGCTGTCTTGGGCTCATCTGCTTTCCTTGGAGTGGAGCTGGGATGGGATGGGAGAGTGGAGGGTAAATGTAACAATTAATAGCTTAGAAACTCAGAATTTTTTGCCCCTGAGAAGTCTCTAGATGCTATGCCAACAAAGCTATCTACCTCCCAAGAGGAGTAAGGGTAAACATGGAAATCGTTTTCCTCTGCCCCTCACAACTCACATCTTAACAGAACTGCAAAGGTGACAGAGCCAATAGGATGAATGGCAATTGGGCCCATAAGGCCTATCCTAGGCAGGCTGCAAGATGGCTTCCAATAATCTCACCTCTTGGTATTCACATCCTTGTGAAATCCCCTCCCCTGAGTATGAACTGCATCTAATGACTCACTTCTAATAAACAGAATATGGTCTAAGTGATGGAATGTCACTTCTGAGATTAGGTCACAAAAAAAGTTGGCTTCCATCTTGAGCACTCTCTTACACTCTCTTTCTCGTTCATCTTAAGGGAAGCCAGCTGCCATGTTACAAACTGCCCTATGGAGAGGCCCATGTGGCAAGGAACTAAGGGAGTTTTCCAGCCAAGAGGCAGCAAGAAACTAGGGTTTTTAGTTCAACAGCCTGTGAGGAGCTTAATCTTGCCAATATCCATGTGAGTGAATTTGGAAGTGGATTCTCCTCCTGTTGAGCCTTCAGATGAGACCACATCCTTGGCCAAAATCATGACT
This sequence comes from Homo sapiens, assembly GCF_000001405.40. NCBI lineage: Eukaryota > Metazoa > Chordata > Mammalia > Primates > Hominidae > Homo > Homo sapiens. The sequence goes on from NC_000017.11 coordinate 15,455,857, forward strand.
GTAGCCTCATGGAGAGACTCTGAGACAGAGGCAGACAGCTAAGGCATACCCAGGTTCCTGGCCCACAGAAACTGAGATAACAAATATTTGTTTAAAGCAACTAACCTTTGGAGTGCTTTGTTACCCACCAAGGGATAACCAATAAAAAGCCCCTAGCAGACCTATCAAGGAAAAATCTCACCCACAAAACTGAGACAGAGAAGGACTTCTACTCTGGCAGCAGTGGGAGAAATTTCACTGCATAATTCCTTCTTCCCCATTCCATCTCCAGAGGACACCATTTCTACTAAAGTAAGGGAACCTATGTAAGTAAAGAATTTAGGCCTATAACATACTACAAAAATGAAGCTGCCCTTCCAACAAAGCAGATTTTGACAAGGTCATTTTGACACAGTGGATATACTAATATGACTAGAGGGGTTGCAGGTGGGGTATGGATGTAGGGCAAGATACGGGGGGAAGGCTCAGAGATGGAGTTAGGGTACTTGCCTTACACATTACTGGAGAGGTATAGAGATCTGACATTTTCATGGTTTCTTTTGAAAACTAAGTAAAAATGTTCTTGGCACCAAAATGACTTTGTGAAAGTAGCCAGATCAAAGTGTCAGGTTCTGTCATAGGACTATTTTATTCAACCCTACTACATAAACACTGTTTGGACTCCACCTAGGCACTGAAGCCAGGAAGATTGCCGCTAATCTTCCTTTACACACACACACACACACACACACACACACACACGGCTCAGGAGTAGGTTTCCAGAATCCAACAGCACGGGGTCTAGAATGGAGTAAGTTTTAAGGCCATCACCTGTCACATGCCTGACTTGGATTTGGGCTGTTCTGATTCAGAGGCTGACAGCTGCCTGCCTAGAGACTGGCGCCCCACCAAAGACTCTGTGGAGCCCTGGTCATCATGGGGTCCTATGGGAGTTTTCCCTGAATTGCTCACCAATCCAGAACACAAGAACGCAGAAACTATTGTGCATGGTGGACCCAAAGAGTGCCTTTAATTTGGAATCGATCCTGTTTGTTTTCTGAAGCTCTCTGCATTGTTAAAGCCATTGATTTACCAACATTTAATAAAGAGGAGAATGTTTCCTAAACCTCTGCAAGGTTGTGTGGTCAGAGATGGGATTACGCACTGCTCAGCACCAAGAGATCGAACCAGATGCACTAGGGACGAGCCCTTCCAGTCCAACATCTCAGCCCTCGCGCTACTTTGCCTCTGTACCTCGGTTTCCTCCTGGGTAAAAATGAGGATTGAGGTCTGCTGCACCCTGTCTCCCTTCCAGCTCGAACCTCCTGCATGTCTCTGAAACCTCTTGGCACAGCAGTCCCCAGGAAATGGAATGTACTGAAGTTTCCTAATGTCCCACCAAATGAATTCCTTATGAGCCCGACTTCTGGGTTTGTACTCACCAAGAAAACACTGCAAGCCCTGACCTTCCAAAAACTCAGCTTGTTCTCATTCCCGGATGCGTTTTCAAAAGAGAAAAGCTAACTTTTGCCCTCTAGGGTGGGAAATGTGAAAGGCACAAGTGCAGAGCTCTGTGAATTGAGACCACAACAAACCCTGCCTGGGCATGGAGCCCACAGAGCGGGCGCTAAACAGCCTTTGCAACCACAGAGTGGATATTCTAGACGCAGAAGGTGCCCAGATGGGCCCTGCTTTCATTCTCTTGCCAACTGCCGTAAACCTGTTTCTGTCCCGTTGGAGCTGCAACGTGGAGCCAGAAATCTGGAAGAATTTAACACCCAGTCAATTCAGACACAGGAAAACATTGTTCAAAGTAAACACTGGAATCCCTCCCTCATCATCCAGGAATGTGGAGCCAGCAGGGTCTGAGCTCAGCAGCTTCTCAAAAAAGCCCCCCTGAGCTGCTTTGCTTTTGGGGCCACAGACAGGGAGGGCCAGGAGGGGCTCCACATGCTCCACACGCTGCCAAGACAGGGACGAGGCTAGGAGGTCAGTGCACGGGGCTTCTCCTCTCCCAGGGAAACATGGGCAGTGTTGTCCACAGCCTCCAGCTAAAGAACCCTCTGTTCCCCCACAGGACCCAGCTTGTGTGCAAAGGCCGCTGAACTTGTGAAAGCCCGAAGGAAACAGAGAGGGGCTCAGGACGCTGTGAGACTTTTCCATTTCCTTTGCCTCCCAGCAGGCCGTGAAAGAGTCACTTTTCCTTGAGGAAGAAAGAAGGCTCTGTGTGCAGGGCAAGGGTACAGTCCTTCTAACCAAAAGATGTGTGTGCTGCATGGGATGTGGCCACCGACATTCATTTCGCTTTTACTGGGACTTAACGAATTCCATCTCTCAATAGCCATATGCCAGGGTCCCACCCTGTTTCCTCTGGCTCTGGAGGGTGGAGAGGAAGGACTTGCTTTACCCAGGGGTCTATAAGGAATCTTGGAAAGACACTGCCCCTTAAATCACTTCTGTGTCACTGTGTCACCTTTGTGTCACTGTGTCCCTCTGCCTAAAATTCCACCTAAATTCCATTCATGAAGATGCAGGCCTGAACTGAATTGTTGGAAGATTTCTCACAGTCAGAGTGGAGGGGGGAACCTTCACATTAGGAACGTTCAAGGAGAAGAATGAAGAGAGTCCAAAGATGACCACTTGGCCACCAGAAGCTCTGAGTAGAGTCCTACTCAGTAGCGGGGCTGCTGGGCGGCAGCAGAGGCAAGTCGGGTCATTGTGAAGAGGCCCAAGAAACAAACCACTAAATGTCCAGCATGACAGTCTGTCTCATCCTGGCCTTCACTCCTGTATCCCCGTGACAGCCACGGTGTTCACCCATTCCTGAACCCTGAGGGATACACCACCGAAGGCTTATTAATCCACTCATTTAATCTGAATTATTGAGGGCCTCCTACTGAGCCAGGTGAGCAGGAGGGATACTGTCCCTGCTGTGGGGGAGCCTGTATAATCCAGACAGAGGCTGTCAAGGGGTGGTTCTGGGATCACCATCACCAGCAGCAGCAACACCAGGGAGTTTGTTGGAAATGCAATTCATTGGATCCCACCTTAGCCTACTGAACTAGAAGCTCTGCAGGCTGGGCCCAGCAATCTATTTTCACAAGCCTTCCTGGGGATTCTGTTGCTCATGAAAATTTAAGGACCATTGAGCAGGTCTGTCACTGCCTCACTTGGTAATAAAGAAAATCTGCAATTTTCATGATTTGCCTTGGGGAGGTCACAGAAATGGCGTGAGGGCTCCTATGCTCCTAGACTCAGAACAGCTATGCCAAACTGTGCTGTCATTTGGAAATTTTTGGTTCCAGTTTCAGGAACACTTTTTCTACCTCAGTTTGGCCACTGTTTCATGGTGATTTCTAAAACTTTTTTTGCAGAAGAGGCAGGAACCTCCCCTCCACTCATGAACAACAAGACAAATGGAGCTTCTTTTGACTTGTAGCACCCACCCCAACAGGGGCTCTGCCATCCTTTCTGAAGGTGGCTCTGAGAAGGCCATTTGCACTGTTGTCTTCAGGCCCCTCCCCACACTGTTCTCTCACTCTTGATAGGTGTCAAGGAACGTATACAGCCAGGCTTCTCTATTGAGTTGATTTCTTTTTTTTTCTTTTTTTTTTTTTTTTTTTTTGTGAGACAGAGTCTCGCTCTGTCACCTAGGCTGGAGTGCAGTGGCGCGATCGCAGCTTCCTGCAAGCTCCGCCTCCTGGATTCACGCCATTCTCCTGCCTCAGCCTCCTGAGTAGCTGGGACAACAGGCACCCGCCACCACGCCTGGCTAATTTTTTTTGTATTTTTAGTAGAGACAGGGTTTCACTGTGTTAGCCAGGATGGTCTCGATCTCCTGACCTCGTGATCCGCCCGCCTCGGCCTCCCAAAGTGCTGGGATTACAGGCATGAGCCACCGTGCCCAGCCTCTACTGAGTTCATTTCTAAAGAGATGCACCAACCAATGAGGTAGAATTCCATTCATTCACTCAGCAGATGACTTCCATGCTGCCATACGGAATGATCTCCTTTGCCTCTTCTGCTTATCTCATCTGACCTGTTGGCAAGGGAGCCAGCAGGCCCCTTTCTCCTGAGTCCCAGCACCTCATAGGCCTCTCTTCTCAGGCCCCATGCTGGCCCCTGCTCCTCTGCTCCACTTAGGGTGAGGGAGCCCCTGTCCCAGGCACCCTTCACGTCTTCATCTGCAAACTCATCACAGTGCCCCAACTCCCAAAAGTGTGTTTCTAGCCATGGGCTCTTCCCTGAACTGCACGCTCTTATATCCAATCCCTGCCAGACATCTCCTCAAAGATAGTTTATAGGTACCTCAACCTACCTCATTCAAACAGCTCCTGACACCTCTCTCTCCCACCACATTCAAAACCTGCTTCCCCACTGGCCTTCTTCCAGTTTGTTAACCAGCACCCCTAATGAACCTGTTGCCAAAAAACTAGGAATCTTCTTTTCCTCTTTCCCTCATCTTCAAAATCCAATTTATTATCAAATCATGTCAACTCAACCTGTAATTGTCTTAAATCCTTCGTTCTCTTTATTCTACAATTATGACAACTACTACTGCTGCTAATAATAATATAAAAATAACTCACACTATAGGTGTTTATGTTTTATACTTATTAACCCATTGAGCCTTCCCAGCAAACCTGTGCATTAAGTGCTGGATTATTCCCTCTTACAGAGGGTAAAATTGAGGCATATAAATGTTCAGTGACTTCCTGAAAGCCACACATCTAATACAGTGGAAGCAGAATTCCACGTGATCAAACATGTTGCCCCAGTGCTGCCCCCATATCCGCCTGGTTGCCCCCACAGCCTCCAAACTGGCCTCCCTGCTCCCACACTTGCCCCCTGTGTAATCTGTTTTGTCCACACAGCAGCCAGAGTGATCTTTCTAAAACCTGCACCAGTACACACCACTCCCCAACACAAACATCCCTTTCCAAGGGTTTCCTCAGAGCCCTTGGGATGAAATCCAAACTCCTTCCATGGCTGCCTCTGTCCACCTCTTAGATCTCTCTGTTTCTGTCTCTCTCCCTCCCTCCCCCGCCTTCCCCACCGCCAACCACCCTCCAGCCACAGTGTCCTCCTGTCAGTCCTCAAACTCACCAAACTCCAACCATTCCCTCCCTCCAGATTGACTTTCGCAGATTTTTACATAGCTGGTGTTTGATCATTTAAATCTTAGCTCAATGTTGCCTTCTCAGAAAGGCTTTTTCTAACTTCCTACTCTAAACTAGCCACTCAATCCAAATCTATCACATCACCTTGTTCTGTTTCCCCGACAGCACTTATTGCTATCTGAAATTATTTTACATTTGTTTGTTTATGATTTATTTTCTGCCTGCCCTCTTAGAACTTGAATTCCATGAAAGGAAGGAACTGTTCTGTCTTTTCTGTCATGTATATCCCAGGACCTAAAACTATAATACAGAGCTCTGTGCCAGGCATAGGGATAGCAAGGCGAAGGCAGCAGAATCCCTGCCCTTAAGGAAGTCGGCCTCTGCAGTTCCGCTACAGCATGCGGGCTGCCACAAGGACAGGAGTGATTCCTCACCCAGCCTAGGAATGCTGGGAAGACTTCCTGGGGTAGATGACTTGAGTTTATTTTATTTCAACATTTATTCTGGACCAGACCTGCCAGTTACAGTGACGGATGAGACCAGTGGTCTGCTTCCTTAGTACCAGTATCACCTAGAGAGCCTTTTAAAGCACAGACTCCTGGGTCTCATGCCCAGAGTTTCTAATTCTGGAGTAAGACCTGGAGTAAGCACCAGGAATCTGCATCTCTAACAGGTCTCCAGGTGAAGACCAGTGTCATCTAGGGACCACATTTTGAGAACCACCAGATTGGACCATTTTCTTGCCACAGATCACCATCAGTATGGCTCAGTGCAATGCTGTGCGCCATTTGCTTTGATAGGAATATAGGCTATATATAAATATAGGCTACAGATAAAAGGTATCAGTAGGTACTTCTTGGAGGAGCTGGAACCTAGGTTTCATTTTGAATAATAAGTAGGCATTACTGAAGGGATGAAAAACAGAAAAAACTTGAGGAAAAGGACAAAGTAGTATGTAGTCTTAAAAATTAAAATATATTTCAATATTGCTGAAGCATAAAGCATAAAACAAAGACTGGCCGAAGGTGAGACTGAAGTAAACAGCAGATTCGAGTCCCTTAAAAAATTAGTAGCAGGAGGCCAGGCTGCATAAAAGCCAGGTGAGCACAGCACACTTAGGGAACTGCAGAAATGGCTAATACAGAGGGTGCTCAAGGGTCAGGGGAGAGGTCTCTAGCAAGAAAAGATTCTAGGCCGGGCGTGGTCGTCACGCCTGTAATCCCAGCACTTTGGGAGGCCGAGGCAGGCAGATCACGAGGTCAGGAGATCGAGACCATCCTGACTAACACGGTGAAACCCAGTCTCTACTAAAAATACAAAAAATTAGCCAGCCGTGGTGGCGGGCACCTGTAGTCCCAGCTACTCGGGAGGCTGAGTCAGGAGAATGGCGTTAACCCAGGAGGCAGAGCTTGCAGTGAGCCGAGATCACACCACTGCACTCCAGCCTGGGCAACAGAGTGAGACTCCATCTCAAAAAAAAAAAAAAAAAAAAAAAAGATTCTAAAGAAAAGTAGAAGTCAAACCATGAAGGGACCCTACTTTGGGGCTGGGTCCTATGGGGAAACAGAGGGTTCCTTAGCTGGACACTGCAGACAGAATTGCCCATATATATGGGCATTCATTCAGAAGAATACTATACAGCAATGAAAAGGAACAGGCTACACCTATTGCAGCCACATGAATGAATCACACAAACATAATGCTGAGTGAAAGAAGCCAGGCACAAAAGAGTAAACATGAGTCGATTTACATAAAGTTCAAAAACAGGCAAAATATAGGGTTTAGAAATACATTTAGTGTAAAGCAAGTGTGTGACTTCCATAAATTCAGGAGAGTAGTGACCTCTGAGGATTAGAGAAAGGGGTTATCGATGGGAGAAGGAAGGAGGGAGGTTTCTAGAAGCTAGCAGTGTTGCATTTCTTGTCATGGGTGACTGTTACTGAGTGTTCACTTTAGACACATCACCAAGATGTAAGCTGTATGCCTCGCTTTGAGCACTTCATATTTCAAATTTGTTTTTTTAAAGATAAAGATATTAAGATAGTTGAGCAGGAGATGGGGGTGGGAGGAGGTGGACAGGAATGGAACAAAAACTGCTAGAAGGAGGGAAATGAAGATTGTCGAGATGACTGCAGGGCTATGCATGCGTGTGTGGGTGTGAGTGTGCCATTCTCTTCAGCATCAGTCAAGAGCCCTGGATTCAGGGTAAGGAGAGAAGATCAGGCGTGTTGGGAAACAATGGGGAAGTGGGTAGGGGAGGGCTAGGGTTTTTATGAGTTGGGCTGAAATTTTGGATCACTGGGCCGGGGTGGAGAACGCAAAGCCTGGAGATGTGCCACCAGGCAGCTGCACCTATCAAAGAAAGACTCCACCATCAAACACTGACTTTTAGGCTGTAATTAGCAAGTTGGCTCGTGTCTCTCTAAGGCCAAAAGTAAGTGTCTAAAACCAGAACAAAATCATTCTTTCCCATGTTCCTAAAAACCTTAAATACAAAGGTAAAATAAACATTTATTTTAGAAATAAACAATGAAAACTGAAAAGCAAAGTAGGCCAACTATTTCCCAGGCAGCAGGCCTGACCTGCTACAAATTCTTGGTGTCCGGTTTCAGCTAGGCACTCACTGTAACTTGGCCAAATTTTCCTCGTTGACTTTCCCGGCACATTCCATGCAGCTCCACCCTCTGTGAGCCATGAAGCTGCTCCCAGCTGCCCTCTCTGCGGTGGGCTCTCCACTCTCCACTGTGCCATGTGCCAGAGGCTATGCTAGCTGATTCCAACCTAAAGTATCTCCTCCTTAACACCGTCTTCTGAGCATCCTCCCGCCTGCCCGTCTGTCATCAGAGATGTGGGTGGCCTGAGGAAATGGGGTCTGAGGGAGCCCCAGAAGGTCCTAGGGAAGATACAAGGCTGGGGTCTGGCCAGGGATCAGTAGCTGGTGGGGAAGTCTGAGCTGAGACTAACAAGCTGGGTGAAATCAGCAAGGGTCCAAGTCAGGCGGGCAGAGGAGCCGGCAAAGTGATATTCAAAGGTCAAGCAAGTAACAGAGTCAGAAGTCAGACAGAGCACGGGGACCAGGAACCCAATGCCCTCTAGGAGTATGGCATGGAGGGGCAGACCTCGAATGTTGGCATTAGGCAGTGCTAGGTTCGAGTCTTGCTTCTGACCAACTGTGTGACCTTGGGTAACTTATTAACCTCTCTGGCCGCGTTTTTCTCTGGTGATGTGTCACTGAGCTTGGGGATAGGGCCAGGGATGGGGATGGAGATGCCAATGGGTAGATGTGGAGACCCCTACGCCAGGCAAGCCTTCAGGTTTGAGAGCTGATGCATCCATACTCCAAATAGACCTTGAGCCCGTCAAAGGCAGAGACCAGCACCTGCCCTAGGCTTGGCCCCTGGCACAAGTCAAAGGAGGAAATGATTAGCACGGGTCCATGAGCATTACATATCACCCTCACTGCAGCAGCGGCTGCCTTTTCCGAGCTCGCTTCTTCCCTTCCCACCCCTTGCTAGTTGGAGCTGATTCCTGAGAGGCAGCACTAGATGCTGGGCATTAGCAATCTGAGAGCTGGGTAACAAGTCCTGGGGTGGGGTTTCTGTGTCCTTTCCTGTGCCCTCACCCCAATCTCTGCTGGTGCACCTCCCTGGCAGCTTCCCTCTGCTCCCCTCTCCAGCACTTTTCCAAATGTCCCTCCTTATGCACCCTTCCCCTTCTGCTTTCAAACCTTGCCAAGTCTCCCCTCCTCTAAACAATTCTTCCATTGACCCCCAAGCTTCCGTTACTTGTATTTTGCTCCTTTTCTCTGCCAAAATCCCCCAGCGAATGGCCCATACCAGCGGTTGCTCTTTCACTCACTCCAGCCTGGCATCCACACTCGCAGCTCTGCTGACAGCCAGCACAGAAAGGAACCAGCAGGGATACGGGAACAGAGGCACAGACATCAAGCAGGGTTCAAGAAAGTGCAAGTGGGTGCAACACACACACACACCAACACACAGACACACACACCAACAGACACACCAACACACAGACACACGCAATACAGACACACACAACACAGACACACACCAACACACAGACACACATAACACAGACACACACCAACACAGACACACACCAATACAGACACACACAACACAGACACACACCAACACACAGACACACCAACACACAGATACAAACACAGACACACCAACACACACACACCAACACACAGACACACAACACACATACCAACACAGACACACCAACAGACACACACCAACACACAGACACACACAACAGACACACACCAACACACACAACACACACACCAACACAAACACACACCAACACCAGACACACCAACACACAGACACACACAACACAGACATGCACAACACAGACACATACCAACACCAGACACACCAACACAGACACACATAACACACACACCAACACACACACACAACACACACCAACACAGACATACACCAGTACCAGACACACCAACACACAGACACACATAACGGAGATACACATCAACACCAGACATACAAACACAGACACACACAACACAGACCCACACCAATACCAGACACACCAACACAAACACACACAACAAAGACACTTAGGTACAAACACACACACCAACACACAGACACACATACACCAGCACAGAGATACACACCAAGACATTCATACAACACAGACACACACGCACAAAGATACACACAACACACAAAACACACAAACACACAGTCATATCACAAACACGGAGACACATATGCCTACACATGCACAGACACGCATGCTAACGCCTTCCAATATGGCAGCCAAGGGGCTCTTGCTGTGGTCAGGGAAGAGGGGGAGGGAGCCTGGCCATCCACCGTGGGGAGGACATGCAGCGCGCATCGTGAGGACTCCAGACCCCTGAGGGTGGTAGCAGCAGGAGGGCAACAGAGGATCCTAGAGTTGCTGCACCTGGGGGCAGATCCAGTTGTTACAGGGCCTGAGCATTCTACAGCTGGTGGGGAAACCCTCTTTGTGCCCTGCACAAGTGGTAAGCACTTAGAAGACATCCCTGAAGGAGGGAGAGAAAGGGAGGGAGAGGGAGGGAAAGGGAGGGGGAGGGAGGGCAGAGCCTACCAGGAAGCCTGGAGGAAGCCTGCGACCTGGGACCCAGGTCAGCTCCCTGACCCAGGCCAGTGGGTGAACTGACAAGTGACAGAGTCTGGATTTGAACCCAGGGACTCGGCTGCCCATGTTCTTAACCTGCGTCACCTATCTGCCTCTCTCATACTGACTCAATGTAGCTCAAACAAGTGTAAAGCAAGAGCTTCCAGCACAAACAGTGGGCTTCGGGCTCAGGCCTCCAGAAACACTGCCTGGGGTGGGAGCCTGGGCGCTGGGCCAGCTTCCACCCAGATGGGGAGAAGGGAAGGGCTGCCTCATCTGCAGAAACGAGTCTCTTCTGTTCTCTTCTCCCCACCCCTATCTACACCAAGGTGCATTCATGGATCGCAAGGTTTCTTACTAATTTTTTGTTTCATTCACTGGTGTCTTTTATTCCTTGTTCTAAATTACTTTTTTTAATTTTTACTTTTATAGAGACAGTCTCACTGACACCCAGGCTGGAGTGCAGTGGCACGATCATGGCTCACTGCAGCCTCAAACTCCTGGGCTCACACAGACACACACTCAATACAGACACACACCTGGACTCAAGGGGCCCTCCTGCCTCAGCCTCCAGAGTAGCTGGGACTACAGGTGCACACCAATGCCCAGCTAATTTATTTTTATTTTTATTTTTGTAGAAACGGGGTCTTGCTATGTTGCCTAGGCTGGTCTTGAGTTCTCGGCCTCAAACAATCCTCCTGCCTCAGCCTCCTTAAGTGGTGGGATTACAAGCATGATTAATTATTTTTAAATAAGTGACTTGATTATTATTGTTTTGTAAAAATCCTCTTAGTCACCTTTGTCCCTATAGGTTTCTATAGGTGCTTAATAATTTTTTAAAGGTATTTACCAGTTCTGGCTAAACATTCCTTTGGTCCTGAGCTCTGTGGAGAGGTAATGCATCTGTGGGAACATCATCACCCTCATCCCCAACCCATCACCCCCAGGGGATGGGGGGGAACGGGGGTATATTTTGTGTGTGTGTGTTTTGCTTAAGTAGAGTGGTCAGCCCTGAGTGTACAATAGAATCACCTGGCTGTCATTATAGACATACCTGAGCTCAAGCCCTCTGCAGACAAAGTAAATCAGAATCCTAGGAATGGGACGAGCTTGTTGGCAAGGGTTGGGCATCAGTACGTTTTACAAAGTCCTGAGGGGATTGGGTGACCAGGATTGGGATCCACTTAAGGGAAGTAATGCTGGGGACTCTGGGGACCCTTTAATGGCAGGATTATTCTTTGATGAAGGACCTGACCTTCTCCTGGAAGTTGAGTGTGAGCCTTTTCACTTTCACCCTCGACTTCCCTCTCTGGGGACACCCAGTGTTCTGGCCCAGACTGTTACCTGAGAAGTTTCTGTGATTCCCCATCCTTCCTGCACTATCTTGGCTGTTCCCCTGCCCGGCGTTTATATTTTGTCTCCAGCTGTCCCCTGTGCTCTCAATCCCACTTCTCTTTGGCTCTCTCTTTGCTGCAGCTAACCATCCTCTTGCCCCTGCCCCAAAGTGACCCATGAGCCAGAAGTCAGGAGTGAAGGGGGGCACTGTGACATCAGAAGTTGCCATGCACCCCCTCCTGAATCTTCTGCCCTGCTCTCTTCCTCCTCTGCAGGCTCAGCGGTCACCAGCAATGCAGTCCTCAAACACGGACATTAGAGTGATTATTCCCACCCCCAAGAGTGAACACCTACTATGTGCTGGACCCTAGACCAAACACATACACACATAAAGATACACAACACACACACATGCACACACACACACCCCAACATGCATGACCTCATTTGAGATCTCTGATCATTTCAACAAGCAGTTACTCTGGCCCAGACGCAGCCAACTACAGAGATAGACAAGACCTGTGGTCTCTTTCCTTAGTGCCAGAATCTCCTAGAAGGTCTATTAAGACAGATTGCTGGGTCCCACTCCCAGGGTCTCTGATTCAGTATATGTGGGGTGGGGCCCAAGAACTTGCCTTTCTAACAAGCTCTCAGCCTTCTTCTGAAATAAAATCCTCTTTAGATAAGCTGGAGAGAGAATGGCTGTCACTAACAGGCTGTTGAGAATTAGCCTCCTTCTCCCCAACTCCATTGACCGGCCAGTGCTTGGCAATGGAGAGAGCGAGCAGCTTCTAACCTCCCCTGTGGCCCCAACCGTGAAAAAGTCCCCAAGATGCCAGGAGGACACAGTGCAGAGCAGGCTGTAAAGTCTGGCAGTTTAATTGCAGTCATCAACTCGGGGCAGCACCAGGAGACAGGCTGGACTTGCTCTCCCTGTGTTATCATCATGCCCTGTTGACAATCCTTTGAAATGTCTCTCCCTGTGTCTGTTCCTTCTGCTCCTCTCCACTCCCCCACCACCTCTCCAATCCCAGAGTTCAACCTGTCCAGCCAGGAATGTAAAGTCCCCTCACTTCTCTGCAACCACAGCAAGCACTTGAGCTTCCTCCAAATCATACTGACTCAATCATATATTTCCCACGATCTCCTTTTCTTCATAGTTCTCTATAATCTTCAGAGAGAGGTGCATTCTAGAAAAAGGCCAGGCAGAAAACACCTGTGTTTCAGCCTCAGTTTTATCATTTAGTTGTAAGAAAACATACATCAAGTGGATCCCCAACAAAAATCTACCTCTCCTCACTGCCCACGAGTCAGTACCTAGAGCCTCAGGCAGAGCCCTCATTGCTGCGGTTCTCAAAAAGCCTTTCTCTATCCTCCCCTCTCTCCAGGCTCTAGTTCCTCTTCAACTCCAGCCCTAAACTCCCTGAATTCATTCTCGCTCTGGAGCTCCCGTGTCAGCGGAGCCATGCCTTCAACCTTTCCATGGGCCCCTATTTTGTGGCTCAGTGTCCCTGAGCCCTGAGTATCTCCATTCAGTTCTTCAAACAAGTTCTAGACAAGGGAAGGATCTGAGCAAAGTCACGGAGGTGCGGGACAGCCTGGGCGTCTGGAAATGCTACGGGAAATGCACAGGTGAGGGGGATGGGGGGGAGTTGGGGTGGGCCAGTCTGACAAGGTTCTGCTCTCTCTCCCAGCAAGTCTGGGGAAGACAGTGGACATCTTTGAGTGCACAGGCCAGGTGTGAAGTGTAGCGGATGAGCAGGGGACCTCCCCTGTGGTTCCACAAGAACCTCCAAAGACTCACCCCAGAAGTCTTCTGCAGCTTGAAGTGACTCTCTGAGCTGCTTATACCTAGCGCTGATGTGCAATGGGCCAGGGCCCGGCAGGGAGCCAGACCCTCGGACTCGAGAAAGCCATTTGAGAGTGACATCAGCCCACCACCTGCTAGTGCGCACTCACAGTGTTTCCGGAAGCCATGATGCTAATCATGTCTGTTTCTGTGTTGTCCATGGCAAGACTCCAAGCCCAGAAAAGAAAATCTGTAGCCCAAGTTATTTTCCTCCCACAGGGCTTGCCTGGCCTTTGATTGTTGGCTTTGGGGAGGTGCATTTCTCCCTCCTCTGTGGGCAGCAAATTCCCCGTGAGTCAACAGATCCTGTATCTGGGCTCACCATGGGCTTCTACTGGCACTGAGAAGGGGCAAGCTGAGCAAACATGCAATGTGACCCCAGTGCTGACCAACCCAGAGATGCCCCATGGGACTCAGGGACTTGACCTCAGTGCTTCTGGGGTCCCTCAGTGTATCTTGCTGGCCTCAGCACTGGGCTGCTTGGTAACCTCCCCACAGGCAGGTACTAAGTGCAGCCAGCCCCTTCATTCAAGGCAGAATGAATTAAAAAGCTGGGGTTCCAGAGTTGGCTCCAGGTCACCCATGCACACACCCCATGCCAGGTACTGCTCTCAACTCTTCACACACTAGCTTATTCTGGGCTCAAAACTCCCAGGAATACCTTCGAGGCAGTTTCCACTACTCTAATCCCCATTTTACAAAGTGATGAAACTGAGGCACACAGTTCAGTAAGTTGCCCACGGATACACAATTCATAAGTAGAAAAATCAAAGTGCAAATTCCAGAACGTACACCACTAAGAAGGGGCCACGAGGCAGCTCTCCCCACCTGAGAATCCCCCTGAAATCCATGGTGAGCCTGCCCAGAGCCCCCACCCCTACCCAACTTACATTGGCTGCTCTTCCTTTTGCCCCAGAACCCCAAATAACTGGCCAAATGGACTCAGGTGTATCCCTTTGGCCTCCACGCTCAAGTTTTATATGAAAAAATAAAAAAACACAGAAAAAACTCAATGCGTTAGGTCAGTTTATTAACTCTCCCTCTTGGTCCCCAAATTGCCTTTCAGGGTGTTGAGCAGCTGCACACATCACCCCTTCCTCATGAGGTCCCCTTGGCCCTTTACCTCCAGCTGAGTAAGTCAAAGGAGGACATATGATCAAACCAGGTAGTCCACCGGCTGACCTCTGACCTACAGCCTAGAACAAAAAAGAGGACCTGGGCCAATCCAATTATCTCTCAGGAACGCAAAAGGAGGTAGGAAACGAACAGGCAATTGGCCTCAGAAGCCAAAGCACAGAGGATGCTCTGAGGAACACAAAGGCCACGAGAGGTCTTGACAAACCAAACTTCGATGCAAATTGGTCTATAAACTTCTTAAGTCTCTTTGCCTGTACAGTTTGCCCCTCCCTCTCCAATAATGTGTCCTTATCTGCAGAAGGAACTGAGTTTCCCATGGTCTGGACTGAACCGATTACATCTTCATAGTGTCCTTTAGCAAGCGCCTCTACCCCCTATAAAGCAGCTGTCATATCTAGAGCCTTGATCAGCTCTAGGTTTGCTTTCCATAAATGATGGTGTAAATATTTGGAGGTACAGAATACAGGGTTGTCTCTCCTTTTGCGGTGTTAGCAGCTATTAATGATTTATTGACTAGAAACACTATTTAATTAACAGTTGCAGATTGGTAATATTCTCAAGCTATCATTTCTTTTTCATTTTTTATTTGGAACACCTCTAAAGGAGACACTTCTCATCAACTGTTTGATTTCCTTGCAGTTTATGAGAAAGGCAACACAAATGTTGAATATTTTCTCCTTTATTGGCAGGTTTTCAAAAGAATATATTGGATATTCGCAAACTCCAAAAGTAGCTAAAGTTATTGAGGATTTTTGTAGTGAACTGGTTTAAGGCAGCTATTGGATTTTCTGCCACTCACAACTAAATTTAATCCTAGCTGATACAACACAGGTAAAGGAGGAAAAGAGGCAAAATGCAATGCAATCTTTTCTCCACTGAACTAGGTGTTCCTTGAACACAGTTTATATCCCAGTCACTCTCACATCTCCAGAGCCTACAGGGATATCCAGCTTATAGTATATGCTCGATAAACATTTTCTGAATTAAAGACAAGAACACAACCATTTAGACCTATCAAAATGAATGAAAATGGATTATATGAGCCTTTACTAGAACTTGTAGGTATTGGCGAGAAATGCTAATTCTACCAGATGGCTGAAAGCCCAGGCAGGAGAATGGACACCTCAAATAGTAATATAATGGTATAGGCCAGGTGCAGTGGCTCACACCTGTAATTCCAGCACTTTAGGAGGCCCAGGTGGGCTGATCACGAGGTCAGGAGATTGAGACCATCCTGGCTAACACGGTGAAACCCCATCTCTACTAAAAATACAAAAATTAGCCAGGCGTGGTGGCAGGCACCGGCAGTCCCAGCTACTCAGGGGGCAGAAGCAGGAGAATCGCGTGAACCCGGGAGGCGGAGGTTGCAGTGAGCCGAGACTGCGCCACTGCACTCCAGCCTGGGTGACAAAGCGAGACTCTGTCTCAAAAAATAAAAAAGGTAATATAATGGTATAAAACTGAATGTGCCTGGTGACATGGCTTATAATGTCAAGAATCTGGAAACAATCTAAATGCTGATCAAAGGGAGACTGATTAAAATATGGAATATCCATATAATGGAAATTCGATGTCTCTAAACTAATGAGGCAAATCTATATGCGTAATGATCACAATATATATTTAAGTAAAAACAGCAAGATCTTCAGAATACTACAGGACCCCCCAAAACAAGCAAAGCCAAAGAAAGTAAATGGCAAATTAAATAAGATGGGCAAGAGTGGATGACTGTTAGTGTGCTGAGTGATGGGTATGTAGATGTTCATTGTACCAGTCTCTCTATTCTTGTGTATGTTTGAGAAAATTCTGCAATAAAAATGAAAATAAAAACAAAACCACTTGTCTGAGCCCTGTTTTTTAGTGTGTTTTTCATTTTGTTTTCATTCCTTATTTAAAATATTTCAAAATTCATCCCTTGTGAATAATGGAAGGGAGATTAAACCTACATTTAAATGTTTGGATATTCATAGAAGACAGGTCTCTGGAATGCTATGAAATTCCAGCTGTAACTGTGATACTGTGAAATACATATTTGGTCTTCAACCTGTTTCCTGACATACAACTCCTAAAACCCTTACCATTTCAAAAGTGTTGTCCTTTTGTATGCTAATGAGCTGGCTGAGGGTTAGCATCCTCTAGGTAGCTTCAGGATGAGACTGGTCACCAGACCAAGGCAGGATTAAACAGTTGGGACTTTCAGCCCCCAGTCTCTGGGGAGGAGAGAGGTGCTGAAGGTTGAGTTGATCACCATTAGCCAATGGTTTAATCAATTATGCCTAAGTAATGAAGTTTCCATAAAAACCCAAAAGCACAGGGTTCAGAGAGCTTCCAGACAAACGAATGCATGGAGGTTCCTGGAGGATGCCCCAGGGAGGGCATGGAAGATCCCCTCCCCTTTTCCCATACCTAGCCCTATGCGTCTCTGTCCTTTGTAATATCCTTTATAATAAACTGGTAAATTTACATGTTTCCCTGAGTCCTGTGAGATGCTCTAGTAAATTAATCAAACCCAAAGAAGAGTTCTTGGGAACCCCAGCTTGAAGCCAGTCAGCCAGAAGTTCCAAAGGCCCAGACTTGTGACTGGTGTCTGAAAGGGAGACAGTCTTGTAAGATCCAGCCCCTCACTCTGTGGGATCTGACGCTGTTTCCAAGTAGACAGTGCTGAAACTGAATTGGAGGGCTCCCAGCTGTGGCCACTGCGGAACTGACTGCTTGCTTGGTGTGTGGAGAGAAACCCCCACATGTTTGGTCACAGGTATTTTCTATGTTGATCGTTGTTATGGAGTCAGGGAATAGAAAAATCACTTTGGGTGATGTGCTTTTCCACTCACAGTAACTGATGAGGAAGAAATGGGAGGCTTGCTCATTGTAGGAATGTTTTACCACATGCCTATGTGACATATTGATTACAGAAGAACTAATATTAAAAAGAAAGTATGAGAAAGAGCGACACCGGCCAGGCGCGGTGGCTGACGCTTGTAATCCCAACACTTTGGGAGGCTGAGGAAGGCGGATCACGAGGTCAGAACATTGAGACCATCCTGGCTAACATGGTGAAACCCCGTCTCTACTAAAAATACAAACAATTAGCTGGGCGCCGTGGTGGGTGCCTGCAGTCCCAGCTAATCGGGAGGCTGAGGCAGGAGAATGGCATGAACCTGGGAGGCGGAGCTTGCAGTGAGCCGAGATGGTCACTGCACTCTAGCCTGGGCGACAGAGAAACTCTGTCTTGAAAAAAAAAAAAAAGAGAGAAAGAGTGACACCAATCACCTTTTGCTCTCTGTCTGGCTAATTCAAAGCCAACCTTTAAGTTCCAGGTCAAAGGTCACCTTCCATCGTGGGGCACAGAACTCAAGCAACATTAATGTCCCTAACAAACCAGTTTGGTCCATTAAGTTGTGGTAGGGGTGACTGCCTGTCTAAAGGAGTTGAATTTCAAAATCTTTAAAACACAACAGTAGCCCCCAAACATATTTTGTAGACCACATCTGGATCTAGGCTCCAGATTACAATCCCACATAAAAAGGATTCTTCTCCCTGACTACCCACCCAGTATAGAACTGATGTTCCCTCTGCTGTGCCCCATGGCCCTTTGATCATACTTCTTTTGACACACTTATACCGTATCGGACTATAGTTCTTTGAATAAGAACTTTGGTAATTATTGCCAGCCTTTATTGAGGGCTTATCAGTGGGCAGGCAACATGCCAAGAGTTTTACATCCATGATCTCACTTGGCCCTCACAGCCACCCTTGAAGCTAGGTACAATTTTTAATCCCCATTTTTCAAATGAGGAAACTGAGCCCCAGAGAGGTTGAATAATTTGCTCAAGGTCATACAACTACCAACAGGATGGGCGCACAGAGCTAGGATTGGAACCCAGGCAGTTTGGCTCCGCAGTCTACCTGCTTGACCAGCATTTTATTTTGAAAGACAGGACTTGTGTCCCAATCCTATTGGGAGATTCAGTGTCTAGCACCTTAGTTTAAATAAAGCAAAATTAATTCAACAGTACTTCCTTGGGCAACTACAGAATGCAAAATTTCCTTCTCTACTTCCATTAAGGCAATACAGAGAGTTGTGTTCATTTGTGTCTTACCTGATCCAAGGGTTCTTTTCAAGAAAAATAGCTACTGTGCAGATAAACCTTGAAAACATTAGGCTAAGTGAAAGTAACTGGTCACAAAAGGCCACATATTGTAGGATTCCATTTATATGAAATATCCAGAATAGACAAGTCCATTGAGACAGAAAGTAGAGTTCTTAGTGCTGGGAGAGAATAGGATATTTGGAAAGTGACTGCTAAAGGCTAAGAGGTTTCTTTTTGGGGGGAAAATGTCCTAAAAATTGGTTGTGGCAATGGTTGTACAACTTAAGTAAAGACACTAAGAACCATTAAGTTGTATGATTTAAATTGTAAAATTATATGGAATGTGAATTATATCTCATAAAGGTGTTTGAAAAGAGAAATATCTAATGAACTTTCTTTTTCCAAATAAATGCTGAAAGCAAGATGAGAAAGAAAATAGATGAAAAATACAAAAAGAAAATAACACAGTGGGCTGGGCGTGGTGGCTCACGCCTGTAATCCCAGCACTTTGGGAGGCCAAGGCGGGCGGATCATGAGGTCAGGAGATCGAGACCATCCTGACTAACAGAGTGAAACCCCGTCTCTACTAAAAATACAAAAATGAAAAATTAGCCGGGCGTGGTGGCGGGCACCTGTAGTCTCAGCTACTCGGGAGGCTGAGGCAGGAGAATGGTGTGAATCCAGGAGGCAGAGCTTGCAGTGAGCTGAGACTGCACCACTGCATTCCAGCCTCGGGGACAGAGCGAGACTCCGTCTCAAAAAAGAAAGGAAAAGAAAAGAAAAGAAAAGAAAAGAAAAGAAAAGAAAAGAAAAGAAAAGAACACACAGTGATAGACTATATTGCTTAGCTAAGTGGATATCTAGATAGATGATGGATAGTTTTAGACATCAGTTTCCTGTTGATTTTCTCATGTTGTCCCTTCCAAACCAGCAACCTGAGAGGATGAGAGATCGATCAACAAATTATGTAAGTTACTAAGTTGTTAAGAAGATGGCAAACAACCAACAGAATTAAACACCAAGCCACATATACACAAGTGCTCCCTCCATTGGCTCCTTCAGCACTTTCTTACCAGTTCTGGTGGCCCAAATCTTTTGAGTTGTCTGTTACTTCTCTTAGATGTACATCAAAAACCAGCTCTGAGTTGTGTTTTCATGATGGAGCACAAGACAGATTTTACCCAGTCAACCCTTAACTCTCAACTCAAGAGAGAAAGAATGTGGCAATATAGTTATCCAGAAGGGCAGGCAATCCCTTAGGAATTTCTTTCATCTTTGGAACACATTACGTAATTTATTTTGCAAGAGAGTCTCATAGTTAATTCCATTTTTCATTGGCAACTAATAGTATGAGTTCACACTCCCCAAAGTAACTCTGGAGATACACAGCCTGCTGAGACGGGAGGAGTCGAGCAGGCTGTGAAATGTTTTCCACGCTTTGAGTGCATACGGTGGGTAATGCACATAGAAATGTGTGTGGAGATTCACAATCACATCCACACAGCTTTCTAGATAGACCCATAAGATTTTCCGTTCCCTCCGCAAAATCCATAAGCCAGCGTTCCTTCCAACCACATGTCACCCAGTCCCAAAATGTGCAAATTTTTAAAGGTTCCCCTGGGTCTTATATCTTGGACTCTCTTGTCCAGTGTTTCTCAATCCTTGCTCTCTTTTTCATTATGATAGCCCAGTGTTCCCAAATGTCATTCCATGAAAGGTACTTCTAAATTACTTGGGAGCTATTTACAAACACCTATTTCCATAATCCACACCCTGGAATGTAGGTTTAATAGATCTGGAGTGAAGTCTAAGAGGCTGTATTTTGTTTGTTTGTTTGGTTAGTTTTTGTTTTTTAGTGTTTTCTTAAATGTTTTAAGTGTATTGATTTATTTATTAATTTTAGTTGATAAATAATAATTGTGTACACTTATGGGGCACAATGTGATGTTTTTATCTATGTATAAATTATAGAAAGATTCAGTCAAGCTAATTAACATATCCTCAGCTCACCAACTTACATTTTTGTGGTAAAAAAACATTAAAAAATGGGCAAAGGATTTGAACTGACATTTCTCAAAAAAAGAGATACAAACAGCCAACAGGCGTATGAAATAATATTTAACATCTCTAATCATCAGAGAAATGCAAATTAAAACCACAGTGAGATTATCACCTCACACTTGCTGTGTTGGTGAGGATATGGAGAAAAGGGAACCCTTTTACACTGTTGGTGGGAATGTAAGTTAGCACAGCTATTATGAAAAATGGTACAAAAGTTCCTGAAAAAATGAAAAAATAGAACCACCATATCATCCAGCAATTCCACTTCTGGGTATTTATCCAAAGGAACTAAAATTCATATATCGAAGAAATAACCACATTCTGATGTTCATTACAGCACTATTCACAGCAGCTGAGATATGGAATCTACCTGTGTCCATCAACAGATGAATGGATAAAGAAAACGTGGTACATATACACAACGGAATACTAGCTAGCCTTTAACAAGAAGGAAATTACGTCATTTTCAACAACATGAATGAACCTGGAAGGCATTATGCTAAGTGAAATAAGCCAGACTCAGAAAGACAAATGCTGTGTGGTCTCATTTATAAGTGGAATCTAAAAACGTTGATCTCACTGAAACAGAGTAGAAAGCTGATATCAGAGGCTGTGGTGGGGGCAGCAGGGGTGGATAGAGGAAAGAGGCCGGGAAAGGAGAGATATTGATGAAGACGCAATTTCAGTTAGACTGAATTCATTAGTTTTAGTGATCTGTTGCCCTGCATGGTGACCACAGTTAATAATAACGTATTGTACATTTCAAATGTGCTAAAAGAATAGGAAGCTGTATCTTTAACAAAAGTCTGGGAACCATTGGCCTAGATTACCACAACAGCACCCAACTGGCCTTCCTCCTTCTGCTGTAATAGTCTAAATCTATTTTTTTTGACTGCTGACAACTTTTTTTTTTTTTTTTTCTGAGACGAGGGTCTCACTCTATCACCCAGGCTGGAGTGCAGTGGTGCGAACACAGCTTACCGCAGCCTCAGACTCTGGGCCTCAAGCGATCCTTCCATTTCAGCTTCCCAAACAGCTGGGACTACAGGTGCACACCATTATGTCTAGCCATTTATTTATTTATTTGTTTATTTATTTTTTATTGTTTTGGAGAGACAGGAGTCTCAATATTTTGCTCAGGCTGGTTGCAAACCTCTGGGCTCAAGTGATCCACCCACCTAGGTCTCCCAAAATGCTGAGATTACAGTATTTTGAGTCACAACACCCGGCCTGCTAACAACTTTTAAGCCTTCCCTTTCCCTCACCCCCTTGTGCCTTGCATCTGGGCAAGCTCATGTGAAAGTCTGGATGCTCTTTGTTGGTGCAAGCAGGAAATCCAAACCACACAAGCCCCTGCCCACATTGTAACCACTATTAAAAATTCCAAGCCGGCCGGGCGCGGTGGCTCACGCCTGTAATCCCAGCACTTTGGGAGGCCGAGGCAGGTGGATCATGAGGTCAGGAGATCGAGACCATCCTGGCTAACAAGGTGAAACCCCGTCTCTACTAAAAATACAAAAAATTAGCCGGGCGCGGTGGCGGGCGCCTGTAGTCCCAGCTACTCGGGAGGCTGAGGCAGGAGAATGGCGTGAACCCAGGAAGCGGAGCTTGCAGTGAGACGAGATTGCGCCACTGCAGTCCGCAGTCCGGCCTGGGCGACAGAGCGAGACTCCGTCTCAAAAAAAAAAAAAAAAAATTCCAAGCCTTGGCCGGGCATGGTGGCTCATGTCTGTAATCCCAGCACTTTGGGAGACCAAGGTGGGAGGATTGCTTGAGCCCAGGAGTTCAAGACCAGCCTGGGCAACATAGTGAGACCTCATCTCTAAAAATAAAAATAAATGAAAATCAAATCCCAAGCCAGTCTTTTTTCTTGCTCTCCCAAGCTGTTTTGAACTAGCTTGGGATGTCTTCCCTGTTCTTCCCCAGAAAGCCTCATCATGTAAGTCAGGGGCGTCCAATATTTTGGCTTCCCTGAGCAACACTGGAAGAAGAATTGTCTTGGGCCACACATAAAATACACTAACACTAACGATAGCTGATGAGCTTAAAAAAAAAACAACTAGCAAAAAAAAAAAATCTCAAAATGTTGTAAGAAAGTTTATAAATTTGTGTTGGGCTGTACTTAAAGCCATCCTGGGCCACATGCGACCCGCAGGCTGTGGGCTGGACAAGCTTGATGTAAGTAATAAACATGTGCATGCTCTCTTGGTATGTGTGATGGCGTCAATCTTGACATCCAAACTAAATTTAGGGTGGGGATCCACCTTGCTTCTGCAAGGTAACCACAGCATCTGGTCTCTTGCCATTAAAAGAATTCTCCACATCACTGCTGGAGTTATCTTTCAGAAAACTCGCTTTGCTCGGGTTCCAGATTTGTGCCATGATGTCCCTCGGTTCCCCTCCCTACAATCCCAGTAGTGCCAGAGCACTCTGCCCCACTTAACCTTGTCAGCCTCATCTTCCTCCACCTTTCCTCTCACACGCCTCAAGGGGCAATCACACCACAGTGGTGATGCTACAAAGCACTGATAAGTTTATTTCCAATGTATTCCCACTGCCTTCTTCTTTCTCACTGAAAAGCTCAAAGAAACCACAAAGAAACCAAAGCACTTCTATAGTTAAACAAAATCTGAAAGCAGACCAGCAGACCTCGTTTTCCTGCCCTCTAAGACCAGACAATAGCGGGGCTGGGGAAGTGGAAAGGATCTGGTGGAAGGAAAGTGAGGAGACACAGGAAGAAGGGAAGAGGAGAAAGAGCAGAGCCTCAATCAAGAGGCACTTCCCTTCCTCCCAGCCCAGCTTCACCTCTGTCAGGCCTTTTCTGATCTTCCCTCTTTGGGGCTCTCCTGACATACCACTCACACTTATTTCATTGTGATATTGTTGGTTGTTCATGTTTGTTTACTCCACTGGGTCAATGGCTTCTTAAAAGTGGGGAGTGCGCTTTAGTTGCCCCACATCCAAGGCACACAGGGCTGGCAGGCCTCCTGCCATACACTACTAAATTATTAATTTTTAGAAATCCTGCAATTAACTTAAGATCATATGATAATATGACACTGCATTTTTAGTAGACTGACAAGCATTATTTTTCAATGTAAGCATTGTGAATATCTCAGTGAGCTTGGAACTTTGTTTTCTTGTTTCTGCTTTTCACAGTTCCAGGAACTCTGAAGTGGCCTGTGGCTCCCTTGATCTCCAACAACCCCTGTGCATACATCAAAGTCCTAGACAGAAAATGTTCAGGAAATAACCACTGATCAGTTGCTACCTCAATGCAAAATTCCTTGAAGATGGACCAATGCCAGAAGCCAGTGGTTTTCCTACAGGAAGAGAAACTTGATACTTCTCCCTGTCTTTTCCAGCCCAGATGAAAGGGCACCATATGCCCATACTTATCCCATAAGGCAGGTCCCAGCCTCCTGAGCCACTCTGCAGTGATTTTTTCCTAGCATGTTTCTCCCATGGCTACTAACCACCTGTGAGACCCAGGCAGTAAGTATTCCAGTTCCAAGCAGTTTATGGCACAGTAGGAAGTAGGTTCTGCCTTTTACAATGTGTGACCCTTAGGAAGCTCCCTTTCCCTCCCTAAGAGCTCAATGTCTTCATTATAGAAAGGAAATTATAATAACGTCTGCCCTAGTCACCTTGCAAGAATGCCTTTAGTATTAAACTAGAGAAATAACAGTTGTGGAGAGGTTCATAAACTGTCCAAGGGCCATGCAAAAGCTTTACTCTTAGCTTCTCCTTTGTAAGTGGATGAGCCTAGCTTGCCAAGGAGAATAGTCCCGTTTGCATGCCAAAAACACTTGACACAGCATATACTCCCTACGAAATGAAGCTAGAATTAATAATGCACAGAGGTGTAGGCACGCCCAAGTGCATTGTCTAGTAGGACAGGCTTTTGCAACCTTTTTTATAACGCAATCCATCTTTTGAAAAAAAGAAAATCTCGTTCCTTCCTTTTATCTTATTTGAAATTCCAAATAAGTAAAATAATCATAATCATTAAATATCATGATTCCAAGATGACCCCCTACTACTCTCCCTCGCCAGCTGAAAACCACTTTTGGGGTTATTAGCTATCTTGTTTCCAGATGAGGCATTTATAACACAAGCTAACACTTATTACAAATGTATATGTGTCAGGCCCATTTCTAAACTTTTACAAATCCTAACTCAGGAACTAGCAGCACCTCTATGAGATCCATATTCTTACTTCTCCCATTTTATAGATGAAAGACCTGATGCCCCCTCAAAAGAGGAAAAGTTGGCCGGGCAGGGTGGCTCACGCCTGTAATCCTAGCACTTTCAGCGGCCGAGGTGGGAGGATCACCTGAGGTCAGGAGTTCGAGACCAGCCTGGCCAACATGGTGAACGCTCATCTCTACTAAATACAAAAATTAGCTGGGCATGGTGGCGCACACCTGTAGTCCCAGCTACTCGGGAGGCTGAGGCAGGAGAATTGCTTGAACCCAGGAGGCAGAGGCTGCAGTTAGCAGAGGTCGCACCAATGCACTCCAGCCTGGGCGACAGAGCAAGACTCCGTCTCAATAAATAAATAAATAAATAAATAAATAAATAAATAAATAAGAGGGAAAGTTATTTGCTTAGACACACAGCTAGAGCATGGCAGAGCCAGGCTTTGAATCCCTAAACTCTGAGAGGTTTAACAAACTCACTAACATACCACTCATCGTTTCAATTTGATTTTCATCCAGCAATGGATAAGCCATTTTGGAGCATCTCCAGATTGAGCTTCTACCATGTGAAGCCCACCTGGGAACCGGATGCAGCAGCGCTCAGCAGAACAGCTGCCCTGGGAGGCACTGATTCTAGAAGGCCCCTGCCTGAACCCACTCAAACACCACGCGCTCTCGTGGAGCCCCTCCTGTGTCACCCCTAACAACCCCACAAAATAGGTATTTTTTTAAATCCATGTTTCCACATGAGGAAGCTGAGCCCGGTGAGACTGCCCCCCAGGTCTTCCCTAGAACCACAGTCTTTTCCCACCTTACTGCACCCCCATCCCAGACAGAGCCTTTGAGACGCCTGGGGCTGTCCACTCTCACCACGAATAAACTTGCTCAATGACGGATGAGAAGCCGCTCTCAACTCGCATTTCCTGGAACAGGCACACATCATTTCTATTTTCCTAATAGCCCACTCCCTTCTGAGGAATCAACCTCCACCCAGCCTGAAAGCTAAAGAGATTTTTCTAGAAAACTTCAAAAACATCCCATGTTTGAAGCATGTATTACATTTCCAAATATGTCTGTACTACATTTAATGACTGAATTTTTTTCTTCAGCCATGGAGCTAGAAGCTGCTGAACATAAAGGAACAGAAATATTCATGGTCTATGCTGGTTCCAGGCATAGAAAGCCCTAGAAATAGGTTAAACCATCAAGAGTATAGGAACCACAGCAACCAAAGAAGAAAACTAAAAATCAGCCTTGTCACTGGGTTTTGTGTCCTTTTGGAAGAGTGTCTAGGTGAAATGAAATCCAAAGAAAGCCTGGTAAGAAAGAGGCACACCAGGGCAGACCCCCAACCCCTGTTTATGATGAGTGGAAATGACAATGGTGACAGGAAATACTGCCTCGGCATGAGAAGGATGACATTTACACCCACAGCCGGGTAGAGGGCACGCAGGACTGGACCCCACAACTTCCCCTAATTTGGAGGTACACAGGCTGGAGGCTTCCTGATGGAGAAAATCAGAATTACCCCATGCCAGTCTGAGAGCCCAGCCCCATCACCCCATAAGCAACATCAAAGCAAGGCTGTCTCCACGCTTCTCCACCCTTTAGTGACTTCTCACTAAAAATGATGGGGTCAGGCGTCTTTACAGTATTGGACTGGCTTCCCCGACCGAAATAGGAACTCTGCTAACCCTATTGGAATATAAGCTCTGTAATATCCATGTCTGTGTATTCCTTGCACACTGTTGTGTCCTCAAACCTAGAAAAGTGCCTGACACAAAAGAGGTACTTGCCATTCTTTTGTTTACTCGCTAAGAAACCAAATAAACAGAGAAGTGAAGACATAAATTTATTCACCCGGCACCTGGGGCATCTGTCACAGAGAAGATGCCAATGGGGACATGAGCTCCTCATGCTGGGGCAGCCGCCAGCTCCAGCCTCTGCCCCTCCCTGCGTAACTCTGAAGCTGCTGGGCTGGGAAACCAGCATCTTCTGGAGAGGTTTTAACGGCATCCAGGTAAACAAGGAGAATCACTTCTGGGGAGACCAGCCAGAGTCAGGTTAGATACGGTTTTTATTTCAGGATAAACACGTGAGGAAGAAAGCATAAAAACTGTGAGACATTCTAAATTAGAAATGCAGAGATGATCGAAAGATGATGGGTAAATAGAATTACATAGATGGAATTCATATATATACACATATATGTATTCATATGTATATGTGTACGTATATGAAGATATATATGGTACAGAATGCAAGAAATATACAATGTTGCCTTCTTCCCCTCAGATCATTTGTTTTGTTTCTGGCCAGTGAAAAAATTATATGAAAAAAATGGAAATTCCTTCTCTTTATTTGAATGGCTTCCCATAAAATATGAGATTTTCTACATGGAACTGAAACGTTAAGCATGTAAGGCTCTCAGCTGCAAGAGAGAGTTCTATAAGTTGAATTGCGTCCCCAGAAAAGATGTTGAAGCCCTAACCCCAGGACTTGTGTATATGTGACCTTATTTGCAAACAGGGTCTTTACAGAGCTAGTTCAGTTAAAATGAAGTCATCAGGGTGGGTCCTAATCTGGTATGGAGTCAGAAGAGGGGGAAATTTGGACAAAGAGATGTGCACACAGGGAAAATACCAGGTGAAGATGAAGACAA
This sequence comes from Homo sapiens, assembly GCF_000001405.40. Classification (NCBI taxonomy): domain Eukaryota; kingdom Metazoa; phylum Chordata; class Mammalia; order Primates; family Hominidae; genus Homo; species Homo sapiens. The sequence goes on from NC_000017.11 coordinate 15,483,453, forward strand.
AGATTGGGGTGAAGCATCTACAAGCTAAGGAATGTCAAAACTCACCAGCAAACCACCAGCAGCAAGGAGAGGGCCATGGAACAGGTTCTCCCTCGCAGCCTTCAGAAGTAACCAACTCTGCCAACACTTTGATCTCAAATTTCCAGAACTATGAAGCAATAAAGTGCTGTTGTTGAAGACATCCAGCTTGCGGTACTTTGTGATAGCAGCCCAAGGAGCATAATACAGATAAGCACTGGCTTAAGCACAGAAAGCAGCAGCATCAGGACTCAGTTCATCCAGGTTTCTGTAAGTTCTGCTTTCCGCAGTCTGGGCTCCACTCCCCAGCAAGTGGTCACTATGTGGTGGAAGTGGTCACTACGTGGTAGCCCCCAGAAGCCCCTGACTTACAACTTCCCAGTTTCAAGTCCTCTCTTGGAGGAGGGCTTCTCTTCCCAGGAGTTCCAACAAAAGACCTGAAATCAAGTTTTAGTGACTTGAATCTTGGGGAAGGGGCCAGCCTCCACCACACCACAGGGTCTGAAAGAGGGATGAAGATTTTTCCTTGTGGAAAATCATTACCAATTATATATCATTACCAAAGAAACAGCGGGTGGAGGCTGAATGCCAAACATGCAAACACACGAAGGTATCTGGAATACATTTTAACACAAGGGATCTGTGCATCCATCCAATCAACAGGTATTTATTGATTCATTCATATTTCATGAGTGACTATTATGTGCCAGGCACCATACTAGTAGCTAGAAATAAAACATATAATGATCCCGGCTCTTATGGAGTTTATATCCAAGCAAGGGGAAATAGTTGATAAAATACAAACCTAAAATGTAAATTATATAGGATATTAAAGGTACTGTCAAGCTCTAAGAGAAAAGAAAATGTAAAGCAAGTTCAGGAAAGTGTCCAGTTTGTGATGTTTGGCAGGCAAAACACAGCATGCTTCATTAAAAAGTAACAGTGAAATAAATATCTTTTAAAAAATGAGCTGGAATAACTATATGGGTATCAGAGAGAAGAGTGTTCCAGGCAGAGAGAACAGCTTGTGCAAAGGCCTTGAGACGGAGAAGTGCCTGGAAGTTCAAGGAACAGCAACAAGGCCAAGCAGCTGAAACAGAGAAAGCAAGCGGGGAAAAGAGTGAGAGATGAGGTCCAAGGTCACAGGAAGCCAACTCACATAGAGCTTTATAGGCCAATGTGTGGACTTGCACTCATGTTGAACGATGTGGGGAATTGTTGCAGAGTTTTGAGCAGAGGAGCGGCATGACCTGATTTGCATTTGTAAAGGACCTCTTTGGTCCCTTGAGAAGGATGAAGGAAGAAGATCAGTTAAGAATATTTGCACTGATTCAAGCAAGGGATGATAAGGGCTGTGTTCTAGATATGTTGAAGATGAGATTGACAAATTTCTTGATGAATTGGATATGAGATGTAAGAGAGAGAGGAATCAAAGATGACTGCAATGTTTTCAGCCTGAGCAACTGAAAGGGTTGACTTGCAATCATTGAAACAAGAAAGGATGCAGGGAGAGCAGATTTGGGGTGGGATTGGATTAGGAGTTCTGTTTGGAATGCATCAAATGTGAGGTGAAGAAGTTCAGGAAATGCCACCTGAAAGCTGATGCTTTGGTGTGCCGATTACTTTTAACTGAGGGCATTTGGGGAGCAGCAGATGCAGGCAGAGGCTTTCTCTGAGCTCCCCTTATCTGCCTAAGGACAGATCCTCCAAAAGGAATTCAATTGTCATGAATTCCTTCCCCAGGAATCTCATCAACCAGGGAAGAACACAGGAAAGGAGATAAGATTGACACCAGCACTGACAGACCATCACTTACTCCTCTCAGGCAACGTTTATTACCTGAGAGACGTTTAACAAGACAACATTTATTTGCCACTCATTTCCTCCCCTCACCCTCCCATAACTTGTTCCGCTACCACCCCCCAGAAGTTCCAAGTCCCTATTCCTTTCTGTAGCTGAGGATGCTATACAAGCTTCAATCACTTAACCTCTCAAGTCTCATATTTTGTGGGACTCCCATGTCCCACATAATTAATGTATTAATTAATTAATACATAATTAAACGTAGTTTTTCTCCTGCTATTCTGTCTTATGTCAATTTAATTCATAGCCCAGCCAAGGAGCCTAGAAAAGTAGTGTCTACCAGAGAATTGGTGAGTAGAGAGGTCAAGCAAGAATAAGCAAACACCTAGAGGGCATTTGGGCTGCAGAGATGAAGTTTTTAGTAGAGACAGGGTTTCACCATGTTGGCCAGGCTAGTTTCCAACTCCTGACCTCAAGTGCTCCGCCCACCTAGGCCTCCCAAAGTGCTAGGATTATAGGCGTGAGCCACCACACTCACCCTAAAATAATTTCTTAATAACTCCTACCACACTAGCATTCAGTCCATTGCAAGAAGATATTTGAAACTTAGAGACTGGGTGAGGTCACCTAGGAAGTATATATAGATAAAGAGAAACCAATCTGAGTCCTGGGGTGCTCCAACATTTACCACCTCCACGGCTATCACCCAGGCCCAAAACATCCTCAACTACATTTCAGCAGCCTCCTAACCAGCCTCCCTGGTTCCACACTTGCCCATCTCCATTTATCTCCACACAGCAGGCATAGTGGTCCCATCAAAATCAGATCCCACCACTCCTCTGCTCAAACCCTGCAAGGGGCATGCAGATGTGGTACATCCATATAACAAGATCATATTTGTCAATAAAAAGAACTCGGGTACGGATACATGTTCCAATGTGGATGAACCCTGAAGATATTATCCTGCATAAAATAAGCCAGTCACAGAAGACCCTATATCCTGTGGTCCATTTACGTGATATGACCAGCATAAGCAAATCTGCAGACAGAAAGTACATTGATGGTTGTCAAGGGTTAGGGGAGAGAGGAATGGGGTGTGACTGTTAATAGGGATGAAGTTTCTGAAATTACACAATTCTATGAATATACTAACAACCACTGAATGGTACACTGGCCATGAGTGAATTTATGGTACATGAATTCTATCTCCATAAAGTAGTCCCGCCTTATCCACAGGGATTACATTCCAAGACCGCCAGTGGATTCCTGAAACTGTGGATAGCACCAAACCTGATTGCCATTAGTCAGAACGTGGAACATGTTTCTGTTCATGTCTTCTACCCACAAATTTAATGCTTTTTCCATCTTAACTAAGCACTTGTCATACATCATGGTCATAGCTTTTGCAGTTTGAATTGCGACAGCAAAACTAGTAGGAATTTCTTTTTCCTGATTCACAATTTCACAGTTTCACAGATAGAACATTCGTTCTTTTTCTTTCTTTTCTCTTTTCTTTTCTTTTTTTTTTTTTTTGAGATGGAGTCTCGCTCTGTCACCCAGGCTGGAGTGCAATGGTGCAGTCTCGGCTCACTGCAACCTCCACCTCCCGGGTTCAAGTGATTCTCCTACTTCAGCCTCCTGAGTAGCTGGCATTACCGGTGCGTGCCACCATGCCTAGCTAGTTTTTGTATTTTTAGTAGAGACAGGGTTTCACCATGTTGGCCAGGATGGTCTCAATCTCTTGAACTCGTGATCTGCCACCTCGGCCTCCCAAAGTGCTGGGATTACAGGCTTGAAGAAGGTTCATTCTTACTGTAGAACTTAACAACGTCAGCAGATGTTTTTTTTTCCGTCATTGAGAACTTTCACCTTTTCACTTGAAGGAAGCACTTTATGACTTCTCTTTGGCATATCTGAATTGCCAGCACTGCCACTCTTGCACCCAGGGGCCATTACTAAGTAAAATAAGGGTTCCTTGAACACATGCACTGCAATGCTGCCACAGTGGATTTGATAACTGAGTCAGCTACTAAGTGGCTAAGAGGTGCAATTTAAAATATGAATTATTTCTGGAATTTTCCATTTTATGTTTTTGGACCACAGTTGATGGCTGGTAACTCAAGCTGGTAACTTTTGGAAAGCAAAATTGTCAATAAGGGGAGGGACCACTGTAGAGCTATTTTAAAACTCTGCCCTGGCTCCCCCTACTATGCAGACAGAAGCATCATCATTCAAAGCCTCACATTCTACCGACGCTCTCTCCCCAATCTCTGATCTTCACTTCTCCTACTGTCCCCCTCCTGGCTCCTCCTGCCCCAGCCACTGTAGCCTCCTTGTTGTGCCTCAAACATGCACACTACAGACGCAAATCTTTGCACCTGCTCCTCCTTCTCCCTCCATTTATCTATGTCATTACTATGACATATGTCACTACTTTACCTCTCTCAAGTCATCATCCAAACATCACCCTGTCACTTGCCAAAGCGGCCCTCCTGGCAGCCCACATCTGCCCATGGTGGTGGTATACGCTCCCCAATCACTTTCTTGCTTCATGTTTCTTCATTATCCTTCTGATTATTTAGGCCACTAGATACTTATTCATTTTGTCTATTACCTGCAACACCAACTAGAAGGTAACTTGCACAAGGGTGGGAATTTTCACTGGATGTATTCATTGTCGAATCCACAGGACCTAGAACAGAGGCCAGCACCCAGAAGGCACTCAATAGACATCTATCTTCAGTGGTTATGTGGTTATTTCTGTGCACTGTCTTATGGGCAACCAGATTTCTTTTCTGAGGTTGTTTGTTGTTTGGGGAGATTTTGGGGCCTTGCAAGTTTTGTACAATGAATATACATTACTTAGATAGTCAGGAAAAAATGTTATATAAGGGGGAAAAGTCCTACCACTGCTGCCACTGCCTGTGGGATGCAATCCTGAACTCCTTAGCAGGCGCTGGCTTTTCCAAAGTCAAAGCTCTTCCTCCCCTCCCTTTCCACTGCCCTAGGTCAAAATGAATCCAGTGGAGTCCTGGTTCCCCGAGATGAAAGTAGATGTTCTCTGAAACAAAAAGAGAGAATTCCCTGTGCTTAAAAATGGTTAAACAGGTTTTGTCGTGTTTGGTTTGGTTTGCTAAGAGCCTGCAGTAAGCTTTGCACATCGTGGAACTCTAAGAAGGCCACATAGTGGGATACCCACCCTGACATATTTGACCCCAGAACCTCCTCTTTTACTGGCTCATCTCCAAGGACTCGAGTTCCAAGGAACAAGTCCCAGGGACGTCGCCCCCATCAGACAGGACACTTGGCTGTGCAGCAGCCCAAGCTCCTGGAATCCTCTCCCCTCCTCCACCTGTAGAAACTCTACCCATGCTTCACAAGACAGTCCTGCTTGTGCCCTATCTAGGAATCCTTCTCTACTCTCAGCCCCTCATTCCCCTGTGTTTCTACAGAACATCACATCTATGATGAAAGCTCTTATCATGGTCATTGCTCCAGCTGTCATCAACAGCTGTCATCAACTGGTGTCTTCAACACCAGACTGCAAGCCCCTCGGGTGCAGCAATGGGGCCTCCTCCACATGGGTTTCCCAAGGGCATGGTGTGATGCTGGGCTCTGGGAATGTTTATGCCCCAGAACTGCCACTTTGGAGGCAGGTGGGCCTCCCTTCTTGGGGTGAGCAGCCCAGCAAGCAGGCCGGCGAGGAGCTTCATGCAGCATCCTTTCCGCTTCCCCTTCTCAGTATCTCTGCCTAGGGACAGAAAGTCCCTGGAAACCTAGGGGTGAGGATCTTGGGTGTCTTTTTCTTAGCTGTTCTCTTTATCTTTGGAATTTCTTTAAAAGGCTGTTTTTTAATTTAATTTTTTATTTTTATTTTCATTTTTATTTTTTTTTGAGACGGAGTCTCACTCTGTCATCCAGGCTGGAGTGCAGTGGCACAATCTTGGCTCACTGCAAGCTCCGCCTCCTGGGTTCACGCCATTCTCCTGCCTCAGCCTCCCGTGTAGCTGGGACTACAGGCGCCCGCCACCATGCCCAGCTAATTTTTTTGTATTTTTTTTAAAGACAGGGTCTCGTTCTGTTGCCCAGGCTGGAGTGCAGTGGCACAATCACAGCTCACTCTAGCTAATTAGAAAAAAAAAATTGTAGAGGAGGGGGTCTCACTGTGCTGCCCACGTTGGTCTCAAAATCCTGGCCTCAAGCCATCCTCCTGCCTCAGTCTCCCAAAGCACTGACATTACAGGAGTGAACCACTGCATCCAGCCAAAAGGCTGTGTTTAAATCAGAGGACCCGGTATCTGGAATTAACCTGGCCTGGCTATGATGGTGTCATATTGAGTCTGGCATCTTCTGTTAACTTACTGGTTGGCAAAGGAGCTGTTTGGAAAATAAAAACTGCCTTCTCTGTGGGAAGAGGGTCGATCTGCTGTGGGGGTTGGGGGGAGTGGAAAGCACCTTAGATTGAGAGTCAGGAAGCTCACATTTGAGTTTTAACAATGTCACTAACATTATAAAGGTTTAGGGCAATCACCTAACTCTTCCAAAACTCTAGTTCCTTAATTCTAAAGTGGAAGAATTTTAGGGATCCTTCACAGCTCTAAGACTAAAGATCAACTTAAAAAGAATAACCCTTGGGGTATCTATTTGCAGAGAACTGTCTTTCTTTTTCCTTTTCTTTTTTTTTTTTTTTTTTTTTGAGATGGAGTCTCGCTCTATCGCCAGGCTGAAGTGTAGTTGCGCAATCTCAGCTCACTGCAAGCTCCGCCTCCCGGGTTCACGCCATTCTCCTGCCTCAGCCTCCTGAGTAGCTAGGACTACAGGTGCCCGCCACCACGCCCGGCTAATTTTTGTATTTTTAGTAGAGACAGGGTTTCACCATGTTGGCCAGGGTGATCTCGATCTCTTGACCTCGTGATCCACCCGCCTCAGCCTCCCAAAATGCTGGGATTACAGACGTGAGCCACGGTGCCGGGCCTGCAGAGAACTGTCTTTCAAAACGTTCTAGTGACCACATAGTACAGTCTCACACAGGGAGGCTCCGTGGCCTCCACCACCAGCCAGCAACGTCAGAGGGGATTGTTCACGCCCTTGCTAGTGTCTTCCAAGATGGTCCTTTGAGAGGTTTGTAGTAAGTTTGTAGAATACTGGTGAGTCGGTCAGGGACAGCTTGAGTATGATTCGCAACCCCCAAAACCACCTCCCTATGGGCAAACCGTATCCACAGAGCACATTCATAAGCCTGATTTAAAATACTCGCTCCTTGTGCCTCAGCCATTACTCTCTTTCTGTCCAGGTCTCTTATTCTGACTTAGTGGAAAATAAGGTTGTTACAGCAATGGCTCCATTCGTCCTGTGGGCAAGAAACTCATGGAGAGAATTAGTCAATTCTTCCTGGACATTCGGGAGCTTCTGGGTGGAGGGAAGACTGCGAAGCAGAAACAAACAGAAATCCTAGAGAGGCAGTCATCTGAGCATTCGTCACAGGGGCACTCCTAGGATCCACCCTCAGAAGCCGTGAAAGGCCCATTGATCTGGCTGGGGCAGGGAGTGGCCCTGAGCTGGTGACATCTCAGGCGAGGAAAGGCACAGATGTCTGTGCTGGCTGTGATAAGAGGCTTCTCAGGAAATCTGAGTCACCTCGGGCCGGCTCTTCGAAGCATAGAGGCCCAGCAAGCACCACAGCCTGGAGGCAAAGCTTCCTGCTAGCCCTGGGACCCTGGGACTTTGCATTTCCTGTTGGTGTCCTTTGACTTGGGCAGCCACCACCCCTGGGAAGTTTTCCAACACCCTCACTCATGCATTTTGAACCTGGTGTTCACAGCTCTTTGTCTCTGCTCATCTCGCTTTTGTTTCCTCTGGAATGTTCCAAGCCCCCTGCATCACCCCATGCCAGGAATCTGACATCCCAGAGTGGAAGCCGGCTTCATGTTACTCACCCCACCCTGTGATTTCCTGATGGAGGATCCGGAGACCTGAACTCTGGTCCAGGTTTACAGACAACTCATAATCATGGTTGAGGCCCCTTTCTAGGCCTTACTGTTCTCATACTTTTAACTGGGGATGGGGGCAGGATGGGAAACTTTTGGAAAAACAGACTTTTTAAAACTGGAATGATGCTAGACATTTATTTGCTACTACCTGCTGGCTGCTGCCTGTCATTTCATCATTACATAGAAAAGAAATGCTCCAACATTTTGTCATGCATTTACTCCTTGGTATAAGGGAAGGATTCAAGAAACGTCTTATGGAAGCAAAAATAACAGTAAATTATGCAAAGGCACTGGTTCCCTTCAGGGGCTGGAGTAAGACTGGTGAGAGTCGTGGGAAGGGAAGAAGCACAGAGAGAAGATTCCACTTCACGCATATTTTTTAGGGTTTGGCCTAAATAAAAGGACTTTCAGAGATTATAAGAGAATATTTGTGTTTAAAAAAAACACGTTAGATAAATTTAATAGAGTTAATTGAGCAAAAAATTATTCAAGAATTAGACAGACTCAGCACACCCACAGTGACTCTGGTGCATGGTCGGAGAGGATTTATAGACAGAAAAAGAAAGTGATCTACAGAAAACAGAAACAGCTAGGCTGCTTACGGCTCCGTGTCTGCCTGATTTGAACACAGTTTGAGCAGTTGATCGCCTGTGATTAGCTGACACTCAGCTGCTCTGATGGGCTGACACTGGGCTAGTGGCTACAAGCCTCGGTTACAGTCTCTGTACACATCCAGTTAGGTTATCATCTGCACAGCGGAATGTTTAGGTGGAACTTAAAATATGTAAGGAGGCAGCTTGGGCTAAACTTGTTAACATTTGCTAGAGAAAAAAAAAAACATCTGGGAGTCAACCAATCCATCTTTGATTTCTCAACTATGGAGACCACCACCTTGAGCATCTTCTCTAAGGTCCCGTAGCCAGGAGTAATACCTGGTATCTTGACTTCATAGCCCATGACATTGGACAAGCCTCTCAACCTCTCAGGTCTCAATTTCCTCAATTGTCAAACAAGGATGACAGTAGGATTGTGGGGAACTAATGAGTATATTTACTCGATTTTGAAACAGTAGGTGTGCAATAGATGTTACATTGCCATCATCATCATCGTCATCATCATCATCGTCATCATCGTCATCATCATCATCATCATCTCACTATCACTACAGCTGCTGTTCCTGCCACCCAGGTCTCCCAGCAGCAGGTTGTCCCCTAGAACCACACCCAAACCATCCTCCTAACCAATGCTGTGCACCCTTCAGTAAGACTTTTCAAAAATGGACATAAAACAAAATAGTTCTTAAATGAGCCTACTTCTATTTTTCACATCCCCATTTCCCCAAGACGTACCTGTGCTCCAGATGGAAAACCATCAATTACAATCCTGCTCCTTCTGCGGCAGGGCAATGGGGAGTCACCCAAAGGAGCAGCGATGCTCAAGCCCCCCACAGAAGGACCCCCAGACTCCCAAAGAGAAATGGACGTGAACGTGGGTGAAGTCTTGGGCTGATCAGAGAGCAAGCAGGGCCAAGGGACATGAAGACAGGTGTGTTCTTAGAGACTGGTCACAGGAAGGAGCAGACTACCTGCCCCCTGCCCCCTAGTCCAAGCCTGGTTCTAGGTTAGAAGCGAATCAGCTGGAAGAGGAACAGCTGCTGAACAGAAAGCACAGCCTTGTGCCCTCCCAGAGAGCAAGGCATGGCATGCACAGCCTGCCCCAGGCTGCTGCCAGGGCCACCGCGGGGGGTCAGCTTCCATTGCTGAGCTGTGCTACGCCCTGGGAGCACCAATCTTTGTCAAAAGAATGGATTTGTGCAGCTAAACCCCACAGGGCCTGGCCATTGTGGACCTGTCTGTCTGCATTTCAACTCTGGGCTTCACTCTTTGGTGAATGTGAATCTCCAGCGGCACAGGCAGCCAGAACAGAAACGCCACGCAGTCTCACCCTGTCATGCCAAGAGCTTTGTCCGCTTTGGGACAGAGCCCTGTGCTGGGAGTCCATTGGGGAGACTCACAGGGATCCAGAAACCTGCTCCTGCCCTCAGGGAGCCTGCTGTGTAGCCTGGAGAAGGAACTCATAGGCATTTGCAGTACTGTCTATCTTGGGGTCTGTCATTCTCATCTAAATTAATGTTAACAGCACTAACTTAGCCTTTCTTACATGGGTGTGAAAACCACCAACATTCCTGGTATTAGGAGGTGGGCCTTCAGGAGGTCATTGGGTCATGAGGCTGGAGCTTGATGAAGGGGATTAGTGCCCTTATAAGGGGATAAAGAGACCAGAGCAAGTGTGCTTGCTCACTCCCCTTCTCTCCCTCCCTCCCTCTCTCTCCCATCCTCCTGCTCTCTCTCCCCTACTCCTCCCTTTCTCCCTCACCCACCCCCTCTTCCTCTTTTCCTTCCTCTCTCCCTCCCTCTCTCCCTCCCCCTCTCCCTCTCTCTCTCCCTCTCTTCCTCTTTCCCTCCCTCCCTTCCTCTCTCTCTCCCTCCCTCCCTTCCTTTCTCACTCCCTCTTCTCTCCCTCCCTCCTCTCTCTCTCCCTCCCTTCCTCTCTCTCTCTCCCTCTGCAGATGCCTGGCCATCTGCAAGCCAGGCAGAGGGCCTTCACCAGACACTGATCTCTGCCTTCCCATCTTTCAGAACTGCAAGAAATGAATGTCTGTTGTTTAACCCACATCTTGTTACAGCAGCCCACACTGGGCAAGATAGTGCTATCCAAAGAAAAGGTAACAAGTCCAATTATTCACTACATTTTCACATATTTGAAAAGCGTATGCAAACAGTGTGTTCCCAGTAGTCCTTTTTTTTTTTTTTTCTGGAGACAGAGTCTCGCTCACGCCTGTAATCCCAGCACTTTGGGAGGCTGAGGAGGGCGGATCACGAGGTCAGGAGATCGAGACCATTCTGGCTAACATGTTGAAACCCCATCTCTACTAAAAATACAGAGTGGTGGTGGGCGCCTGTAGTCCCAGCTACTCGGGAGGCTGAGGCAGGAGAATGGCGTGAACCCAGGAGGCGGAGCTTGCAGTGAGCCGAGATCATGCCACTGCACTCCAGCCTGGGCAACAGAGCAAGACTCCGTCTCCAAAAAAAAAAAAAAAAGAAAAGAAAAGAAAAGAAAAGAAAGAAATTATATTAAACCACTCCCTGGGAAGTCAATTAATTTTCTGTAGAACAAGTGCAAAATAATACTTACCAAGAAAAAAGCTCATTAATTTGGTCACTAAGAGAAGAAACCAAAATATAGACACATCTTCTAAATTATACCCAAGTAGCAAAAACAGTACACACTGTTTGTAAGATGCTGGAAAAAGAGACTCCATGATAAATGTTGAGCTTAGCATAAAGCAGTTGGCTTTTATTCTAATTTATTAATAGGCAAATTCCTTTATCAGATGATATTGTTGGATACTATAATATCAGTAATACCACGTATAAGAGCACTTACTACTGACAGTGACTGCAGATGTTTTCATCTGTAATTTGTCTAAGCCAGTGCTTCTCAACAGGGGTCAATTTTGCCCCCCAGGGGACATCTGGCTAAATCTAGAAGTATTTTTCATTGTTACAGCTGAGGAGGAAGAGGGACAAGAGAGTGCTACTGGTGTCTGTGTGTCAAAGCCAGGAAATCTGCTAAAATCCTACAGTGAAAAAGCCAACCCCCAAAAAGAATTTTCTGACCCAAAATGTCAGTGGTGCTGAAGTTGAGAAACTCTGATCTCAACCACTAATACACAGAACATGAACCAGCTGTATGAGGAGAGACAGAGGAGGGGATGGGGGGGGTGGAGGAGAGGAGGAGGGAAAATGATAAATGAAGGTCTTGAAGACTTTTTGTTCTTTTAAAATTGATGCTGTAGAAGAAGAGATGTTGTTGTAGCTAAGATAATGATTACTTTCTGATTCATGAAGCTCAGAAGGCATCTTGCCCTCCATATGATGAAAAGCTAGATATTGGTACAGCCTGCTTGATTAGCAGAGGTTAGGCCAACAACTGACTGTCGAAATAAATCATGAAAACTGGGGATATGGTCACATTGTGGTCACTGAAAGTTCATCTTTTAAACTTCTCTTGCGAAGAAATGAGCCCAAGTTCACGATTCTCCTTTCCCACTCAGAAGAATGCAGTCACTCAAAGGGAAAAGTACTTACTTGGGGTTTTGAAAGGAGAACTCAAGTTAATTTTTTTTTCTTGATGAAAGCTATGTCAGGAAAGGCCATTTTTACCACTTCAAGTTAGCTTAACGTGGGTGATATATCACATTGATATTTTGAAGATGGATTTTTCAAGGCAAAAGCAACATTCCCACTGGGAGGGAATGGAGTTCAGAGGTGGGCTTGCTGCCATTTGGGGGCTCTCTTATCCACCTCCTAACTTCGTGCTTTGTAGTTAACCTTGTGAGAGAGAGCAGGGGGCAGGAGGCCTTCTAACAAAGCTTAACTGTGTTAAAATAATTAATTGGGAGGCTATCAGGCTGAGGCAGCTGCAGCATCTTGGGTTCCTACGTAAGCAAATCAGAACCCAACTCAATGCAAGCAGTGAAATAAAACGTAAGCCTAACCAATCAGAAACAGCCAACTAACCTCTATCTAGGGACTCTCCACTTTAACCAATCAAATATTTTCTTTGTCTTGCTTTCTTAAACACTTTATGAAAGGTTCTCCTGAAGCCGCTGCTGTGTAGCACCCAAACACCTGTCATCCAGTGCTGCCCAGTTCATGAACTGCTGAATGCTCAAATAACGGTGTTAACATTTTAATGCGCCTGAGTTTATCTTTTAACAACTCTTTTGCTTCCCCTTCATCTTTCTCTCCTCCATAAGAAGCTTCTAATCTCAAGTGATAATATTTCAACCCCACAATGGGAAAGAGACCAGCCACCAGGAGAGTGGAGTAGACAATCCTGCATGGGGTATCCAGGCTTCTGAGCCTGAAGTAACTTCATAGAGTCCCACACACCCTTCAGGGTTAGGGAGCAGCCACATGTTTGTTCTCCCATGTAGCACAGAGGGGAGCAGGGATGGAGCTGAGAGCCAGCAGACCTGATGTGTGAAGGCCAGGATGCCAAAGCAGATACAGTGGGGACCACATGACTCAAGACCAGACAGGGATAAGGACACATCACTGGGTACCAGTGCAGACCTATTACATCCCTATGACTGACATCTCTCACCACTACCCCACTCCACCCCTGCCCCACTGTTAGATAATGGGTGTCCGAACTCAGATACCTTTCCTGAAGGACACTGGGAGGTGGAAGAATTCTAGACTTAAATTTAAGAAAGAAACACAGAAAATTCTTGAAGTGACTGAGTTCTCAATTGGTAAGACTGTGCTTTCTGGTATTAAGTGAAACTGAACCTCAGGATTGAGACTCTAGTCTCTAGCAATGATAGTAATACTATAATGATTATAATAAACAAAGCTTCCTTTCTTGCAAAGCCAAGTTACAAGGCTTGAAAATGGGAGCCAACCCCCACCCACCCTACACACCAAATTTGTGCAGAAATGTAGAGGCTGAAAATAAAATGTGGATTTTTATTCTATAGATGGGGCAAACAAAGCTCAAGTGCGTAAATACTTACCCTGGAGTCACCAACATCAGACGATTAAAAACCAAAACCTGAGGACAGCTATTTTTGCCTTGGCTTTCATTCTAACTACCATACAAGCACGTGCTCAATGACTATGCAAGAAGTGCTTTGGCCTCAGAGACATTTGGAGAGCACCGAGAACAAACATCTGTAATTTAGAACGTTTCCTTGGAACAGATCATTTGAGCGTTGGGGTCTTCAGAAGCACTAGAAGTTCCTTTACAGAAACCAGGGTGAAGGCAGGAACTGGAAAGAGGAGGTGGTTAAAAGAAGCTGGAGTTCTGAGAAGCCTGTGGATCCTTTTCAATAGAAGAAAATAAGCAGTTTCAGACAAGTTCTATCTTGAAATTTCCATACAGATGCAAGTTCCCAGAAAGCAGCAAGTTAATCCCAACAAGTGATAGCTATAGTCAAAGCAAGTCTTTTTCTCCTGGCAAGGGGGAGAGGGCGTAACTACACAATTCCCATCATTTTTAAAGCCATCCTTTAAAGCTTACCCCAAAATTATACACACACCCCACTCACATAAATCAACTACAGAGCTCATCAAACCTTAGAACTGAGAAGTGTTTCCAAAATTATCCAGTCTAGGGACCTCATTCTGCAGATAAGGACTCAGACACCCAAAGACAGTGTGCCCCACCCATTGTTACCAAGTCAGTTAGAATTGAAAATAAAACTCTGGTCTTCTAATTCCTAGTGCAGACCACTTTTATCCATTGCTATCATTCTAAAAAAAAAAAAAAACAAAAAACAAAAAAACAAAAAAAAACTGGTGATGCTGTTTGTTTGTCCAGTACTGACTTTCTCCAATATGACAGCAGGACACAGCAAGGAAATAAAACATAACAGTGTAATTGGAAAGAGGTAAGTGGACAAGAGACTTCAGTCAGGTGGGCACTGGCCCCTGAGTGAGGAATTAAGTTGGTTCCAATAGTCTGGAGCAGTGGTTTCCAAATGTTTTGATCACAAGTCATTAAAAAGTTTGGGCATTAAACTTTTTAATGACGTGATCAAAACATTTGGAAACCACTATATATAAAAACATATATATATGTGTGTGTGTGTATACATATATATATATAGAGAGAGAGAGAGAGAGAAACATAGCAAAAGATAGGGAATTTTAAAAGATGATATTTTTAAAATAAATTTTAATAGAAGTTGACATGATACAGGTGAATCTCTATAACAAATATATCTCCCAAATTTCAGTGGCTTGACAGAATAAAGTTTCTTTCTTTCTCATGTTGGGTTTGGTAGAGAGGGCGTTGGCCCCTTGCATTCATTTGAGGATGCAGGATCTTTCCATCTCATGGCCCTTTCATCCTCTAAGGCCTTGGAATCCTCTTCTTTTAACCAAAGAATGGAGAAAGAGAGGAAGACTTGAGGCCTGCATGGTGCAAGGGGACTTAAGACCTAGACCTGGAAGGGGCAACATTATGGCATCATGGCTGCCCTGACTCCATTCGTCCAAAGGCAGTCATGTGGTCCCAGCAAGGGAGGCTGGGAAATGTAGTCTAGCTCATGCTTGGAAGGAAAAGGCAATGAGGTTTAGTCAATACACAGCAAACTCTGACACAGAAATTCAAGTCTCCCCATATCCCAGAAAAGTTTTTGAGCACTCTGCAAGGTTTCCCATTTGGAAACTATTAGCCTGGAAGATTAGGCATAGACTGACCCTGTCAGCCCCTATTCCTCTCCCACAGAGCAGGACTTCCTGAGGAGAGCCAGATTTAGGGCTAGATGGGAAGATGTTAATAATAGCTAGCATTACTGACAATTTACCCTGTGTCCAGCACCAACTAAGCAGTTTACACGCATTAACTCATTTAATCCAGCAAAAACTCAGTGATGTAGATGCTATTAGTATCCCCATTTTCCAGATGAGGAAATGAACTTAAGCCCAGGGAGACTGAGTAACCTGCCCCAAATCACACAGTGTCAGATATGGAATTTGATGTCCATCACTGGCTCTAGAGTCTGTGCTGTCCATCACTACCTTGTGCTGAGTCTAGAGGGAAAATGGGAGATAATTCCCAGCTCTGCAGGCTTTCCACACCAGGTAAAGACAGGACAGAAGAGCAGCAGGCTGCGGCTGAGGTGGGTAGGTGCCACGAGTGGGGCTGTACAGGGAAAGCAGAGTCAGACAGGGATAGAAGGGTGGGCACAAGGTAAGTGGGAGTGAAGAAAAGTGAGCTTGCAGAGTCAGGCTATTGGAGCTCAGCCATGCCATTCAGGAAGCAAGTGCAGCATGGAGGACTCAGAGAGCCCAGGTAGTGCCCAATGCCCAGAGGAGCCCCTTGCACGCCGGTCCCTGTCCTTGATTAAACTTGCAATGACAACTGGGAAGAAGTCAGCACCACAGAGGTGGCCATGGCCTGCCCACATCCCAACTGCTCCCAGAGCTCATGCCTGTTTCATCCCAGGACAAGCTCAGCTACTCGCCTGCCCTGGCAACAGGTTCCGAGTGTCACCAGCACTGCAACAGCCCCTGTGGTGTGCTGGGTCCTCCAGGCTCACTCTGGCCCTTCTGATGCCCTAGCCCCTTGGGCCGCCTTCTAAGGAGTCCACCTGTCCTCTTCACACCAAACGGACCTAATTTACCCAGGTAGAAAAACTCTCAGTGGGTGTCTCCAGGGTACCGTCCCCACTGTCACCGCATCATATTCTAAGCCAGTGGGTGAACAACCTCGGTTCTGGCTCCCCTTTTAACGTGATCAGAGTCTGCCCATGGGCAAGAAAACAGACTCTGTCAGATCATGCATTCTTGTGTTGCTCCTGCCATAACTTTGACCTCCAGCAAATCACCCAGTGCCTCAGTTTCCCCACCGTAAAAGTAGCTCAGAAATGTGATGACTCAAGCCCCCAAAGAAATTCTGGGTAGTTTTGTGTGTCTTCAACACTGCTGAGTGTTTTTTCCAGGTGGCTGGATGACAAATCTTCCTCTAGGATATGTGGGGTTGTAATTTGCCCTCAGAGATGCAGGTGCCCCAGGAGTCTCCTTTAACAAATGAAAAGCCGGTCTCTGCCACATGCCAGGATGCTTGTGAACATCACAGAGGCCACCCGAACCCTATCACAGACCTTCCCTGCTCTGGTGGCTATTAACTCTCCTTCTGAGAAAAACCTCTGAGGATCGGAGCCCACATTTTGTTCAGGGATCCAGCCTGGGCTATTGCCCCAGCTCCAGGAAAGAAGGAGCTGCATGCCTTCTCTGCTTCTATTCTGATTTTTTTTTTTTTTTTTTTTTTGAAGTGGAATCTCGCTCTGTCGCCCAGGCTGGAGTGCAGTGGCACGATCTTGGCTCACTGCAACTTCAACCTCCTGGGTTCAAGCGATTCTCCTGCTTCAGCCTCCCAAGTAGCTGGGACTACAGGTGTACGCCACCACAGTCAGCTAATTTTTGTATTTTTAGTAGAGACAGGGTTTCACCATATTGGTTAGGAGGCTGGTCTTGAACTCCTGACCTCGTGATCTGCCTCTAGGCCTCCCAAAGTGCTGGGATTACAGGTGTGAGCCACCACACCCAGCCCATTCTGATTTTTTAAAAACTGTCCCACATATCAACCCACCATGTTACCACCTGTTTTAACCAATTTGTATTGGAAGTAATGGGCAGAAAGTGTTAAGCTGTGCCGCATATTATGAAATATGACCAGCCCACCCTGGAACACTTTGCAAGGCTCTATCACCTCCACATCCTACTTAACCCTTATAGCTGTCCCAGGAGAGCCCACTCCCTCCACCATTGTATAGACACAGAACTGCTGCACAAAGAACAGAACATAAGCAATTTGGTCAAGATCACTGAAGCAACTGGGATTCGAACCTAGGACTTGCCTGACTCCAAATCCCAGCTATTAACACTTCACTCTGCCTCATCAGGGGGAGAGAAAAATTACATAAGCCAAGGAGAGGTGGTTACATGGAAAGCAAATAAAGAGGAGAAGTGAGTGATCTCAGCCATGGAAGGTTGACAATTCAGGCCATGCAATATATGCTTATTATTATGGTAGACTTCCTATTTGACCTCTTTGAACTTGTGAGATCACTTTAATTCTATAATTTACTTATTCATTCTTTCACTAAGAATTTGCTGAAAATTTATCATGTGTGAAAATGTCTTGTAAACTCTTTTTTTTTTTTTTCCCTGAGACAGAGTCTTGCTCTGTCGCCCAGAGCTGGAGTGCAATGGCGTGATCTCAGCTCACTGCAACCTCCGCCTCCCAGGTTCAAGCAATTCTCCTGCCTCAGCCTCCTGAGTAGCTGGGATTACACGCGTGCGCCACCACACCAGGCTAATTTTTGTATTTTTAGTAGACGGGGTTTCGCCATGTTGGCCAGGCTGGTCTTGGAATCCTGACCTCATGATCTGCCCACCTCGGCCCCCCAAAATGCTGGGATTACAGGTGGGAATCACCGCGCCTGGCCACAATTATTAATTTTTAAACCTGGTGAGAGATGCAAAAGATGTCTGCCCTTAAGGAATTTATAACTTGTTGAACCTAGAATACATATTTCCCTTCTTAGAACAAAAATCAAGCATCTTCTAATAAAAGTGGGAAGGTACAGGATGTAGCTAAAGCATTTCTGTCAGGGTTTTCCCACTGTCCCTTCCTGTTCATCACTGTCCCTTCCTGTTGACTCATTTCAACTTGGGATTCACTATGACCACTAGATCCTTTTCCTCTCTATTTCTCTTTAAGTCCATTCTAACCACCTGGACATTATTTAATCCCAAATTCACAATGCCCACCTTCCCAATCTTTAACTGACTTGGTGAGCTATTAACAAGAGTTCTATTTGACCCAACGACTCACGGAGGAAAGAAGAGAACTTCACATTTGTGGGACTGGCCACAATATGCACTCAGGAGCTGTAGGACTAATGGCCACTCCTCAGAGAGTCCTTGGGGTAAGTGAGGCATAACAGAGAGGCTAACTATAGTAAGTAAGTGGGCTGAGCCTGGCCTGGTTGCTCTCAGCCTTTTCCGCCACTCATTTCCATCAAAAGACTGCCTTTAGGAGCAACGGAGGTTAATGAAGCTGTCCACAATGGGGCAGCCAGCGGTAGTGCGACTGAAGTGGAAATCATGTGAGTTAGGTGAAAAAGTACAAACTGGCCTGATTCAGGGAGCTGCCACCCAGCTGGAGAACAGGTGTTACCTCTCAGTGGGCAGAGCTGCACAAGGCCAGATCCTCTCCCTTCTTAGTCACGAAGGTGCCCTCTGGCTCCAAGGGGAGGAGAGGGAACCAGACCTCACTCCCCAGGCCTCAGACCCCCCATCTCTCTCCATGTCCTTCCCGCTGTGACCTCCTTCAACGGTATAATCACTCAGCCTGTTAGGCACTAAGTAGTAAAACTGGTCAACCTTTAAAACCACTTTTCATTACGAAGGCCCAAAAAAAGATAAAAGATGAAATTTAATGGGGGGTGGGGGGGCACAAGAGGGTGATTGAAAAAAACACAGATAATTTCTGGAATTGGATCTGTTAAGCCTTACACATTAGTCCCCGCCCTCGGAAGTAAGGGCCTGTCATTCTGTAAAGGGACGCAGCCACACGCAGAGAAGGTGGAGGTCTCCACCCCTTCCCTCTTCGTCCTCGCCTAGGAGGGACCGTGGTGCCAGTAAAACAGGGACTGGCTGGCCCAGAGCCTTGGGGATCCCCTCCTTTGTCTGGAACCCTCTGGCTCACCGCATCCTTCCTCGGGGCCGCATGGCCCTGCCCCACAAAGCAGGCGTGCTGGGGGCTGCTTGGCCAGGAAAGCGGACGCTTGCAGGGACCACGCTGCTGCCTCTCTTCTGCCCTTTTCCCCTTAGTTTTACAAGTTCCCTGTTCGTTCGTTCTTTCTCTCTCTCCTCTCTCTCTCTTTCTCTCTCCTCTCTCCCGTCTCTTTCTCTCCTTCTCCGTCACTCTCTTCCCTCCCTCTCTCCTCTCTCCTCTCTCTCCTCTCTCTCTCTCTCTCTCTCTCCTGCGAGGAGCTTCAGATTTGTGGGTTGTTTTTAATGCATTCCGGATGCCAGATGAAATTTTGGCCCGGGCTCACCAGTTCCTCTGCTATTGGGACTCTCCCCACCTCCCCTCCAGGCCCAAAGCCGCAAGGAGAGAAATAGGCGGGCGGGCGCCATCTGTTGGCAGTTGCCTGGAGCCGCACGAAGAGGTGGAGAACTAAGGCGGGGCGCAGGTTTCCAGTAAAGAGCTCGATCCGTGATCCTCGTGAAAGAATTAATGTCTACCTGATGAAACTTCCTCGAGGGATGGCCCGGGCAGCGGCTCACGCCTGTTATCCCAGCGCTTTGGAAGGCGGAAGCGGGAGGATCTCTTGAGCCCAAGACTTTCAGACCAGTCTGGGCAATGTGGCGAGACCGTCTCTACAAAAAATAAAATAAAAATAAATTAGCCAGGTGTAGTGGCGCGCCTGTGGTTCCAGCTACTTGACAGGCCGAGATGGGAGGATCGCTTCAGCCCAGGAAGTCGAAGCTGCAATGAGCTGTGACCACGCCACTGCACTCCAGCCTGGGCGACAGAGCAAGACCATGATATTTCAAGAAAAGTCCTTGAGGCAAAAGGTGACCTGCTTTAGAACGCCTCAGTGCTTAGACATGAACAGTGAAGGGGACTGAAGATTGTTGGAACACGGTGCAGAACCCTCTTAGTCTCGTTTTGTTGCCTTATTATGTTCTATTTCAACTTTCAAAAAAAATTGCTGGCATTAGCATGTCGAAAAATTGGTGACATTAGAATGTCAAATTCTTTGAAGGATGGGGATTTTTGCATTCAGTTTTGTGTTCACCAAAATAAGCTAGCAGGAGATTCTGTGCAAGTTGACTTATAAGTATATGGTTTGCTGAAATCTTATGAGGAGAGGGAAATGTAAAGTAAATGAAGTGGAAATAAGTGGTTGTTATGGTTAGGAAAAGGCCATCGTAAGGCTTCATGGCTAGCATGCAGGCCACCGAAGTTCTATCCCAAACAGAAGGAAGCTCTTGTAGGATGGTGAGTTATGGTAGGGTTCTAGGAGGAGTGGGTGTCAGCCTTTTGGGAGGGGGAATGGAAGGGCTGGGAAGGGTGGGAGGAAGTGAATGAAGTTCCAAAGCCAGGAAGCTAGGCACAACCCTGTGAGTAGTACCAATACCTAAGGATGGTTTCTCAGGGACACTCAGAAAAAAGAGCCCAGTCTCCTGAGAGCAAGCATGCAGCCCTATCCCCACATTTTCCCCTGAACATGGTCCTGTCCACCAAATCAGGCCTGAGGATCCTGAAACACCTCCAGGCCCTGGGCCCTCACCCACTAGACAGCCCAGGAACCAGGAGCCTAGGCCTGAATAATGGGAAGCTCTGGTACTGGGCTTTATATTCCTGCATTTTCAACAGGAACAAGACTATGATGTGTGGGGTTTCACACCCTTTCTCCCTCCCTTTTCCTCTCAGAGCCACCTTTGTCTTTGCCAATTTGTCCCTGGGGTTTGGTGACACAGAGGCAGTGGCCAGAAAAGAGAGGCAGAATTGAAGTCGTGGTCATGGGGCTTTTGCTTCTGGACAAGGCTAAGATTTACTTGGATATGAACATAAAAATAAGGAGTTGCTGGAAGAGAAGAGCTGCGCTTTGGATGGGTTTATTAAGAGTTGAGAGCGCGGAAGATGAGGCAGCTTTGGAAATCAGCTGCAGTAGCATGAAGGATACTGAGAATCATTTTAATAAAGACAATTTTTTTTTAAGAGACAGGGTCTCGTGCTTTGGCCCAGGCTAGAGTGCAGTGGGGTGATCACAGCTCACTGAAGCCACAACTTCCTGGGCTCAAGCTGGGACTACAGGCACGCACCACCATGCCCAGCACATTTTTAAAATTTTTTTGTAGAGACAAGGTCTCACTATTTGGCCCAGCTTGGTCTCAAACCCCTAGCCTCAAATGATCCTCTCTCCTCAGCCTCCCAAAGTGCTGAGATTACAGGTGTGAGCCACTGTGCTCCACGGAGGATGAGGTTTATAAGGTGATTTCTGGTGCATCAAGAAGGTATTTTCCTCCCCTCCCTCTGACCTTCAGGGGCTTCTTGAGGGACCAAAACTTGGAAGGTACTTTCCATTGATCTTCTTCTGGAAGAAGGAGAGGGTCCAATAAAACCGCTGTTTATTTGAGTCAGCATCATGCACAGCCCAGGCCACACAGACCCACAGTTATATACTGATTACACATTCAACGCATGTGTGTTCTCAACACTGAAGAGGTAGTGGTAATGAAGGCAGCCATGGGGCTATAGTCCTAGACATTTTATTCCTTTAATATTTAAAGCAAACCTATCCAGCAAAACAAAGGAGGCAAAACAAAACAACAACAACAAAAAAAACCCCTGCATGTCAGTGTTTAGAAAATATCCAGACTATATGTCTTTCCAATATTCATGGAAATCTTTGATCCAAGGTGATGTTGATGAGCCTGTGGGTGGGCTGGGAGTTTGTTGGTGGACCTACAAGGCTGTGGAGCACATGTCAATTCTCCCACCAGTCTCAGGCAGTGACGCCTACTGGTTTAGAGCACAGATTCTAGATCGAGACATTCCTGGGTTCAAATCCCAGCACTGTTGTTTCCTTCCTGTATAACTCAAGAAAGTCTTGGCTTTTGCAGATACCACCGCCACCGGGAGCCCCATACTATTGAGAGGTGACAGCGTGCTGGCAGTCCTCAGAGCCCCGCTTGCTCTCGGAACCTCCTCTGCCAGGGCTCCCACTTTGGCGGCACTTGAGGAGCCCTTCAGCCCACCACTGCACTGTGGGAGCCCCTTTCTGGGCTGGCCAAGGCTGGAGCCCACTCCCTCAGCTTGCAGGGAGGTGTGGAGGGAGAGGGGCGAGCGGGAACCGGGGCTGCCTAGGGCGCTTGCGGGCCAGCTGGAGTTCCGGGTGGGCGTGGGCTTGGCGGGCCCCGCACTCGGAGCAGCCGGCCAGCCCTGCTGCCCCGGGCAATGAGCACCCGGGCCAGCGGCTGCGTACGGTGTACTGGGTCCCCCAGCAGTGCCAGCCCACCGGCGCTGTGCTCGATTTCTCACCGAGCCTTAGCTGCCTTCCTGCAGGGCAGGGCTCGGGACCTGCAGCCCGCCATGCCTGAGCCTCCCACCCGCTCCATGGGCTCCTGTGCGGCCCAAGCCTCCCCGACGAGCGCCACCCCCTGCTCCACAGCGCCCAGTTCCATCGACCACCCAAGGGCTGAGGAGTGCGAGCGCACGGCGCAGGACTGGCAGGCAGCTCCACCTGCAGCCCCGGTGCGGGATCCACTAGGTGAAGCCAGCTGGGCTCCTGAGTCTGATGGGGACGTGGAGAGTCTTTATGTCTAGCTCAGGGATTGTAAATACACCAATCAGCACCCTGTGTTTAGCTCAAGGTTTGTGAGTGCACCAATCGACACTCTGTATCTAGCTGCTCTGGTGGGGCCTTGGAGAACCTTTATGTCTAGCTCAGGGATTATAAATACACCAATCAGCACCCTGTGTCTAGCTCAGGGTTTGTGAGTGCACCAGTCGACACTCTGTATCTAGCTGCTCTGGTGGGGCCTTGGAGAACCTTTATGTCTAGCTCAGGGATTGTAAACGCACCAGTCAGCGCCCTGACAAAACAGGCCACTGGGCTCTACCAATCAGCAGGATGTGGGTGGGGCCAAATAAGAGAATAAAAGCAGGCTGTGGGCGCCAGCAGTGGCAACCTGCTCAGGTCCCCTTCCACACTGCGGAAGCTTTGTTCTTTTGCTCTTTGCAGTAAATCTTGCTACTGCTCACTCTTTGGGTCCACGCTGCTTTTATGAGCTGTAACACTCACCGCAAAGGTCTGCAGCTTCACTCCTGAGTCAGCGAGACCACGAACCCACCAGAAGGAAGAAACTCCGAACACATCCGAACATCAGAAGGAACAAACTCCAGACGCGCCACCTTAAGAGCTGTAACACTCACCGCGAGGGTCCGCGGCTTCATTCTTGAAGTCAGTGAGACCAAGAACCCACTAGAACACACTATCAGCCGTGGTCAACCCCACCATGTTCTTCAACATCGCCATCAACGGGGAGCCCTTGGGCCGCATCTCCTTTGAGCTGTTTGCAAACAAGATTCCAAAGACGGCAGAAAACTTTCATGCTCTAAGCACTGGAGAGAAAGGATTTGGTTATAAGGGTTCCTGCTTTCACAGAATTATTCCAGAGTTTATGTGTCAGGGCGGTGACTTCACATGCCATAATGGCACTGGTGCCTCTACGGGGAGAAATTTGATGTCGAGGACTTCACCCTAAAGCATACAGGTCCTGACATCTTGTCCATGGCAAATGCAGGACCCGATACAAACGGTTCCTAATTTTTCATCTGCACTGCCAAGACAGCGTGGTTGAATGGGAAGCAGGTGGTCTCTGGCAAGGTGAGAGAAGGCATGAATATTGTGAAGCCCATGGAGCGCTTTCGGTCCAGGAATGGCAAGACCAGCAAGAAGATCACCATTGCTGACTGGACAACTCTAATAAGTTTCACTTACGCTTTATCTTAACCACTGGACCATTCCTTCTGTAGCTCAGAGAGAGCACCCTCCACCCCATTTGCTCACACTATCCTGTCATCTTTGTGTTCTTGCTGCAGTTCCCTTTGGGTTCCATGTTTTCCTTGTTCCCTTCCATGCCTAGCTGGATTGTAGAGTTAAGTTTATGAATATGAAATAAAATCTAAATAGGCCGGGCGCGGTGGCTCACGCCTGTAATCCCAGCACTTTGGGAGGCCGACGCAGGCGGATCACGAGGTCAGGAGATCGAGACCATCCTGGCTAACACGGTGAAACCCCATCTCTACTAAAAATACAAAAAAATTAGCCGGGTCTGGTGGCGGGTGCCTGTAGTCCCAGCTACTCGGGAGGCTGATGCAGGAGAATGGCGTGAACCCAGGAGGCGGAGCTTGCAGTGAGCCGAGATGGCGCCACTGCACTTCAGCCTGGGTGACAGAGCGAGACTCCATCTCAAAAAAAAGAAAAGAAAAAACTAAATAACAAAAAAAAGAAAGTCTATAGCCTCTTATGCCTCCATCGTATCTGTAAAGTGGGGATAAAAATAGTACCACTCCTTTCGAGTTCATGTAAGGAGTAAATGAATGAGTAGGTGAAAGTGTTAGCATAGTGACTGCCATATTGTAATGTTTATTAAGTGTTAGTTACTAGCCAGGCAAGGAGAATCATCTCTTGACATAGGCAGGCTCAGGACCTTTGTAAATACTTGTGGTCTGACCATTCAGTCAGATCAACCCAGAGGCCAAGCTGCATATGCGTCCCATGGACTGACTGCATCCCTAGGAGGTACTCCTCTGCTGGGTTGAAGGCATCTCTCAGTTGGTGAGGACTGGCTCCATGACCTCCACCTGACCCTGGTGTACTCTGATTCTCTTGCCCACCTCCCTCTAACAGCCACCCCACCTGCCCCTCATTGGAGATGAGAAAGGAAGGAAAAACAGAGCTGGGCTTCTGTGGTCTTTGTCCTGTCCCCAAAGCCCTCTGGAAGGAATAGAGAGAAATCATAGGATGAGGCTTTCTACTCAGACCCCATGTAACTGCCCGGCCAAAATGGGCCAAGGTAGGCAGCATCCCGCTCAGGTCCTGCAGATGCTCACACACCCTGCTCCCACCTGGCCAAGAGCACCCCTCCTGTTCCTCGGAGGACTGGGGAGTCCCAACTTCCAGTCGCTCTTCCCTTAGGACTCACATGCCTTTGCTCCCCTCCCTGTGGCTTCGCTGGTGCTTCTCACCATACCCAAAGCTCCACCACCTTACTGAGTCACGCATTTACATTGTGCAGTACTGCTCTGGGACCAGGAAAATGACCCACTAATAGCTTACAAACGAGCATGGGCCAAGGTATGGTTGTAATGTTTAAAAATACTTCTGGGTATTTCTGGATCTACTTCTTGGTCTTGTCTCTTATCGCTATTTCCTTCCCTGTGTTCCTCATGCCTCTAACGTGAAGAGCAACTTCACTGCAGCCCCAGCCTCTCCAGTGTCTAGACAGCACCCTGGTAAACTAGGGGCACTTGCCAGGGGGAAAGACCCCGATGAGTCACTGCACTGGGGACAGAAAATGTTCTGACTTCAGTTTTTATTTATCTCATTTTTTAACTTCTATTTTGGGGTATGTTTTAGATTTACATGAAGGCACAGTAATAGCTGTTTACATTAGTAAATAAATATGCAGTTACTGAGGATGCATGAGCAAATGTGGAAGGGCACAATTTTAAAGATTTGGCGGCCAAAGTCCTGGCCCACAGCGCCTGTCTGTCATTCTCTGATCTGGTTTCAGGGAGGTTTTCTTGCTATATCAGCTCCCAGGGTTGTCCTCCAACCAGAGTAATAAACACAACCTCTAACAGAGGGAGGCGCCTGGCACCAACCAACCAGTCAGAAGGACCTGGAGGCTCTGGGTTCAGCCCACATAAACCCCTTAGTTGCTGGACCAAGGGGAGGTGGTAGGGGGACAGCCCAGGGGACAGGATGCACTTGGGAGGCCTGGAGCAGCTGCTGGCTACAACTAGTCAGGAAATACTTTAGAAAGTTGACAGCCAGGAGTGCTGAATATCAGCGCTGACCGCACCTTCTTTCCAAGTGGTGGTTCCTACCAGCTGCACCTTTGCGAGTTTCTTGGTCTTTGCTTATACAGATCCCTGACAGTAAAATGCCCTTCCATCCTTCCTCTGCCTATTAACATTCCATTCATCTGGCTGGGCACAGTGGTTCACACCTGTAGTTCCAGCAATTTGGGAGGCCAAGGTGAGAGAATCGCTTGAGCCTAAGAGATGGAGGTTGCAGTGAGCCATGATTGTGCCACTGCACTCCAGCCTGAGCGACAGAGCAAGGGAAAAATACAGAAAAATCCACTCATCCTTCAAGCTCTAGTTCAGATCCTCCCCTATCAGGGAGACCCCTCTGATGCTCCAGGTTAGAAGGAAGTGCTCCTTCCCTGGCTCACATGGCATGCTCTCACTTGGCTCTTACTGTGCTCTTGCCTCACCCTGAAGGCAGACTGTAAGTTCCTTGAAGGGAGAAACTATTATATTTCAACAAACCTAAGATGCCATGGTTGTAAAATGAATCATTGTTTCAAGTACCTCTAAAAAAGAAAAGAACCTGCCAATGGGCTATGAGTGGTAAGACATACCCTGATTTCGGAGACGTTGACTTTTTTAAAAAAACAGCAAAAGTGCTACTTAGAATGAATGACATGTGGTGGCCAGCTGGCCTGTGTCTCTGCATCGCCCATGTCTAGAATTGTGTTTGATTTGCAGCAAGCATTCAGGAAATGTTTCTGTTTGCTTTTTTCGGGGTTCTAGTGAGGAGTTCCAGAGGAGGAAGTAGAGAAGAGAGCTGGGCTGGAGGAAGATGATGGTGAGACCCGAGGGACTAAGACTTGAGCTAACAAACAAATCAACAAGAAATAAGCAAACAACCACATAAAAAGTGGGCAAAGGACACGAACAGACACTTATCAACACAAGACGTACAAGCGGCCAATAAACATGAGAAAATGTTCACCATCACTAATTATCAGAGAGATGCAAGTCAAAACCTATGAGATACCATCTCACACCAGTCAGAATGGCTACTATTAAGTCAAAAAATACCAGACGTTGGCCAGTCTGGGGAGAAAAGGGAATGCTTATAAACGGCTGGTGAAAACAGCTGGCTAAGAGCCCAGTTACCTTAGTCATAGTTCCAACTCTGCAATGGCCTGTATGTCACCAAAAAGCCACTAATTCCTCTATGATTACCCATATTAAATGAGACAATAGGATAATAATAACTACCATTTACCAAGTTCTAGCAACATGTCAGTGCTTTTATACATATTCATATATTTTCTTAAACAAACAGAAAAGCAGTTATCACTGGCCCTTTTTATTTTTAAAAAGATAATGGGGCCAGGTGCAGTGGCTCATGCCTGTAATCCCAGCACGTTGGGAGGCCGAGGGCAGATCATGAGGTCAAGAGTTCGAGACCAGCCTGGCCAATATGGTGAAACTCCATCTCTACTAAAAATACAAAAATTAGTTAGGCGTGGTGGCAGGTGCCTGTAATACCAGCTACTCAGGAGGCTGAGGCAGGAGAATCGTTTGAACCCGGGAGGCAGAGGTTGCAGTAAGCTGAGATTGCACCATTGCACTCCAGCCTGGGTGACAGGGCCAGACTTCGTCTCAAAAAAAAAAAAAAAAAAAAAAAGATAATGGAAGAGGCAGCCACCCACAGGTCATGGGACCTTAGACAAGCCCCTTCCTGCATTTCATAGCTAGGGAAACAGGATCATAAATGTTAATCACAGGTACCCGGTCTACAGTAGAGAGGTTTTATGAAAATAAAATACAAGACCAAATTCAAAGAGCTTTAAAAACCACAGAGCCAGACAAATGTGAGAGGTTATTATGAGCAAACAATGACATTACAGAAGTGAAAGTGCTCAGTGCCATCAAGAACAAGGGCTCTATTTCACTCCCATGTGTCACCATAATAAAGACAGAGTCCCTGATCTTAAAGGCATCAATTTTGCCCCACTGGAAGCCTTAATTGTAATTCATTAATACAGCAGCATCCTAAAAGTTACTGCCGTTTCTAGGAATCCAAACAACTGGTTTTAGGTCCTAAAGAATTTGAATCATTAAGAAATTTAAAGTACTAGTAGAGTTTCTGGGAGCCCTACAATTTTAGGTTTCTGCATGGTTAAGAAACTGAAAGAGATGATTTCTTAATTGGTTCCATTTTCCCAGTTTTTTTTGTTCTAATCCAAGAATTGTTCCAGTCCTTATCCTTCCTTCAATCAGAATGTCCCCAAGTTTATGGAATGGGCTTCCCTTGTCCCCACTCAATGGCTCAAGAATACCACTGTTATATATTTTTTCCTTTCAATTGTGTTTCGTGACTCTGGAAAAATACTGGATACTTTCAATATCTAATGTGATATGATCTCATGATAGTTTCATACTATTTTTGATATCTAATATGTAAAATTAAGTAATCTGATAGTTCTAATGTTTACTTGCAGAGAAATTAATTATAGAAGTGCCAGGAAGATTCAAGGAATTGGAAATTATGGTTTAATTAGTGGGTATTTAGAACAGCTCTTCTCAAAAATCACCTGGACAACTTGTTGAAACACAGGCTGCTGGGTCTCATCTCCACAGTTGCTGATTCAGTAGATCTGAGTGGGGCAGCATGATTTGTACTTTTAATAACTCCCAGGGAATGGTGAAGGCTGCTTGTCCTGGGACCACACTTGAGAACCACTGATTTACATGGTTATTGGAAGGACCAAGAAAGACAAACCACAGAGGCCTCCTCTTCTGTCTTTCTTGGGATGTGGGTTGCTCTGATGTTGAAGTGGATGGGGTTAGGAAGAGACTGGGAAAGACACTGTAAGCCAGGATGACAGGTTTCATTTGTAAAATCTTTACCAGAGTTTTCTTCTTTAATCCAGGCTTTATCTCGTGAGCAAGAAATCATGAGATCTAAAGTCCTTCTGGCAAGACCAGGCTCTAACTCTCTCCATATCACCCTGGGATCCCAAAAGGACCTTCCATAAGAAGACACAAAGGGGACAAGTCTACAGGGGGAATTCACCAATACCAGTAACTATGACAACACTCAAACAATCCCTGCAATGTTCGAAGGTTCATAAGAAAGGAGAGTCTGTTGTCCCATCTGGTGAAATCCAGTCCCCAAGTGGAAAGCAATCTCTGTTGCCACAATCCCCAAACTACTAGAAGCCATGCTCTCTGCTTTGCATATTGCTGGCTTCACGAACATCATATATATATATGTAAATTTTAAATAGCCGATAGAAGATCATTGATACATCTTTATTACAGATATATAGTTCAGATCAGGAAATATTAAGTTACCAACTCCTAAAGCAGCCATTGTATTTCAAGCAAGTCAATCCTACTACCATGACCAAACCTAATTGGACCAAAGAAAGATGGCTGATTAAGGACTATGTCAAATCAAAAGGGAGATGACCCATCCATCCCCATGGAGTCCCCCTGCTTGGGAAGGCTGAGGACATTTCACATATGGGCTATGTAGGACCTTAGGCAAATCCCCTCTCCTCCCTGGGCTTTAATTTCTTCTTCTAGAAAGCTAGGATGCTAGATTTCATTCTCTCAGAAGCACTTTTGGTTCTAACGGCCATAAACACAGTAACTTTCTGTTCTTTTGCATGCCACTCCTGGGCCCCTTCTCTTTGTACTATGCGAGGAACTTGCCCCATCATCAGATTTGAGTGGGGGAGTATTGGGGGCTCCAGAAGGCCAGGAACAGTCCTTAGGAAGCCAAGGCAGACTTCAGAATATACGGTCAGACTCAAATGGCAAGGAGCTTAGACAATGTCACATTGTGGAGTTTAAAAACATGCATTTTTAAGAGCCTGGGCTTACTGAGTCAGCAATCTGGAACATTCTCAAGAGACTAAAAATATCCTGAAAGTGGACTGAATTTTAAACTAGGCTTTAAAAAACTTTCTATGTGAAAACAATTGAGTATTTCTTCTTTAAAACAGTTATCCGTTTTCTTTATTTAGATTTTCACAACTGGAATTGATAAGTATAGAGGAAGCTCCAGCCTGAGATGGGGGATTGAACGTCATGTTTGAAGGGCTGTCCAGTCCTAGCGTCGATAGCAAGGGACCAAGATTTATAACTTTAAATCTCTCAAGCCATCTAAAAAGCAAAGAGGTAAAATGCTTTCTCTTTTCTTTCTGACAGTTTGAGGATTCTCTTTCACAGCATCAAACAGCAGGACAAAGGGTTCTTTTCAACCAGGAGGTTAGTATCCACCAAATGCTTAGCTCTTGGCATTGCCTGGCTTTCCCCAGCAAGACATGAGCAGCAGATCTGTAAACAGTCTGAAACATCCAGTAAAATGGATACCTGAGTCCCTAACTATCACCACCCCACCGGCTCCATGCAACCTTTCCCTAATTCACATTAAAATAACACAGAAACATAGAAAAGGCAGTGAAGTAAAGCCACTGTCTGAATCTCAGCATAGGGCAGAAGAAGCTGGATGTAGAAAGTGCTTTCCATGATTTTCTCAAGCATGCTCTGAATGCAGGGGCGGACGGTGAGGGAGGCCCAGAGACCCAGGGCCTGTCACTAACCAGAAAACCACAGCATTGAGAAGCATCCTCCGCACGCTTCCAAGAGAACGTTCTTATCACCGTTCATGGGGTGCAGCTATTTACTCTGGGCTACTTGCTTAGGAGCAGAGGCTGGACTTTCAAGGTGAATATGGCCCATCAATCCGGCAGCAAACATACTTTTTAAAGCTAAGAATCTTCTTTCGAGTTGGAGCAGCCTTTTCAACTGTCCTGCCTCAGCTGGGACATAACAAAATACCATAGCCTGTGTGGCTTAAACAAATCAAACGACAAGTAAGTAGGGACACTTCAAAAGAACAGGAAATGTTTCTAAACAGACACTCAATCTTTAAAAATGAATCTTAGGATTTCTGTTGTAACATTAAACACATTACCTCTTTTCAACTTAGTACTGCATGTTAAAATGTTTGTAAGACCTATATAGCTTTCTGATTTATTTACTTGGTTAAAGAAGCGTGTGCATGCTCTGGCATTTATTTATTACTTTTAAGAATGACAAAAAGGCTAAACTGTATGTGACAGAAAACAAACAGCATGAAAGAAAGGAAAAAAATGGAAATAAGGAGCACAAAATTCCAAAGGTCAGGGAAATAGGCAAGCTGACATCAGTGTGGCAGAGTATAATGTAGGCAATTTATGGCAAAACTGGTAAAACGGAGAGAGTTCTACAATGTAAACGATTGGGGTCAAAGATTAAACACATAAAATAATACAAAATCTTGCCATGTCAAAAAGGGTTCACTCTACTCAGCACTTGAGACCTCTCCTGTTACAAGGGCTACTTACAGGAAATACACATGAAACAAAAAGCCACAGAGGACAACACAGGTGTGAAACTGAGCAATGGGATCCAACCTGAGCCCCTTCTCTGGAGGATGAGACAACAGGGAAGTGCACATGGCTGTGGCAAACACCATGAGTGTGCCACCCAGATCCCCGCGGATCCCTTTTACAGGTTAGGGGCATCTTTCCCGAGCTTCAGTGTGCTTTAGGTTTCCAACAGCCCAGAAGTGCAACTCCTTTTTTCAGGATTGTCTTTGGGGTACCGGAAACACAGCTGCCAGAATACACAAGCCGGAGGTGGCTAGGGTGCCCATACCCACAGTGGGCATGGCCCTGAGTCGATGACTGACAGATGTGAGAGCAAGAAAGCCCTGCTCCCTGAGTCCCAGGGACAAAGGAAAAACGTGCAAAGGTATAACGTACACTCCAGAGTCTCCCTGTGCAATCCAGAACTCAGCCTGGAACCCCCTGGAACTTAACCTAAAATTACACCCTCCTACCTGATGCTCCCCCAACTCAACTTTACTCTCATGGAACCAGAAATAAATCATTTGTGTAGGAATCCTCATGTAAGCGTCTGCTCCTGAGGACCTGACCTAAGACAAGCACCCATGTGAACCAGGCACCGGGCCAGGCGCTGTTGGGGAATTAACCCCTCAGAGGGGAATCCTGCCTCCACTCGGGAAACATACAGGCCCAGTTGGGAGCCTGAGACGTGAGCAATGAAAAATGAACTACACGAGATACGATTTTCATGCTGAAAAAGTACTTTGGATTCAGAGGAGAGTGCAAATACGGGTATCGTTATAAATTGTTTTTATTAGTGGAGAATCAGAACCCAGGAAGGCCAGGTGATAGAGGACAAGTCTCTGAACACCACAGCCAAGGAATGGAGACCCTAATGATCCTAAATCCCAGCTTTCACCACGCGCTTCCCTTGCCCTAGGGTCTCCAAATGTCTTCTGGGTGGATTGCAGACCCGAGCAAGATGAATGAATGATGGGCACAGTGATGGAGTTTGGATCTGTGTCCCTGCCTGTCTCATGTTGAAATGTAATCCCTAATGCTGGAGGTGGGGCCTGGTGTCAGGTGATTGGATCATGGGGGTGGCTTCTCATGAACGGTTAGCACCACCCCTAGTGCTGTTCTCCTGATGGAGTTACCATAAGATCTGGTTATTTTAAAAGTGTGTGGCCTCCACCCACTCTCTCTGTCCTTCTCCTGCCAGGTAAGACGCGTGCTCCCCCTTTGCCTTCTGCCATGAGTAAAAGCTCCCTGAGGCCTCCCCAGAAGCAGATGTTCTCATGCTTCCTGTACAGCCTGCAGAACTATGAGCCAATTAAACCTCTTTTCTTTGTAAATTACCCAGTCTCAGGTATGTCTTTAGAGCAATGAGAGAACAGACTAATACACACAGCGAGGCCAAAGGCCACCTGCCGCAGTGCACAGCCAGGAGGCGACAGCAAGAATGGAGAAGAAATACAGGGGTTGGTTGTGAAGGAAATCTAAGGGACTTGGTAACGGATGTAACGGGGAGCAGGAAGAGATGGTTAGTACATTAGTCAGCTCAGGCTGTCATAACAAAGTTCCTTAGACTGGGTGGATTAAACAACAGAAATGTGTTACTCACAGTTCTGGAGACTGGAAGCCCAAGATCAAGGTGTCAGCAGGGCTGGTTTCCTCTAAGGCCTCTCTCCTTGGCTTGTGGACGGCATCTTCCCCCTTCGTCTTCACACGGTCCTTCCTCTGTGTGTCTGTGTCCTAATATCCTCTTCTTATGGAACACCAGTCAGACTGAATTAAGGCCTACCCATATGACCTCATTTTATCTTAATCATGTCTTTAAAGGTCCTGTCTCCAAATACAGTCACCTTGAAAAGTAATGTGGGGTTAGGACTTCAACATATGAATTTGGGGGTGGGGGTGGACAATTCATCCCTTAAGAGTTAGCAATATTATGGTAGGTTTGATTCCAGAAAGACTGTGTTTGAGGTGATGGCCACACATCCCAAGTATGAACATCCAGCAGGTGTATCACAGACCTGGGCATAAACTTCAGGAGAGAGGCCTTGGCTACAAGAGACTAGAAGATCCTGCTTGTCTGCCCTACTTCAGCAGGGCATCCCACAGTGTGTGCTGTCTGGGAAAAGCACAGGCATGGCATCTCACCCTAGGTGTGCAAGCTCAGAAACTCAATCATATCTATTCAAGTGGTGAGCAAGCCCCCCATCAGTCAGTTCTCTTGCTGAGCCAACCCAAAAGAGGCTGCTTTATAAAAGAGAGTGTCTATTTAATAATTTACCCACAGAGATTCCTGGCAGGATAATGCACACCAGTCATTTCCATGGGACATGCCTTTTTGTGGACTACTTGGCTGTCTACCCTTTCCGCCTCCCTGTCACCCCCCAACTGATAATAAGCTTTCTGTGGCTTGGGACTATGTCCCACTCAATTTCATAGCCCTGTTCATTCAGTCCTAAATGTACCTTACTAATATGTGTATCCTCCCAGCATCTAACACAGTTTCTTTCAGGGGGCAGGTGGTCAATAAATACGCATCAATAGTTAGGCAGAGAAATGGGTACTGATCTCTAACAGGTGCACAGTAGTTAAGAGCACAGACTTCTATGATCTGCATCTTGTCTTTACCAAGTATTAGCTGTCTGACCCTCCCTGAGTAGAATTAGCTACTCCATGCCTCAGTTTCCTCATCTTATCCAATAAGGGTGATACTTTTATCATCCACCTCATCAAGTTGTTATGAGCATTAAATGAGTTAATATATGTAGAGGGCTTGGAGTAGCACATGGTGCACAGTCGACCTATATGGGTGCTGGGAATTGTTTATATCCATCACTTGCTTGACACATTACCTAGGTTGTCTCATTAAACCTCCAAACAATGGTTTGAGGTGGATGTTGCCATCCCACCCTAAACAGGAGGAAGCCACATCCGATAAAGGTAAGTAACATCCAGATGACTACACAGCTGGCAGGCGGCAGAAACAGAAGGTGAGCTCAGAAGGGCTGAGTCTCATGCCCATTCTCTTCCCACTGCACCATAAGAGAATTCTCACTCAAGAATGTTCCCAGCCTCAGCCAGATGCGGTGGCTCACACCTGTAATCCCAGTATTTTGGGAGGCCAAGGCGGGAGGATCATGAGGTCAGGAGATCGAGGCCATCCTAGCTAACACTGTGAAACCCTGTCTCTACTAAAAATACAAAAACAATTAGCTGGGCGTGGTGGCACGCGCCTGTAGTCCCAGCTACTTGGGAGGCTGAAGCAGGAGAATCACTTGAACCCAAGAGGCAGAGGTTGCAGTCAGCCGAGATCACATCACTGCACTGCAGCCTAGGTGACAGATCAAGACTCCATCTCAAAAAAAAAAAAAAAAAAAAAAGAATGTTCACAGCCTGTCACAGAGAACCCAATAGGCACTAAGAGTCAGGAGGTGAAGCCAATACAGCATCAAGATCTACCCAAATATAAGGGGGTTCAGAGATGTGATTGTGTCCCAAACTCTACCCTATATGGTTGCAATGCTACGTACTGTATCAACGGCACATCCAAGCTAAAAAGCTTTTCATGTGCATCATCCAGAAGGCGTCCCTAGCATTCAGGGGCCCAAAATGTCCCCCTTGGCACTCAGCTGAACCATCAGCATGCCAGCAATACCTATGTAACTCCTACATCTGGAAAGCAGATGACAGCTGGGCTCTCAGCAGCTGGTCAGCAAAGTAGACTGTGACTAGGACAGGTTGTCACTGTGCCTTAGAGAATCCTAAGCATTCCTTTAGTTCTGGGATGACAAACAGACAGTGTCTGTGCTAACTGTAATTAATTAAAAGTGATTGTCTAGAATCTGTGTTTTCCAAAGAATTCCATGGCTAAGACTGGGCTCAGTAGAGAAGAGCTCCACTGGGCTCAGTAGAGAAGAGTTTCATGGTTGACTAGTGATGTCTGCCCAGAATACAAGAGGGAGAGGAGAACACTAGATGAAGGTTTTCCAACCCTTCCTCAGGCCAAGTCACCTTGTGATATGGTTTGGCTCTGTGACCTCACTCAAATCTCATCTTAAATTGTAATCCCCACGTGTCGAGGGGGGACCTGGTGCGGGTGACTGCATCATGGGAGTGGTTTCCCCATACTGGTCTTGTGATAGTGAGTGAGTTCTCACAAGATTTGATGGTTGAAAGGTGTGTCGCAGTTCCCCACTCTCTCTCGCTCTCCTGCCATCATGTTAAATGTGCCTTGCTTTCCCTTCACCTACCACCATGACTATAAGTTTCCTGAGGCCTCCCCAGCCATGCAGAACTGTCCACTACACCGCTTCTTTTTATAAATTACCCAGTCTCAGGTGGTTTTTTATAGCAGTGTGAAAACAGACTAATACATCTTTCATTCACTTAGGTATTGAAGAAGCACCTGGTATCCACATACTACCATACTAGAACATGAAAACATGTATATGACATGGTCCCTGCCTTCAAGAAAAGACACACAGAGGTGAGA
This sequence comes from Homo sapiens, assembly GCF_000001405.40. NCBI lineage: Eukaryota > Metazoa > Chordata > Mammalia > Primates > Hominidae > Homo > Homo sapiens. Next base: position 15,519,302 of record NC_000017.11, read on the forward strand.
AGCCAAACAAAAATATAAATACAAGCCAAGCATGGTGGCTGCTGACTGTAATCCCAGAGCTTTGGAAGGGTGAGGCAGGAGGATCATTTGAGCCCAGGAGTTCGAGGCTGCAGTGACCCATGATCATGCCACTGCATTCCAGCCCAGGTGACAGAGTAAGACCCCATCTCAAATAAATATACACACACACACACACACACACACACAAATTGCGTGTTAAGCATGGGGAAAATTCTCTTTTAAAACCCTGTCTACTCAGTTTTTTAAAGGTTGGGGTCTTCAAGGACTCATTTTTCTCAACATGCCTTAAAAGTACTGTCAGTTGGTGGCCAGGCGCGGTGGCTCACACCTGTAATCCCAGCACTTTGGGAGGCCGAGGTGGGTGGATCATGAGGTCAGAACATCCAGACCATCCTGGCTAATATGGTGAAGCCCTGTATCTACTAAAAAATTAGCTGGGCGTGGTGGCAGGCACCTGTAGTCCCAGCTACTTGGGAGGCTGAGGCAGGAGAATGGCATGAACCCGGGAGGCGGAGCTTGCAGTGAGCCGAGATCGCGCCACTGCACTCCAGCTGGGGCAACAGAGCGAGACTCCGTCTCAAACAAACAAACAAAAAGTACTGTCATTTGGTTAACAGCTGCCTTTTATGGAGGCCAAGCTATGCAAACCAAACTATGAAAAACTTTAAGAGTAAAAGGGACCCTGGATGCCATTTAGCTTGGTCACTTGCCACTACAGAAGCTCCTTCAGCAACAACCCAGCATGCTTGCTCAGTGCCTTCATCCTCCAGCTGAGGAAGGCTGCCCACTCCAGCCTGATCAACCATGATTGCTAGAAAGTGTTTCCTTGGATTTCACCAAAATCCTCTTTCTCTCATTTCCATCCAGCTGTCCTAAACTCTGTCTTTCAGGGCCATACAGAACACAAACAACCCCTGCTCAACATGACAGTTTTTCTAATCTCTAAAGACAGTTTTCATATTGCCCCTCAGTCTTCCCTACTGCCAGTTAAACAGCCCAGGACTTCTAACTATTTTCCAGATGACATGGTTTCAGATCACCTAACGTCCTCTGGGTTCCCTTTTTTGGGTCATCTTTCATCTTCTCAACTCAGAGAGGATTTTAGGCTCTATTTAGATTCCTCCTCCCTTATCCTATTGTCAGAAATTGCCTCCAGGTAGAAAGCCAAGGCAATTATAGGGTTCTTTTCACTTATGTCCATTTTCCCAGGGATCACAAACATGTACTTCCTGAAATAAGTTATTTTATGTATCTTGTCCACTTTCTAGTTACTCACAGTGGGAGGATAAGTCTGGTTCTTGTTATCACATTATGGCTGAAAGTGGACATCCACACATGTTCAAACAAAGCTTTCAACATTTTACCATTAACTGTGATATTATAAATGTTCCCCTTAACACTGGGGGCAAGCAAGGGTGCTTGATACCACCATGTCCTTACAAAATTATACTGGAGTTCCTAGTGAACGCAGTAACGCATAAAAAAACATGAAGATTGGAAATGAAGGAAAAAAAATCTGTCATCATTTGCAGTTTGCATGTTTGTCTAGATAAAAATCCCAAAATATCTACACAAAAATCCTAAAGTATATACATTTAAAATGAACCTTTAAAAAAATGTGATGGCATAAAATACTACTAATGATAGCAACAGAAAATGTAAAGTACCCAAAAATAAAGCTAACCACAAATAGAAAAGACCTCTATAGAGAAAATTATAAAAACTTTACTTAAAGAAATCAAGGACTTAAGAGACATACAATGTTCATGGATCAGAAGATTCAATATTACAAAGATGAGAATTCCCCCCACTTGATACACGGTTTCAATGGAGTTATGATCAAAATTCTGGCAGAGCTTTTTTGGTACTTAACAAGTTGATTATAAAATTATTATAATCTGGCCAGGTGCGGTGGCTCACACCTGTAATCCCAGCAGTTTGGGAGGTTGAGGCAGGCAGATCACAAGGTCAGGAGATCAAGACCATCCTGCTAACATGGCAAAACCCCATCTCTACTAAATATACAAAAAAATTGGCCAGGCGTGGTGGTGGGCGCCTGCAGTTCCAGCTACCTGGGAGGCTGAGGCAGGAGAATGTCGTGAGCCCAGGAGGCGGAGCTTGCAGTGAGCTGAGATTACGCCACTGCACTCCAGCCTGGGCAACAGAGCGAGACTCCGTCTCAAAAAAAAAACAAAATTATTATAATCTCTACTAATTAAGTTAGTGGGTATTGGTATAGGGATATTCAAATAGAGAAATGTAACTGAAAAGAGAGGCATGAAAGAGAACCACGTATATAGAGAAACTTAGTTTATGATGGAGTTGGCATTGGAGATTAATGTGAAAAGGACAGATATTTCAGTAATTGGTTAGCCACATGGGAAATAAAAAGAAATGTGATTCTGTGTTAGCCATGTTGCTGCAATTTTGCTGTGCAGCAAACAACTTCCAAATCTCAGTAAGATATAACGACAAACATATATTTGTCACACAGAGGTCTATAAGTCACACAGAGGTCAGATCAGGTCTACTCCACATGTCTCTCATTCTCTGACCCAAGCTGAAGGAGTGTGGCCACCCGGGGCATGCACTTCTCATGTTGCAGGTAAGGAATACACGAGAGTAAATCAAACCACACATTTAAAGTTTCTTATTGGGTGGGACATACATTATATCTGCTCACATTCTAATCACCAAAACAAGTCACGTGGTTAAGCTAAAAGACAGTGGGGAAGTGGAGTATATTCTGCTCAAAATGAATCATGGCACAGGCAGGAAGGAAAGAAAGAATTGTGAGCAAATAATACAAATTACTACAGATTCTACCTCACACCATACCAAAAAAATCAATTTGAGGAGGCTTAAAGACATAACTTATGAAACATTTAAGAGACTATATAGGAGAAAATCTTTATGTTCTTAGAGTAAAAAGGAAATTCACAAATATGAAACATAAAACAGAAACTATAAAAGACTGATAATTTTAATTGAGCTGCTATTCATAAGAAATTCAAAGTGAGATAAGACATTCACAATATATATCAGTGGCAAAGAATTAGCATTCAGAAAACACAAAGTACCCCTATAAATAAATAAGGAAAAAATAGACCTATTCACACCAGGAACTTGGTATTTGACAGAATGGCATCACAAATCAGTGAGGAAAATCTGGATTATTCAATACAGGGTGCTGATACAACTGGCTGTCTACATGGGGAAAGATAAAATGAGATCCCTACTTCAGTCTATATGCCAAGATAAATTCTAGATAATTTTAAAAGATAAATATGAAAAGCAGCATTTTATAACTTTAAAAGAAAATGCAGCATATCATTATTACATTGATAGTGTTTTCAATGAATATTGAAAAGAGAAGTCATAAAAGTTGGTAAGTTTGGCTACATTTTTAAAAAAACTTATATAAGTCAAAACACTCCTGGCCAAGCACTGTGGCTCACACCTGTAATCCCAGCACAATGGGAGGCCAAGGTGGGCAGATCACCTGAGGTCAGGAGTTCCAGACCAGCCTGACCAACATGGTGAAACCCCATCTCTACAAATATACACAAATTAGCCAGGCATGGTGGTGCACACCTGTGCACCACCAGAGCGAGATTCCCTCTAAAAAGAACAAACCAAACAAACAAAAAACTCCCTAAACAATGTTAAAAGTGAAGTTATAGAGCAGAATTTTTTTTTTTTTTGGAGACGTAGTCTCGCTCTGTCGCCCAGGCTGGAGTGCAGTGGTGCGATCTCGGCTCACTGCAACTTCTGCCTCCCGGGTTCAAGTGATTCTCCTGCCTCGGCCTCCCGAGTAGCTAGGACTACAGGTGCATGCCGCCCGGCTAATTTTTTGTATTTTAATAGAGATGGGGTTTCACTGTGTTGCCCAGACTGGTCTCGAATGCCTGAGCTCAGGCAGTCCACCCACCTCGGCCTCCCAAAGTTCTAGGATTACAGGCATGAGCCACCCCGCCAGGCCTTTTTTTTCTTTTTTTTTTCTTTTTGAGACAGAGTCTCGCTCTGTTGCCAGGCTGGAGTGCAGTGGCACGATCTCAGCTCACTGCAACCTCTGCCTCCCAGGTTCAAGCGATTCTCCCGCCTCAGCCTCCCAAGTAGCTGGGATTACAGGCACCCGCCACCATGCCCAGCTAATTTTTGTATTTTTGTAGAGACGGGTTTCACCATGTTGGCCAGGCTAGTCTTGAACTCTTGACCTCAGGTGATCCACCCCCTTTGGCCTCCCAAAGTGCTGAGATTACAGGCATGAGCACTGCACCTGGCTGGAAGATTTTTTTTTTTTCTTTTTTTGAGACAGTCTCACTCTGTCACCCAGGCTAGAGTGCAGTGGTGCAATCTCGGCTCACTGCCAGCTCCGCCTCCCAGGTTCACGCCATTCTCCTGCCTCAGTCTCCCAAGTAGCTGGGACTACAGGCGCCCGCCACCATGCCCGGCTAATTTTTTGTATTTTTAGTAGAGACGGGGATTCACCGTGTTAGCCAGGATGGTCTCGATCTCCTGACCTCGTGATCTGCCCGCCTCGGCCTCCCAAAGTGCTGGGATTACAGGCGTGAGCCACCGCGCCCAGCCGCCAGAAGATATTTTTAACATGCCAAGAAGACAAAGGTTAAATATCCAGAATATTTCAAAGATGTCCTATACGCACTACAAAACACTGCTGAAGAGAGCTTGGTGCATTTGAAGAACAACAAAGTGTTTGTTGTGGTTGTAGCAGAGTGGGGTGTGTGTGTGTGTGTGTGTGTGTGTGTGTGTGTGTGTGTGTGTGTTACTCCCGTCTTTACATGATAAATTCCTTTGACTTAGAATGCCCTTTCACCATTTTGTTCCTGGAGTTAGAAACTACCTCATGAAAATTAGCATGACCTTCCTTTATGCTTCTCTGGTTTGTATTATATTCTCTATTGACAAATTTTAAAATATTATAATTCATTGAGAGTACCATTTTGCCTCCCCCTACTCCCTACTCCAAATATGAGTTTTTCCTGTTTGATTAAACAGCCATTGAGCATCTGTCACAGATCCAGCTCTGTTCTAGGTACTTTAGAATAAAGATGAATGCTTGGTTGTTTCCAGGCTATGCTGTAAATTCTAAGGAAGGGGGTTAAGGACAGGATTCTTGGAGGCAGTATGATGTGATCCCAGAGACAGGAGATAGGAAAAAGATAAGCACATGTTCTAGATGTGTTTAAATTCTCATCAAATAGGAGGCGACGCCATTCTCTGATGAGGAAGGAGATATGAAATCAGACACCCAAAGAGGCTTTCCAGAGGACATCCTAACTTTTGATAGATGTTTCCACCATCTGGGTGGTGTCCTCTTCTCCATCCCTCTGTTTTCTCAGAAGCAGCTGCTGGGGTCCCAGAGGGATGCACACAGTGGCTATAGGTGCTCACAGATCCACAGTGAAACACTCTTATCTAACCCTGGAAGGTTTTGCTGCTTGAAAACCTTTATGCCTTCATCCTAAGATACAAGGTTGCAAATAGCACCAAGAGCTGGAAACAGATGCCAGCTGAAACCTAAGAACAGACACAGTGCATGAGCAGTGTCCTACCAGGACCACCACTCGGCTCTTGGCAGTGGCAGCCCTCCTCCTGGCTTCTGGCAATGACCATCAGTTGCTTCATCTTCTGAAAAGGAAAACTACCCAGTTGGCCAAGCCAGATCTCCAGGAATGAGGTGTCTCTGTCTCCTGCTTTGAGATCAGTCCTTCCACTGCTCCATCCAGGGAGCCCCAGAGAAAGTAATGTGTGAGTTGAACACACTGGAAATCTGTACCTAGCACAGGTCAGCAGTTGAAAACAGCATGTATACAATGGCTTTCACCTACACTGTTAAAAGGCGGGCACATGCCCAATAAATGTTTATTGAGTGCCATTAGGTGCCCGGCACTGGGTCATGCACTGACAATGGGAAGGCGAATGACAAAGATAGGCTTCCTGCTGTCATAGCGTTTACAGACAGCTGGAAGCGTGTGATGGTTAATTTTTTGTGTCAACTTGGCTAGTACTGAGTTATTTAATCAAACACTAATGTAGGTGTTGTTTGCTTTGAAGCTATTTTATAGATGTGGCTAACATCTACAATCTGTTAACACTGAGTAAAACAGATTGCTCTTTTACTGTGTGGGAATGTCTCAGCCAGTCAGTTAAAGGCCTTATGAACAAAACTAAGATTTTCCTGAGGAAGTAGAAAGTTGACCTCAAGATTGCAACATCAGCTCCTGCTTGAGAGTTCCAGCCTGCTGGCCTGCCCTACAGAATTTGGATTTGTCAGTTCCCACAACTGTGTAAGCCAACTCCTTGAAATAAATCTCTCTCCGTGTGTGTGTGTGTGCATGTGTGTGTGCATGCACGCGTGTGCATGCGCCCACGTTCATCTCTGGCACGAGACCCACATACAAAGGTGGTGTCCTAAGGTGTATGATTGGGGAAACTGCATGTGGTGCTTAGCACTGTAAGCCTAAGGCAGACTGTCCAGATAGGAACCTTGGATCCATCATGTACTAGATGCACCATGACCTTGGGTCAACTCCTACATTCTCTAACCCTCAGTTTCCTCATCTGTAAAATGGTGGTAGTATCTCCCTCACACGGTCATTGCAAAGAGTCAAAGAGATTAAGTATCTCATGATATTTAAGAAGTTAAATGCCCATGACCAACACAGCAAGTAAGTATGAAGCCAGGATTTAAACTCATGTTTGTCTGCACTGCGTATGCCCTTTACCCGCTGCCATATCACCTTGGTCTTTGGGAATTACACTTCAGTTATCAGCTCTTTAACAGACACAGTTGCTGTAGACCACTCCTACATTGTTACAGCTTCAACTCTGCTCTACAGAGATGCCTCTTAAATGTATACCTTTGGCCTAATCCTGAGGTTGAGTTCCAGGTTTCCACTGCACTTTGCTAATTTGATATGCTCCATTGGCTTCAAATCTGACATATCTTAAATTCAAGCTCATCATCGAAGCCTCACCATTGACAAGTCCTGGCTTCACCTCTCTCTAGTTATATGACCCCAGGAAAGCTACTGATCCCCCAATCCTCAGTTTCCTCACTTGTTAAATGGCAGGGTTTGCCGAGATCAGGAAGCCAGACACATAGCACTCATAGTTCTTCTTATGTCTGACTGTGTCTACAGTACCTGTCTTGCTTGATCTCTGGTACATTGTGGGTATTATATTGTACTTATTTATTCAGCATCTATTCATTCCCTGGCACTGATTTTGACTAATTTCACAATAAGATGCATGGATTTAGTCCTAACTCACCACTTGTAGGAAAACCATCATTTCTTACTAAACCAAGTAAATTGGCTGCTCCAGTATGCGTTGGTTTCATTTACATCATATGTTAGTATATTGCCATCTAGAGGACCAAGTGCAAGCTACAAGCAAGAGAGAACTGGGGCTTGGGGAGAAAGGCAACATCCTAGAAGAAATGTTTAAAAAACATTAAGACTCATTCGTAGCTGTGTTGGATTTCAACAATTATGTGAAAAAAATAAATAACAGGATGTGTTTTAACTATAAATTAGAAATGAATGCTATAGTAAGTTACCGGCTCATAAACTTATGATCTCTGTTAAATAAAATTTATAGGAGGTCATTGGTTTGAAGTAAGTTCCTGCACTAGGCCCCAGTAGACCAAACCAAAATGGAGTTACTCACGGTAAAGTTCCAGGCCACCAAGCCAAAACTACATTGTTATCTGACCTTCCAAGAAATCAGGAGCGAGAGGGAGATAATAGCCACATCTCCGAACAGCCAGTTTTAGCCTGCCTGATAAGGAAGTCCCCCTACTTTAACCTTCACAAGGAAAGTAACTTTGAAAAAACCAATCCACTTTGTGTTCTTTGTTTCTGCATTCTTCAGCCTTTTTCTGCCTGTAAATACTCACTGCCCATGTTTCAGAGCAAAGCCCAATTCCCATGAATCATTCTTTGCTCTGTTACATTTATTTTGTTTAAAGTTTTACTTCTATCATCTTTAACTTGTTCTAAACAAAATAAAAAATAAAATGAAATCAGCATTCTTTCCTATAATTGACTGTTTTGCTGCATTTGGATTATCCATGCCATATACTAGATGAGAATCTAAATTAAAAGAGGAGCCACTTAACTAGGGGTTAGCTCTCCTGACTGCTGCAACTTTAGCTTAGCAATTCGGTTTTCCATCTGAGCAAGTTACCATTATCGAGTGCTTACTGTGGGCTTGGGACTATACTGAACATTTTACATGAGTTATCTCATTTAATCCTCACAAGCTCCTTCCACCTCAAGAGGGTAAGTATTTACTTGTGCTTATGACTCTCAGCCTGCTGCTTCATCTGTAAAAATGGGATAAGTGACTTTCTCAAAATCTAAAAAAGGATATTGAACTGGATCCACAACTCAGATCTGCCTGAATCAAATACAAGTTCTTAATGATTACAGTTTACTAAATACAACAGCTTCTGCATTCTAAGAATGTCACGAGGATGAAACAATTCGTGGAAAGCACTTTTTGGAGAAAAAACAATGCTCGAATGCTTACATAACAGAATGTTCACACAAAAAATAGGTGTAAAGTGATGTATATTCTATTGGGATAACCAATCGCTTTACAAAAGCATTCAGTAAGGATTGCTTTTTCAGTAAACATTAGTGGTATCTTTTCTTTCAATCTGATTCCAGGTTTGTCAATTTTGCTAATCCTTTCAAAGAACCAACTTCTAGTTTTGTTGTTTTCTCTACTGTTTTTCAAGTCTTTATGTTTTTTCTTTCCTTTCTAATCTATTATTTCCTTCCTTCTGCTTACTTTGATTTACTAGGGTCATCTTCTAGTTTCTTAAGATGAAAGGTGAGACTTGATTTGAGATCTCTTGTTTAAAAAAAATAAGTGTTTACTGTTACGGATTTCTCTATAAACACTGTTATATATGCATCCCATAAGTGTTGGTATGTTGTGTTTTCATTTTCATTAATCTCAAAGTATTTTCTAATTTCCCTTGTGATTTCTTCTTTGACCCACTGGTTATTTAGCAGTATGTTGTTTAATTTTCACATCTTTGTGAATTTCCCAAATTCCCTTGTGTTGTTCATTTCTAATTTAATTCCATTTTGACCAAAGATTATACTTTGTATGACTTCGATTATTTTAAATTTATTGAAGCCTGTTTTATGGCCTAACATATAGTCTATCGTGGAGAATGTTCCATGTTCATTTGAGTAGAATGTGTATTCTGCTGTTGTTGGACAGAGTCTCTACAGATGTCTGTTGGGTTTTTTTGTTTGTTTGAGATGGAGTCTCATTTGTCACCCAGGCTGGAGTGCCGTGGCGTGATCTTGGCTCACCGAAGCTTCCACCTCCCGAGTTCATCCTGCCTCAGCCTCCCAAGTAGCTGGGATTACAGGCATGCGCCGCCACACCCAGCTAATTTTTGTATTTTTAGCAGAGACGGGGTTTCTCCATGTTGGCCAGGCTGGTCTCGAACTCCTGACCTCAAGTGACCTGCCCGCCTCAGCCTCCCAAAGTGCTGGGATTACAGAAATCAGCCACCGTGCCTGGCAGATTTAGTTTGTTTATAGTGCTTTTGAATCCTCTTTTTCCTAGTTAATCATCTGCCTACTTCTATGCATTATTATAAATGAAGTGTTGATGTCTCCAGCCACTATTGTTAGATTTTCTGACTTCTTTACCTTTAACTAGCAAAGCAACTCAGTTTTTCTTTCTAAATAAGAGTTATCATTATCAAGTGCTTACCGTGTACCTGGGACTATGCTTACTCTTTTATGTGGATTATCTCATTTAGTTATTAATAATTATTAAGAGTAAATTGTTATGCCAGGCTCAGAGGCTCACGCCTGTAATCCCAGCACTTTGGGAAGCCAAGGGAGGCAGATCACTTGAGGTCAGGAGTTTGAGACCAGCCTGGCCAACATGGTGAAATCCTATCTCTACTAAAAATACAAAAATTAGCCTGGCATGGTGGTGCAGGCCTGTAATCCCAGCTAATCGGGAGGCTGAGGCAGGAGAATTGCTTGAACCTGGGAGCTGGGGGTCGCAGTGAGCCGAGTCAGCGCCACTGCACTCCAGCCTGGGTGATAGAGTGAGACTCTGTCTCAAAAAAAAAAAGTAACTTAATTGTTAATAATTATTCAATATGGAGAGTTTTGTCAGCTTTTGTTTCATGTTGTGGGATTTTTTAAGTGCATATTTGTTTTTAAGTGTTATGTTTTTCTGATGAATTGGTCCTTTTACCAATGTGTGATGTCCTTCTTTGTCCCTTGAAACAGTTTTTGCCTTAAAATCTACTGTTTGACATTAGCATAGTCACTCCAGCTATCTTTTGATTGCTGCTTGCATGGTATATCTGTTTCTATACTTTCACTTTCTACCTGTGTCTTTGAATCTAAAGTGTGCCTCTTGTAGACAACATATAGTTGGATCATGTTTTTTGCCAATCTGTTTTTTGTTTTTTGGGTTTTTTTTGGATGGAGTCTCGCTGTCACCCACGCTGGAGTCCAGTGGTGTGATCTCAGCTCACTGCAACCTCCGCCTCCTGGGTTCAAGTGATTCTCATCCCTCAGCCTCCAGAGTAGTTGGGATTACAGGTGCCCACCACCACACCCAGCTAATTTTTGCATTTTTAGCAGAGATGGGGTTTCACCATGTTGGCCAGGCTGGTCTTGAACTCCTGACCTCAAGTGATCCGCTCACCTAGACCTCCCAAAGTGCTGGGATTACAGGCGTGAGCCACTGTGCCCAGCCGCAAATCTGTCTTTTGACTGAATTATTTAACTGGTTTTCTTCTAATATAATTACTGATAAGGTGGGAGTCACTTGTGGGATATCTGCTCTTTTCCTTTTATGCATCTTATGTCTTTTGATTTAATTTCTCCACTACTGCCTTTTGTATTAAATAGGTATTTTCTAGTATATCATTTTGATTTCCTTCTTGTTCCTCTTATTGTATTTTTTGAGTTTTTTTTCCTAGAGGTTGCCCTAGGGACTATGATTAATATCTTAACATAAAGTAGGTTCAGATTAATGCCAACCTAATTTCAATAATACTCAAAAACTTTGGTATAGCTCTATTCCCTTCCTCCTCCTTTGTGCTATTATCATCATACAAATTGCATCTTTTATAAGTTATAACCCTATCAACATTATTTCATAAGTACTGCTTTATGTAGTTGTCTTTTAGGTCAGACAGGAAAAGAATTACAAACAAAAATACATTTATACTATATTTCATATTTACCTATGTAGTTACCTTTAATGATGTTTTTTATTTCCTCATGTGGATTGGAGTTATTGTCTAGTGTCCTTTCATTTCAGTCTGAAGGATGTCTTTTAGCATTTCTTTTAAGGCAGGTCTGCTAGCAGTGAATTCTCTTAGTTTTTATCTGGGTATGTTTTAATTTCCACTTTTTTTTTTTTTTGAGGGTGTCTCACTGTGTCACCCAAGTAGGAGTGCAGTGACACAATCAAGGCCTCAACCTGCCAGACTCAAGTGATCCTCCTGCCTCAGCCTCCTGAGTAGCTGGGACCACAGGCACATGCCACCACACCCAGCTGTTTGTTGTATTTTTTGTAGAGATGGCTTTTTGCCATGTTGCCCAGGCTGGTCTCAAATTCCTGGGCTCAGGCAATCCTCCTGCCTCAGCCTCCTAAAGTACTGGGATTACAGGTGTGAGCCACCATGCTCATCCTTTCTTATAGTTTTGAAGGATAGTTTTGCTGGATCTAAAATTCTCTGTTAAGTTTTTTTCTTTTAGCACTTTGAATATGTCATTCTACAGCCTTCTGACCTCTGTAGTTTCTGATGAGTGGTAGGCATTTAATCTTACACAGGATCCCTTGTATGTGATAAGTTGTTTTTCTCCTGCTGCTTTAACGACTGTCTTTGTCTCTGGCTTTTGACAGCTTGATTGTAATGTGTTTAGTAATAGATCTCTGAGTTTATCCTAGTTATAATTTGTTGATCTTCTTGAATGTGTAGCTCATGTATTTCATTGAATTTGGGAAGTCTCAGCCATTATTTCCTCAAATATTATTTCTGCCTTTTTCTTTTCATTTTCTGGAACTCCTTTAATGCGTATGTTGGTAACTTGATAAAATGCCACAGATCCCTCAAGCTCTGTTCACTCTTCATTCTTTTTTCTTTCTGTTCCTCGGACTGGATAATTACATTTGTCCTATTTTCAAATTTGCTGATTCTTCTGCCTGTTTAAATCTGTAAACCCCTCTAAGAAATTTTTCAGCTCCAGAATTTTTCATGTTTTCTATTTACTGATACTTTCACTTTGTTTATACATTATTTTCCTTTCTCCTGTTCTTTGTCCACGGTTTACTTTAGTTTTTAAAGCATATTTAAAGGTTGACAAACTTTTTGTTTAATAGATCTAATGTCTGGGTTTTCTCAGGGATGGTTTCTGTTTTCTAAGTTTTTTCCCCCATATATAGGCGGCTGTAATTGCTGTTTCTTCACATCTTTTGTTGTTGTTGAAAACTGGAAAATTTAAATAATATAAGGTGGCAACTCTGCAAATCAGATTTGTCCCACACCCATCTTTGTAGAGTTTGTTACTATTTGTTATTTTTATTGCAATGGTGGTATGTCTAGTACCTTTCCTCGACTAATTCTGTTTAGTCTGTGTTCTTTGTCATGTTGCAGTCACCAAAATCTCTGCTTGGTTACTTTAGTCTTGAGCATATGATTAGACAGGGATTTCCTTAAGTGGTTGAAGCATAAGTCTCTCACCTTTACCTGACTTTCTAGCTCCCAAGAATATTTTGGCACTTTTCAAAGCCTCTGTAGACATCACACTCCCCTTTTTTTAAGTTTTCTGGCCAGTCTCATTTGTCCCAACTAGTATAGCCATGTCAGGCAACTGTGCTATTTAAATTATTGCCACCAATTGTTTATAACAAACAACCTGAGGATAGTTTCCTCATTGAGTGACCTGAGTTGGGTTAAATGAAGACAAGCCCTGTGATTGGGACTATTCCAGGGAGCTGCCAGACAGGTCAAGGAGTGACAAATCTCTGGGGATGGGGCGTCTTGGATAACTCCAAACCTATCTTGGGGGGACTCTAAATTCCTTCAGTGGTTTCTAGGCTACTGGTTGTCACAGCTACTGTGGTCTCAAGGTTGCTGATTTTCAAGGCTACTGTGGAGCTGAGAAGAAAATGGGGACAGGACAAGTTAAAACACCACAAACCTTATTGATCACGGAAAGTCAGCTTTTTTCTCAAATACATTTTCTTTGGGTTGTTGCAATCGTTTGGTTAATTTCCAGAGTTTAAAAAAGTTTATTTTGATCATTCCTGCCAGTGTCCTCACTGATTTTATGCAGAATCAGATATTCAAAGATCCATACTCCACCATTCTGGAAATGTTTCTCTATGATTTTTTTAATGGGATATATAGGATTTCTCTTAAATTAATATAAGCAGCATCTATAGGATTTCTCTTAAATTAATATAAGCAGCATCTACTACATTCACTTAGAACACTAGACATTACCAACCATGATAGACCATCTAAATGAGAAAACTGCTTCTCTTCTCAAATTTCATAGAATGTCCATGCTGGTTTCCAAAGCACATGGCATCTACCTTCAGTAAGCAACACAGAATATTAGAACACCAGAGTTCAAGTTCGTATCTATACACTCTCCAGCTCCAACTAAGAGGGCCTAAGGGACAGACTGTTCATCAATGACTGTAGACTAATGGTTTTCGCCCCTTCAGGCCCACAGCCACTTTTTATCAGAAATATTTTTAAACATGTTTTATTATTCTAAAACACAAACAATATAACTTACGTGAGGCATATTTTTAAATCATCTATCATGATTAAAGGTATCTTTAATATCTAACTGTAATGTAACAGAGAAATAAAAGGAAGCAACTTACGGTAATGTGTAATTCAATCTGGAGATGGCCAAAACTCCTGATGACACAATCATTAGATGCTTGCATATGTACATATAATTACCATTAATGTACCCACTACAAATGCAGACTACTGCAGTAGTTTTGACCTGGAACTCAAATGCCATGAGCAATGTTGCCACTAGTGATAGTTTTTAAAATGATAGAAAACTCTTGGTTACGTACTGAACAAAGACTACAACCTTCCCTCACTTAACTGGTAATTGCATTTTTTAGCAAATCAAGTACTGCAGATCTACAACAAAAATATAAAATGGAGTTATAATCTAAGCTCAAAAAATTATTGTCAACGTCCACCCGTCAGAGATCATGAGGAACAGATCTGCGGTTGAATCGAGTTGGGTTTATCAACACACTTTTACACAAGAGAGATCACACACCATGGGGAACCATGGGGTGCCTCAGTATGAGGGTGCTGGGAAGGGCTTTTTAAAGGATTTGGGGTTGTGTTGGGTGATTTCAAGAAGGGCTCCATGAATCATGGTTTTACTCTGGATTAAGTGCTTTCAGAAAGCAAGGGAAATTCTAAATGAGTGTAAACATTGAAATTTTTAATCTAGGAGGAAGAAGGAACAGAGTGATCTAATGGGTAATGGAGCAAATATCACACATGTAAGCCAAGAGACAAGAATGTTTGGTCGCTCTATGATTTACACAGAATCTTGCTAAGTTCCAACATGCCTATGGAGTGTCTTAATTTTTGTCTTCCTCCACCACACTCAGAGTGGCCTTGTCAGATGTTGTTGTTATATAACATTGTTTATATTCAACAGAATATAATAGCCTAGCCATTAGGGCTAAATCAGCTTCCAGCTGACAGCTGTAGGGGTTGCTCTTCCTTTCTCATTATAAACAGGATTTCTATGTACATAATTATTCAGCGAGGTTCAAAGAAGTCATGAGATACAGGACAATTCTTTGTTGTCTAAAACTGTCCTATGCTCTTCAGGCACCTAGCATCTCTATTCACTTTCACTCACATTTCATTGGCCATTGTTAACCACATGGCCTCAAATTAATTAAGGAAGCTGAGAAATGTAGAACAAATGGAACGTTTAGTGAGCATTACTATCTCTACTACATGCAACCTTCAATAAATTATTTTACTTCTCTCAGTATTAGTTACCTACCTGTAACATGAGGTTACATGGTACATAATGGTCATTCTTCCCTCTTGGGGAGAATCACATGAGATAATACATAAAGGAACTTTAATAAGCTCTAAGAGTTATATAGATTTAAAAGGCCCATAGTACCTATATGTTGGAGTTAATGTGCCATCACTTCTACACACACACACACACACACACACACACACACACCCTTACCTATTTAGAGGTCTGGGTCAAAGAATACATACTCTGGGGGATGTAGAATTAGAATGTGATTTTACTAGGGCCAGGCGTGGTGGCTCACACCTGTAATCCCAGCACTTTGGGAGGCCAAGACAGGCAGATCACCTGAGGTCGGGAGTTCAAGACTAGCCTGACCAACATAGAGAAACCCTGTATCTACTAAAAATACAAAATTAGCCGGGCGTGGTGGTGGGCACCTGTAGTCTCAGCTACTTGGGAGACTGAGGCAGGAGAATCACTTGAACCCGAGAGGTGGAGGTTGCAGTGAGCCAAGATTATGGCACTGCACTCCAGCCTGGGCAACAAGAGAGAAACTCCATGTCAAAATAAAAAAACAAAAATGTGATTTTACTTCCATTTTACTAGCACCATTCAGTCAATTCACTTGTATCCAAGGCTGACCCAGGGAAAAAAAATGGAAAACCACTTATCCTCAGTCTCTCCTAATTTCTTCAGTCTTAATGAAATGATTAAAGTGTCACAGATTTTATTTTCTAAAGACTATCTCCCATCCCACATACTTCTTATTATAATGTAATCTTAACACTCCTCTCATCAAGTACTGGGCTCTATGTACCCTTCTATAGAAGCTGGATGGACCTTGGTTACTGCTTCATCCAATGAAGTATGACAGAAGACACATCATGTGAATTCCAAGACTAATCATTAAAATGCCATGCACTTCTCTTGCTCTCTTGGAAGGCTCATTGTTAGAACCCAGTGCCAGGTTGTGAAGAAGTCAAATGTGCCCACAGGGAGAAACTACACAGTGTAGGTGTTCCAACCGAGAGCCTAGCTGAGGCCACAGCTGACAGCCAATGTCAACCTCCAGGCCAGTAGCTGAAAAGCTCCCTGCCACTCCCTGGCTCCTTCCCCAGCCATCACTGTGCTCCATCCAAATTCCTGTCCCACACAATTTGTGAGCATAATAAAATGACTTTTCACCAGTAATTCTAGGAGTGGAATTTTACGTAGCAACAGCATCTGAACAGTGCAACTCGGCAGCAACTACAATATTCACTTAATTACTACATAAAGGACAACTATGTATTTACTAAATTATTACATCTCTAATACTGTACTAACAACTGGAGTTGTTAGTACAATATGGAAAGTTAGTTCAAATGGAAATAATCATGGATAATGCTCAAAGTGCACTGTATCGACAAGAATCCAGTTAGGCTATGAGCAACAGAGAAGCCAGAACATTAACACTTGAAGAAGGTAGTTCCTCCCTTCACTTTTATTAAAAGTTCAAACAGGTCGCCAGATACGATGGCTCACGCCTGTAATCTCAGTACTTTGGGAGGCTGAGGCGGGCGGATCACCTAAGGTCAGGAATTCGAGACTAGCCTGGCCATTGTGGTGAAATCCCGTCTCTACTAAAAATACAAAAATTAGCCAGGTGTAGTGGCAGGCTGGTAATCCCAGCTACTAGGGAGGCTGAGGCAGGAGAATCACTTGAACCCAGAGGGCAGAGGTTGCAATGATCCGAGATCACACCACTGCACTCCAGCCTGGGTGACAAGAGCAAAAACTCTGTTTCAAAAAAAAAAATTCAGACAAGTAGTTCAGGGCTACTATACCCACAAGATGGGATTCAGACAGTATCTACCTCATTTCTCTGCCATTCACAAAACGAAGCCTTTATCACATAGTCCAAGATGGCTGCTCTAGTTTCTGCTATTGTGTCTACCTTTCAGGAAAAAGGGGGAAGGGATGGGCGTGCCTCCTCCTTTTAAGGATACTTCCTGGAAGTGTATCCATTGGCCCAAACTTGGTGGTGTGGCCACACCAAGATACAGCAATAAAATCTAGGAAAAGTTTTATCTTTATTCCAGGATGCCATTCCCTAGCTAATTAGGTGGGAAATCTGTAGAAGGAGAAAAACGAATATTAGGGAATACAGGGTAGCTCCTACCACATGCATATTCTAAAATTCATTGTTACTTGGTTTAGGATGCAGTTCAAATAACACAGTTACCTAAAGAACTACACCAATGTATCCTTTGTTAGACTCTCAACCCTAAAGATTTAGGTTAGATCTTTCAGATTGTATTTTAAAATGTCTTTAGTGCAGTATCAATTCTCACCAGACAGAACAGCTAAGTAAAATAAACAAGCTCTTAACAAATTATTAATTTTTAAGAAAGGAAAGGGCATTTAGAGCAAATATTTTCTCTAAAAAATACTAATATATCATGTTTTATATCCTACAGATATTCCTGCAATCTGTTTTCCTTGGGAAAGTCACTCATTAACCTGAAGTTCAGTTATATCATCTAAAGTATTACATATTTATCATGAGGGTTACATGAGATTACACATGTCAAATGCCTTGTAAATAGTAGAATTTTATACAAATATAAAGTTTTGCACCTTCAAAGCTATCACTCCAATAAGACACTTATTCAATTAAACAAATAATCTTAAAAACTATTTTAACAATGTACAAATATATTCACAACATAATCTGCTGATTAAGACTTCAACAAAGTTTATAATACCTACAACAGAATTTACAGATGCCTACAATAGTTTGTAGATTGGTTTAATTTACAGTTACATAGATTGCTTTAAGAAATACCATTAATACAAATGCATAATTTACAATATCCCCATTATAGCAAGAAAAAAATAGATTCAGAAAATAAAATGTCTTTTAGGCATTTATTATGCCAAGTATGTAAATTATTATTCTCATTATGACATGAGAATAATGCTCTTTTAGTGGTAAAAGATCTATTAGCTCAAGGTCCACTGAAGAACTTTCAATCTAGCTATCCTTTCTGTAAAATAAATAGAATAGCAGCAATCTCTGGGTATTCCTTAAACTATGATGATTCCACTTATATTAACTGGGCCTTAAGTAGATAACTTCTTACAAACAAAAATAAAATTTTATAAAGTAGTTAATACCACTGGCCCTAATTGTTTTCACTTGCTTGCATACGTCTAAGAAATTTCCCCATGAAGTACATATTAAAAACTAACAATTATTTCTAACTTATACATAAGCCAAAGTGCTCACTCTTACCATAGAAGCAAAACTTTCTCCTGAAAACAATCTACAGAAATAATATGTAAACATATAGAGCTTTGAGACAGACTAAGAACATCCTCCTATGTTCTATGGATCAAAATGCAAAGGTCTCCATTATCTGTGTAAATGAACACTTTCATTAACTTGGGATATACAGGTATTACATGGCCGTGTGCATACCTATGGAATGTGCATACCTACACCACAGAACAAATCTTAACAATGTTTCTAGTGCCAACATATACTTTCTAGCCCCAACTGCTGGAAAGGAAATAAAAACTTAATATGAAAACTACTTTTCCTTTTTATAAATAAAGTTTTTAAGTGGAAAAACAAAGCCAACACTCCTCGTTGCAACATGGACTAAGCTCTAAAAGGTTGAGTCAAGAATCTCTTCAGTTGTTCCCCAATGTAACAAAGCACATAAGCTTTCTCTATTCAGGAAGTCTGATCATCTCCAGTGTTCCGCAAAAGACAAAAAAAGAACTCCTTAACATCAAAGTTATTTCACTTCACACACCATGGACTTGGGGCCTAGGCCTAGGAAAACATTCTATATTTCTAAGCAGAGCATTACCTTACATACAATGGCCCAATCACATTAAAAAGTAGACATGCTAGGCTGGGCGCCGTGGCTTACACCTGTAATCCCAGCACTTTGGGAGGCCGAGGAGGGTGGATCATGAGGTCAGGAGATCGAGACCCTCCTGGCTAACACAGTGAAACCCCGTCTCTACTAAAAATACAAAAAATTAGCCAGGCGTGGTGGCGGGCGCCTGCAATCCCAGCTACTCGGGAGGCTGAGGCAGAAGAATAGTATGAACCCGGGAGGTGGAGTTTGCAGTGAGCCGAGATCGCGCCACTGCACTCCAGCCTGGGCAAACAGAGTGAGACTCTGTCTCAAAAAAAATAAATAAATAAAAAAGTAGACATGCGCTAATGAAGTAAATCCATGGATACCATCATCCACCCAGCTGTCCAGTTTGTCTCATTTGAGCAGACGCCGGATACCATGTAAGACACTAACCCTATCCATGTTATGCCAGGTTTAAGGTTTAATTTCACCTGTATTCCATGTTCCTCCCCACCTTCAGAAACACTGAAAATTCTAACGAAAAAAACCTAATAAGCACATACATGAAAGTTACCCTAAGGTGGACCACAGTAAAGGTATATTGGAGCCATGCAAAAATCCTTCAGAATGAGATGATCATGTCCCTACATGAATATTCATTTTCTCTACTTTTCATCTTCTGTGAGAGAAACTGTACAGTAGAATAAAAAGAACAATAAATTTTGAGTACAGAGGGCTGGGTTTAAGATCTAGCTTTGTACCACTATTAGCTGTATAATCTTAAGTAAATAATTTAATTTCTCGGGGCTTTAGTTATCTAAAATGTAATCCCTGGACCAGTGCCCTCAGTACCACCCAGAAACTTGGGAGAAATGCAAATTATGAGACTCCACCCCCAGATCTACTGAATAAGGAGTCTGGAGGTGGAACCCAGCAATCTTGTGCCCTCTAGGTGATTCTCATGTATGTTCGAGTTTAAGAATCCCTGTCCTACATAATATCACTTGCCCAACCTACTGTACTAACCAAATGCAAGGTATTACTCATATAAAGACCTAGTCACGGCCAGGCGCCGTGGCTCACGCCTGTAATCCCAGCACTTTGGGAGGCGGAGGCAGGCGGATCACGAGGTCAGGAGATCGAGACCATCCTGGCTAACACGGTGAAACCCCGTCTCTACTAAAAATACAAAAAAGCCAGGCGTGGTGGCGGCGCCTGTAGTCCCAGCTACTCGGGAGGCTGATGCAGGAGAATGGCGTGAACCCGGGAGGCGGAGCTTGCAGTAAGCCGAGATCACGCCACTGCACTCCAGCCTGGGCGACAGAGCAAGACTCCATCTCAAGAAAAAAAAAAAAAAAGACCTAGTCACTTTTCCCAAGAGATTTAACCAATAATTATTTACCTATGACTACTACTCATCCTGCTGAAAACCCTGATGTTGAGGTATTATAGTAAAATCCTTATGTTCTAGGGGGAAAAAAACATCTGAGTACAAATGTTATGGTCTTCTTGTGATTCAACTGTTCTCCCTAAAACCATACAACATACAGGCTGGGCACGGTGGCTCACGCCTGTAATCCCAGCACTTTGGGAGGCTGAGGTGGGCAGATCACAAGGTCATGAGATGGAGACCATCCTGGCTAACATGATGAAATCCCATCTCTACTGAAAATACAAAAAATTAGCTGGGCGTGGTGGCATGCGCCTGTAATCCCAGCTACTCATAAGGCTGAGGCAGGAGAATCACATGAACCCGGGGGGCAGAGGTTGCAGTGAGCCGAGATTGCACCACTGCACTCCAGCCTGGGCGACAGAGCAAAACTCTGTCTCAAAAAATAAAAATAAAAACATACAACATACATTCTGCAAGGGCATTCACTTAAAGCTCCCATAATTGATGAAAAACAACTGAACTTAAAAGTAATTTTTAAAAAATAAGTTATTATCAATGATAGTTTATCCTTCCTGGCTTTAAAATAATTTTAGGATACTGACAATACACTTCCAGACTGTCTTGAACACCCCCAAAGAGCAATTACAACATCTTTATCATTATATTTATACAACTATATGCCTTTAAAACTTCTGTTCAGGAGCGTTTCATAAAAATTAAACTATGAAAGTTAGAAATAATTGCATTAGTCACTGATCACATCCAGAAAACACTTACTTGTCTTAAAAACTGCTTTCCAAAATATGAAGTAGCCATGCTGGTTAAATGCTTTCTGCTGCGCACCTTACACCTGATGTAACCATACAGGTTGGCACCTTGTAGCACCACACCCATAATAACCACCGCCTGGGACAAGGGAAAAAAATAATCAACGGTTACTGGCCTGAAATTGACCTTTCTCTGTGCCATAAATGAGACAAGGCAGACTGTCATGAGAAAGAGAAGGAAGAGGAAGCTCTGCAAAGCCATGATTGTGCCAGTTGAGATTTTCCAGAGACAGTTGCCAGAACAGACCCATCTGATAGACGCTCTGCACAAGGCACGAGTCATTCACCCAGCAAATATTTACTGGACACAACTGCTCTATGTGCCAGGCACCATGCTAGCTGCTGGGGATGCAGTGCAGGGGGAGCCTTCTTGCTCTCTGTTTCCCATTGGTCTGTGAGTAAAGTTAGGAAAAGTAAATGAGACTCAGGAAAGGTTCAAATGTTAATTATTCCTATAGGAATTACAAAAGAACAGTCAAGAGGTAGATCAAGTTCAATAAACTGAGAGCAGGTAGGGGTGAATCTCTGCTCTACGTGACAACTGGCTTCTGGTAGAGGGGATGCAATGCCCTAAGGCATAAATCAACCGATGCCTGCCTTCCCCGAGGAGAGAGACAGCTCCAAGGGGAACTGTACTTTTGCAGAGCTGTTTGTTCCTTTGAGTTTCATTTTCTCACCTATGGTGATCCCACTAGGATCAATGAGAAGTGAGAAAAAGAAACTCAAAACCCATTCTTTAAAAATTTCTAATTAATCTTAATTAGAAAAATTGAGACAATGTGAGGGATTCCCAAGGTTAAAGACTCTAATACAGTGATCAGCAAAGTTCTCCTGTAAAGGGTCAAATCATAAATATTTCAGACCATACGGTCTCTGTTGCAATTACTCAACTCTGCTGTTCTAATCCAAAGGCAGCCATAGACAATATATAAGTGGGCAAGGCTGTTTTTCAATAAAAACTTACAAAAACAGGTGTCGGGCTGGATTTGGTCTGCAGGCCATAGTTTGCCAACCCTTGTTCTGGAATAAACAGCTCATCGACCATTCTACTCTTTTATATCTGTGACAAGCAAAGCAGCTCAATGAAATGTCGTTTTCCAATCTAGATTTATTCTCCTTACCCTTAACAAGATGTATAGCTGATTTTAATGTTTAATTAATAGATTTAAATGTTTGATTAATGAACAGGTTCACATTCCTAGTAAAAGAAGAGGAGGTGGTACTTTCTGTTCTAAACTTATGTTTCATGGAATTAAACGTGTTAGTGTAATAAGAGGGTGCTAGTTTCCTAAATAAATATAAAACTGTGTATTTATTTGAATAAATTTCCTTTTAATTTCCCATGCTTCTCAAATGGGGCACTGCTGGGTATTGTATATATCAACATGCCAGGGTACACCTGAATTCAAAGACCAATCACGGGTCCTGCTAAGGCATCGATTTACTCAATGGCAACAAATGTTAAAATCTGTAAGTTAAACTTCTGGTTTAAGATGGTGCAGTGAAGTCAGACATGAAGATCTCCCTGCCCTTAAGGTACAAACAGCAAACAGCGTTTTTAAAAACACAAATAAACTAATACCAACAAACACAAAAAAGGGCTGGTGGCCAAAGAAAGAGCCAGGTTGGAGCAGCTCTACATAGCTCCAAACTCTGCAAAGAAGCTCTAAGGAAAATTTCACTAATAATTACCATCCCCAGGAACTTATAGAAAAGCAAAAGACCCGAGAAAAAAATGCAGAAATAGCCATGACAGCAGAAACTCCTCCCAACTAACAATGACCCAAACAGGCAGGAAAATCCCTGCAGCTGGCCATAGTGGTGCCACCGGGTGGGAAGAAGGCAGGAGACGAAGCGCAGAAGGATCAATAATCATGAGAGATGATCATCTTAAGAGAAGTGAGGAGGTGGGAGACTCATGGAGAGACTGGGTGAAGCCCATTCCCGTCCTGTGGTCTTAACCCATTTATTTTTATTATTTTTATTTATTTATTTTTATTTATTTATTTTTTGAGACGGAGTCTCGCTCTGTCACTCAGGCTGGAGTGCGGTGGCACGATCTCAGCTCACTGCAAACTCCGCCTCCTGGGTTCACTCCATTCTCCTGCCTCAGCCTCCCGAGTAACTGGGACTACAGGTGCCTGCCACCACACCCGGCTAATTTTTTTATTTTTAGTAGAGACAGGGTTTCACCGTGTTAGCCAGGATGGTCTCGATCTCCTGACCTCGTGATCCGCCCGCCTTGGCCCTCCCAAAGTGCTGGGATTACAGGCATGAGCCACCATGCCAAGGTCTTAACCCATTTATGCTGTAGGCTGCAATTTTGTGAATTTTTGCATGAGTGAAAAATCAGACCTTGGTGATTACCTTGAGCAGTAGGATATAAATAACTCCTACATGCTTAGCGTTCCAATAATGGAACACTAGGCATAAGTAGGTTAACACAGGATCAAACTGGCTTTCACATAACCTCTCCCTGTTTTGTTTTAAGGAAGTAGAAACACTGCTAGAAAAAGACTGGGCTCACTCTCTTGGATGGATGCTAAAGCTCTAAGGTCTTACAAACAATCCAAAGCAGAAGGGAAGAACCAGAAGAGAGTGCACAGCCAACCAGCAGACAAGAGCCCCACTAAGGAAGAGAACGCAAAACCAGGCAGCCCAGCCAAGACAGCAAGAGCCTGGTAAGTTCTCCACATCGCACATCACACCTGTGCCTTCAGGCTACCAAACCCAGCACTGCAACTCCAGCTCAGAGCAGCAGCCACGTGCCTCAGACATCAGGAGAAGGTGGTCAAGGGGGATTCACCCGCACTAAACCAGCAGAAAGAGAAGGGCTGGACAGGACTGTCACTGTAAGGATAAGCAAAATGGATAAGGAAAAAGGGAAGTGCATTTATGCAAAACTATAGCGAAAAAAGAAAAAAGAAGCATAGTATACAGAAGATAGGTGAAGAATCTACTCGAAAAGAAAAAAAACCCACCAAAATAAAAGCATTCCTGGGACTATTTCACCCTACAGAAAAACCTAAAGAAAAGAACTCAAAAAGCATGAGGGTGAGATAACAGGAGATGAAAATGGAGCTGACAAAGCTAAGGAAATACAGAGAGAAGCCTTAGCTGAGCACTTAAAATAGTTACTGTTCTCTCCTCTGCACTCTCTACCCCATTACTTTGTATCATTAACTAACATCCCCTACTGTATTTTTTACTGTTTATCTACCTTCCACTAGAACATAAGCTCTACTGGAGCAGTCAACTTGTTTACTGTCCCCTAACTTGTCCCCCTGTGTCCCCAGACAGCTCTGACATAAGAGTGAACTCTTAAAATTGCTGAATAAATAAGGAAAAGATGAATAATTAAAGCAACAAGAAAATAGTAGATGAAAACAAATAAAAATGATCCAACATAAACGTAACTGGTACTTCAAAATAAAAGGTCAAACCATAGAACATAAATAAATGCAAAGATTTAACAGAAAAAATTTTCCTGATTCCAAGCAAAACTTTAGTCTGCCTGTCAGAAAGGCACAGACTCCAGAAAACTTGATATGGAAAGATAAATACAAATACATCTGGGTTACATGAACTAAAAAAAAAAACACCTTATGAGGAGAGATTACAAAGGTTAAGTAAGCCTGGCCTCAGACTTCTCCAAGATATTCAGTGAAAGAAAATGATGGAATAGCATCCTCCAAAAAGAAACAAACTGTGACCCAAGAATATTAATCCAGCCAGGTCATCATTTAAGAATAGTCAATAGGCTCATATGTTTAAACATGAGTCAAAAGAAAATGTAGCCAACCAATAAGTAAAAGGAGAAGCTGCAATAAGACTGGTGATAGGCAATGAATTGACTTTTTTAAAAAACAGATCAAAGACTGAACAACCAGTAAGAAATATGTTTTCAAAAGATAACTATTATAAAACTTGGTAACACAAAAATAACATTGGAACAAACAAGAGAGAAAGGAGGAAACTCATAGGAAGGAATATGAGTGTTTATTTTCTTCCCTTTCTAAACAGAGTCTATTAAGTCAATAAACAGGTTTAAGTACATTAATTAATGTTACAAAGAAAACCACTAGAAGGACTAAAATAAGACTATAATAAGCAAAACTCTAGAGGTAGGAGGAGGGAGAAGTTAAAGAAACCATATTAGCGTAAAGTTTCCCATTTTCCAGAGCAGGAACTCCATAAATACTGAATACATTTCCTAATTCATGAAAGAGGGTAATGATATAACATATAAAGTAATTAAAGGTAACTACCAGAAGAACTGAAAAAAGACAATAAGCTTCCAATAAGCTTCCAAATCCAAAGAAGGAAAGTATGAATGTATGAGCACACACAAAGAAAAAAAGAATCTATATCACAAAATAGGACTAAGAAAATACTACAAATTAGGAGGAAAAACATAATTAAGGCCAAAATATATCTGATATCAATAAATATTGTGTGAAAATTCACACAATATTTATTCATATCAGATATAAGATAGAATAAGAAAAAACAATATGAGATATAAAAAAGAGTAAGACTCACAAATTGGGTCAAGTGACAAACTATATTTTCCAAAGACAGCAGCAACAATATCTCCTCTTCCACAAAGTCTTCTAGCACCTTCTTATTCCTTATCAAGAGTAGAGCCTAATTCCCATTTCCTTGAATGTGAGTGGGCAGCAGAAGCAATGCTATGACATCTTAGGCTAGATTGTAAAAGCTTGTGAGCTAGAACACCCCACAAGTGAAGTACTGGGCTGCCACGTAAGCAGTCCCACCACCATGAGGCCACCATGCCATGAGGAAGCCCAAACCAAGGCACATGGAAAAACATGTGGAGAGGCCATGGGACCTCATGAAGAGGAGATGGCTCACAACCCCCATCATTCCAACTACTGTCTGACTACAACTACTCAAGACCCCAAGCCAGAATCTCCCAGCAGAGCCCTTCCCAAGATCCTGACCCATAGAAACTGTGAGATAATGGCTGTTGTTGCTCTAAGCCACTATGTTTTGGGGTGATTTGTTAGGCAGCAATAGGTAACCAAAACAGATTACCAACCATTATTTCCAGAAAAGACCACTAATATCCTAGAAAACTGGTGGGAAGGGGTTTTTTAGGATCTCTTCTCCAGTATTATAGAGAAAGGTAAAGTTGGGAAGCAAAACTTGGGAATTACATGATGAAGCTGCCTATTCAAGATAGGTCCCTAATGATAAGGACTCAGTTGCAGTTGTTGCTTCCTATGATTACCATCAGACATCTTAATGGATTATTTGAAAGTTCTACACTGATACTCACCAGCCACTTTACTGTGAAGGAGAAGAGTGCACTAAAGGCAAATATCACCCACAGTACTGAACAGGCAATAAGTCCCAACCAAAAGATTCTTGATTCAGCCTCTGACACAGTTTTATTCTCTTGAGAGGACTCCTATAAAAGAACATAAATTCAATTATCATGTTGTGAAATTTATCAATAAAAAGTTCAACATATTTAATAAAAAACATATTACCCACAAGTTCAAATATTAATACACATAGCCCAACTCCTAAGTTAGAACCCAAAAATACATGACTATCACTCTCGTAATTTTAGGAACTGATCTATATTAACTCAAGAATTTTGCATTTTCAGGGCAGGATGGATGGTTTACCACAACTCATGACAGTAAAGAGTGGTCTCTGATAGGCTTCTATTCAATTCTTCTTGCACTTGTACTATTTATTCATAAGGAAGCTCTAAATGATACCTTTCTGACCAATGATCAAGGAAATCACAGTTATAATCATTCTGGAGACTAAAAGGTCAAATTAGGGTCCAGAGGGGAAAAAAAAAACGGAATCAAGGGATTCTGGACAATAATCAAAATGTCTTAGCAATACCCAGGAATTTACAAGGGTGGTAAGTTGTTTCCAAGGTAGATTCCATAATATAAAGGAATACAGGCTCATTGAACACAGTGCCACTTTCTTAAAATAACTTGTCAATACCCTTGGTGTACTGTCGCCAAGAATTTGGTCCTCTGCTTCCAAAACTTATTTCCACAAGGAAAGTGAATATTCACTATAGTGTAGCAGGCTAACCCAAAACAGACCAGGATCCCCAGGGCTCCTGAAGGCAGAAGCTTAGGAATAGAGTGCTCCAATCAGATATTCTATCCAGCTGCACTCCTCCTCCTTTTTCCTGCCCAGAAATGAAAGACGACCACAGGAGCAAAGACAGAACAAGATGTTAAAAGCAGTTATCTGCTGAGCATAGAGGGATTTATGGAGACACTAACAAAGGCAACACAGAGATCTTTTATCAGCAATCCCTGACAGGCAGCTTAGCACACTGTATGAACTCAGACCCAGTGTCTTCCCTCAAAGGATTCTGTTCGTATATTGCTTGTTTCTGGTCTGAACTAGACAGAAAAATGCATTAAATTCTAGAAGGCCATCTCCTTTAGTGCTGACATGCCAAGTGATTTGGTATAGTGTTTTTAATTCTGAATACTTCATCTTCCAGTATTTAAATATAGTCTACAAATAATTTAGCTGATAACATTATTTAAAACAAAAAAGGCACTTTACCTTTCTAGATTCAAACACCCAATGGCTCTTTCCATCTTCATCAATGTGATTCCACCAACGTAGGCCAACCATTAGTCTACCTGTGACATTCTGGTGAAGATTAATATAAACAGGCACATTTTAAAAGCATTATTTAAAGATCTGTCACAAGCTCCTATCTTAGTGTAACATTTCACAAACAAAAACCTTCAGCTTTACCTCCATAATATCCAGTTAGCAAAGACTACTATGTATCAGGCCTGGCTAAACGATTAAGTAAAATGGTAATGGCAGGACTAATAGGGGTAGAGGTGACAGAGCAAGCAACAAGTCCACCCATAAACATTACACCTTCTCTTTTCCCTCATGAACAATTTGCCCTTTCTCCAGTTCCCTAATTTTCCCTAAACCCCTTGCTATTTGGTTACTGTGACCTACTTTACATCCTGACTATAGCTACATATATTTTACAACTACATATCCCTGAAAATGATTATAGACACTGGCCTTCAGTCAGTCTCTCAAGTGTACCAAGCTCTTTTCCTACTTACTAAGGTAACAAATTAGTTTGATAGCTTTCCTAATCTTTATTTACTCAACAAATATTTACTGAGCATCTACTATGTGCTGGTAATACAACAGTGACTAACAGATACCAACTCCTTCCTCAGGGAAAGAGGTGAAGAGAGGCAGACAACCAATGCACAAATGTACCATTACCAACTGAGTTAAGTCCTGCAAGGGAAAAGTGTGGGATGCTTGAAGAGTATAACAGGGAAATTTGATCTAGTCTGGGTATCAGAAAATGACTCTCTGAGGAGTCAACATTTGGAATGAAATATAAAAGATAAATAAGAATCAACAGTACCATGGATGTTTAATTAATGGTGTCCACTAATAGATTCAGTGGTTCTGTGAACCTCGATGGGTAAAAAAAAATGTTACCTTCATTTTCATTAACCTCTGGCTAAAATTTAGCATATCTTTAAATTATGAATGTAGACAACAAACTATGAATGTAGGTAAAATTAAAAACACCCTGACACAATAGAAATCACAGGCATTTTTTTATTTTGTACTATATTTGCTGCAGTTACCTCAAAATATTGTAGTTTTGTTTTTTGTTTGGTTTTGTTTTTTGTTTTTGAGACAGAGTTTCGCTCTTGTTGCCCAGGCTGGCATGCAACGGGGCGATCTCAGCTCACCACAACCTCTGCCTCCCGGGTTCAAACGATTCTCCTGCCTCAGCCTCCCAAGTAGCAGGGATTACAGGCATGCGCCATCATGCCCAGCTAATTTTGTATTTTTAGTAGAGATGGGGTTTCTCCATGTCGGTCAGGTTGGTCTCGAACTCCCAACCTCAGTGATTCACCCGCCTTGGCCTCCCAAAGTGCTGGGATTACAGGTGTAAGCCACCACGCACGGCCTCAAAATACTATTTATGCTCACCACTGCTTTGAAAGTAGTTAGCATATCATTAAATTATGAATGTAGACAACAAACTATGAACATAGGTAAAATTAAAAACACCCTGACACAATAGAAACCACAGACATTTTTCATTTTGTACTATACTTGCTGCAGTTATCTTAACATATTGTTTATGCTCACCACTGCTTTGAAAGTAGTTATTAGACCTGCCACTAGATCTTACCATTAATAAATTCATAAAGTATAGTAGTCCTCCCTTATCTGCAGGGGATACATTCCAAGACCCCCAGCAGATGCCTCAAATTGTGGTTAATACCAAACCTTATATATGCTATATTTTTTCCTATAAGTACATACCTATGATAATGCTTAATTTATAAATAATGCACAGTAAGAGAATAAGAAATAAAAATAGAACAATTATAACAACATAATCTAATAAAAGTTATGTGAATGTAGTTCTCTCTCCTCACACAGTATCTTACTGTTTAGCGTAGCATATAGCAGTACTGAAACCGCAGAAAGCGAAACCTCAGATAATGGGGGAACTACTACACATATAACTCAATCAGAAATTTACTTTTTTAATATTTTTAAATTATATTTCAATATAAGTGACTTCCTTTGAAATCTTATGTATTTTATATATGTGAAAACTTATTCATGAGTTTATGAAAGGGGCCCATGGCATAAAAAGATTAGGAATCCCTGTATGAAGGTGATGTGGGAGGAAGAAGAGCATTCCAGATAGAGCAGCAGGCACTGATGCCCTAATGAAGAAAGTACAATCTATGGATTTATGGGACTTGGTCATTAATTGGATATGGAGTAGGAAGGAGGCAACTGATACATTTACGGTTTGCTCAAGTAAAAAAATAGTGATTCCAGGCCCCACGAAAGGGAACACTCAAAGAAGAAGAGCTTTTGGGGAGTGGAAGATGACAAGTAGTATTTTACACATGTTAAGATATAAGATGCCTGGCCAGGCATGGTGGCTCACTTGGGTTCAAGACCAGCCTGGCTAACATAGTGAAACCCTGCCTCTACTAAAAATACAAAAATTCGCTAGGGATGGTGGTGCATGCCTGTAGTCTCAGCTATCTAGGAGGGTGAGGCAGGAGAATCACTTGAACCCCGGGAGGCAGAGGTTGCAGTGAGCCAAGATCACACCACTGCATTCCAGCTTGCGTGACAAAGCAAGATTTTGTCTCAAAAAAAAAAAAAAGATTTGAGATGCCTTCAAGACAGCCACATAAAAACGTCAAGAAGACACATGGAGAGGCCTTAAGTTGTGAGGACAAACCTGAATGGAGATACAGATCTGGGAGGCAACACAGCTTACAGATCAGCAATTCAAACCAGAAGCACAGACAGCACTCCTTAGGAAGGGAATACAGGAGAAGAAAAGGAAGAGTCTTATGAGACCAAAATTCCTATGGGAGAGATGCTAAGTAAAAAAAAAAAAGAGCTGGCAAGGGAGACCTAAACCAGAGGTCTCTTCTATAGGTATTTTCAAAGAATGCTCTCAGAATACTTTCAAACTCTTCTGTTTCCATTTTCTAACTCTTTATTTCCTGCTTTTATCTTTATTAGTTTATTTTCCTGATTTCTCACACTTATTGCTTGTTTTTGAAATTTCTGGACTCAAGTAGTCCATTATTTTCCCTCTTTCTTGTCTAAAATAAAAGGCTTTAGTCTATTATTTTCCCTCTGAATTCAGTTTTTGACATATTCAGAAAGTTTAACTGTAAATGATCACCATTAAGGTATAAATAACTTATATTTACAGTTTTTGCTTCCTTTTAAACCCAAGATATGTAGTAGTTCGCTTTTTTAAAAGAATTCCAATTTCAACAACTACTTTCTATTAATTTCTAGTTCTGTTTCTTTGGAGTAGAAAATGTAGGTGCTTTGGGCAATTTTATTTTGATTTTCTTCACAGTGATATTTAGTCAATTTTTGTAAATGTTCCACAGGCATTTAACAAGAAAGTATTCTCTCTGTCATACAAAGTCCCAAATACTGCTATCAAATTGATGTTGCCAATTATTTCATTCAGATCCTTCAGAACTTATTTATTTTTTGGCACTTTGGTTTGTTTAAGATAGTAGTTTGTTAAACTCATCATAATGCTTTTCTATTTTCTAATATTTCCAATTTTTTTACTATACATAGTTTGATATAATTTTACTCTGTGAATGATCTTCACTGTGATTCATAAAATCACCTTTTTTTGTTCCTCTTAGTGCTTTCTTACTCTGATCCATATCTCATCTGATAATAATACAATGCCAAGTTTCTTTTTGTTTGAGTTGATCTTTGCCTTCTTTTATTTTTGCCTGATGTTATCTTTGCCTTCTTTTGTTTTTTCTAATGTCATTAATTTGGTTAGATCTTTTGTTTGGACTTTGATTTCTGACCAATCTTAGTATTCTTGTCTTTAAATGGGTAGTTTAATCAAATTACATTTCCTATTATAATGAATTTGCTATTACTTACATCACTTTATACATGTACTCTCTGATTTAAGCTTCCTTGACAGTTGCTTTGTTTTCCTTCTTTTGCTCTATGAACTGTTTTACTTGCTCCATCTTCTCCAATGTTGCAGAAGATACACGACTGGTTTTAAATTTTACTAATAGTTGCCATTATTGTTTTTTTTTTTTGAGATGGAGTCTTGCTCTGTTGCCCAGGCTAGAGTGCAGTGGCGCGATCTCGGCTCACTGCCAAGCTCCGCCTCCTGCCTCAGCCTCCTGAATAGCTGGGACTACAGGCGCCTGCCACCATGCCCGGCTCATTTTTTTTTTTTTTTTTTTTTTAGCAGAGATGGGGTTTCACCATGTTAGCCAGGATGGTCTCGATCTCCTGACCTCATGATCCACCCGCCTCAGCCTCCCAAAGTGCTGGGATTATAGGCATGAGCCACCGCGCCCAGCCATAGTTGCCATTAAATTTTTAAAGCCATTATTTAACCTTTTTTACTCAATTTGTCAGAGTGAAGAATAAAATAAAAACCAATATAAGCTTTAGCATTTAAGCATACCTTTAAATTATTTTCCCTTCTCTACCTCTTCTTTATCTTCATTAACATCACCTAGGGCAAGCCTATCCAACCCTCTGCCCACAGGCCTCATGCTGCCCAGGACAGCTTTGAATGCGGCCCAAGAGAAATTCGTAAACTTTCTTAAAACATTATGAGATTTTTTTGTGTGCGATTTTTTTTTTAAGCTCATCAGCTAATGTTAGTGTATTTTATGTGTGGCCCAAGATAATTCTTTCTTCCACTGTGGCCCAGGGAAACCAAAAGATTGGACACCCAGGGGTTTAGATGAAGATTGATTTTTTGTTTTTTTAGTAAGTACATTGAGATTTATAACAATTACGACACATCTCCATTTTAACTGTTTCAGAACCCTGCTTATCCCAAGTCCACTTAATAATTTCCCTATTCTTGACTTCTTAATTTTGCTTCATATCTCCATTGTTTTGCTATCTATAAGTAATTTTGCCAAGGATAAAAGGGTGCCATTTTTTAAGCTCTTGTTTAAAAACAAAAATAAACAAACAAATAAACCTTATCAGAAAATAAACTATTTTGATCGCATTTTTTAAAACTCTAAACCCAGAAAAATTTTAAGAATTTGGAAATTACCAGGAAGAACTGACTGGAAAGCATGTTCTATTTGGCTAAACAGAAATTTTATGAACAACAAAAAGAAACGTGTATCAAAACTGTGAGCAGTATGTACTAAATACTTTGGAGCATAAAGTAACAGAAGAAATTCAAAGAAATGCAAGCCAAAGAAGACTGGACAAAAGAAAAACCTAAAGAAAACAGACCTTTGAAATCTTCCTTCTCAGCATTATGCGGCCTACGGAAACTGGCCATCACCAAGCCAACCACTTCAGATATCTTTAAGAATTAAAAGATGGCCAGGCGCAGTGGCTCACGCCTGTAATCCCAGCACTTTGGGAGGCTGAGGCGGGCAGATCACTTGACGTCAGAAGTTCGAGACCAGCCTGACCAACATGGAGAAACCCCGTCTGTACTAAAAATACAAAAAAATTAGCCAGGCGTGGTGGTGCATGCCTGTAATCCCAGCTACTCGGGAGTCTGAGGCAGGAGAATCACCTGAACCCAGGAGGCAGAGGTTGCGGTGAGCCAAGATCATGCCATTGCACTCCAGCCTGGGCAACAAAAGTGAAACTCCGTCTCAAAAAAAAAAGAATTAAAAGATCTAAAAATGGCTACATTGGTGGATGTGAATAGGGTTGTAACATCTTACTAGTCTTTGAATCAGTATATGTCTCTGAAACTCCAAAATCAGCCTTTGATTTTTTTCTCCACTATTTTACTATATTTTCGAACACACACAGTTAAATTTTACAGTGAATACCCAAATATCTATCATCTAGAGTCCATATTTAATATTTTATTATGCTTACTTATCTATTTATTATGTACCTATCTATCCATCCATCCATCTCTCTAATCATTGTTCTTGAGTTTGAAACCATTTCTTACACTCCTTTCTATCCCCTACAGCAGGGTGTCTCAACCTTGGCACAACTGACATTTTGGGTCAGGTAGTTCTTTGTTGCAGAGGGGCCGTCCTGTGTGTTAGGATATTTAGCAGCATACCTGCCCTCTAGCCACTAGATGTCAATAGCACACTCCTCCCACCTCCAGTCATGACAACCAAAAACAATTTTGGACACTGACAAATATTCAGTGGGTGGCAAGCTTGTCTCTGGTTGAGAAACACTGCCTTAAAGCATCCATAGGAGCCTTTTCAAAAGGTAGGTATTTTTTAGGTATTTGTGGACAAACTACACTGGGGCCTTATCTAGAAATTATATACAACACACCTACAGGTAAGCCTGAAGCAAAACCCATGGTATGGATTAGAAGCAACATTGTAGGGTCTATGGTTGCTAGTCACATTTGTTTGTTTATTTGACTTTAAAGCTGATGTAGGTTAGAATATGGCACAGAAAAATCAGCAGCACAGTAACCTACATGTCTCATCTTGTATTGTCAAAGGGAAAAAATGAAAAAAAAAAAAAAAAACTACATGCAATTTGATATATCTAGCACTTCAACACAGATGAGGTTTGAAGTAACAAAAGATTAACAATAATGCAAAATGCTGTCATATTTTTATACATCATTTTCATATTAAATATAATTTTAAAATAAAAACAATCAAAATTACCTTCACTGCCCAAAAGTCACACGACAACAACAAGATAATTGTAACCATACAGGTAATAAAGCTGCTGCTGAGCAACTCACAGAGAAGACAGACGATGATTGCACTGACTCGAAAGAATAAGTGGAAAAACGATGCTACTGGATGTCTGAAAACCAAAACACAATGAAAGAAATGCAATTACATTTTACTACAGGTACTAGCAAATGTAGAGAAAAATGTTTTAGCCATCGTGTAACTGTGAAGAGTTTTGTCAAAATAAAAGAGGTGACTTTAGTAGGAGGAAGCAAACCTCCTAGCTCTCTTTTTCTTAAGCCCCACTATTTGACTAGGCCCTATAGTGACAGAAAATACACTATGCACAGATGACTTTAACACCTCATTGAATATAAACTTTCACAAAATAGATAATAAAGAATTTTACCTCTCTTGGAGAAATAAGGAAACCGTATCTTAGAATTTGAATCCTATTTTCAAATCACGCCAAAAGAATTCCTTAGCCCTCAGAAATCACTCAGACATTAAGACAAAGTTATCAGGTAGTTTGTTTGTTTCTTTTTTTTTTTTTTTTTTTGAGACGGAGTCTCGCTCCGTCGCCCAGGCTGGAGTTTGGTGGCGCAATCTCGGCTCACTGCAAACTTCACCTCCTGGGTTCACGCCATTGTCCTGCCTCAGCCTCCCAAGTAGCTGGGACTACAGGCGCCTGCCACCACGCCCGGCTAATTTTTTGTATTTTTAGTAGAGATGGGGTTTCACCATGTTAGCCAGGATGATCTCAATCTCCTGACCTCGTGATCCACCTGCCTCGGCCTCCCAAAGTGCTGGGATTACAGGCGTGAGCCATCGCGCCCAGCCTGTTTCTTGTTTTTTAATAGCTTTTTTGAGATATAATTCACATATCATACAATTTACTTATTTAAGGTAAACAATCTAATGGTTTTTAGTACATTCACAGATTTGTACAACCATCACTCCAATTTTACAACTTTTCATTACCCCAGACAGAATCTTTGCACCCACTGGCAGTCATTCCCCATTTACCTTCAAACCCCTCAGCTTCTAGCAACAGCTAATCTATCTTCTGTCTCTACAGATTTGCCTATTCTGGACATTTCATATAAATGAAATCATACAATATGTGGTCTTTTGTGACTGGCATGAAAGATGAAAGAAAAGTAAAAAACAGCATTTTAGCAGGGTTCAAGTAGAATTTGCTTTCGATAAGTGAATTTATTTAGAGAGAATTAAATTTAGAATAGAAATGTTATGTGATTTTGAAATGTGCACAATAAATCAAAATGTAAAGTATCTACAGAAACTATATAAAGAAATGGTACATTCTTGGAAAATAGCACAGAATTAAAAACACAGGTGTTCAAATAATTGGATTTGCTGATTTTAAAACTCAGTATTAAGTATGCCAATTATTCACAAGAAAATCTGAAATGTCATCTTTGTCTTACACTAAATGTTAAATTAGCAACATGCAGTATTCACAAGCACATTGAAACAACTCTGCCTTGACTCCCATCAGCTAGCACTGACATACATACAGAACAACACTGGACACTAACACAGCTCATGCAACTTCTCCTCCTACCTGATTTTGGCTTTTCTTGGTCTATTAGTCGTCTCCTCTTCCGCATCAAACAGTGAAACATCTTCAGTGTCATCATTACTATCCTGGTTGGAAAAATAAATGGTCAAGAAGCAAAACAAAATTCAGTGTTTACACAGCCACTGCAATGCAAAGCTGCATACTCATCAAAATAGAAGATAAAATAATGTGGTTACAGCATCAGGAATTCAAAACCTAGAAAAGGACACATGCAGATCCTCCACCCGCCTCCTCAAATCATCTGGCAAAAACCCCAGAGAATAATCGAAGTCTCAGCTCCTCCATCCCTGCCCCTAGGCTGCACCATCTGAGAAAACTCTGGGGTGCAGATGAGGCTACTACAACTTAACACCTGTCCTCCTCACCTGTTCTCTCCCAAGTCACAGAGCAAGCCGAGGCTACTGGGGATAATCTCAAGGTTTCTGGCTCCTTCACAAAATCATCTGACTGCATCCTTAGTTCCATGACCCCTTCTCACAACTCCTCCTCTTCTTATCCAAGGCTAAACCAATTATTTGTGCTCAGAATAACTTCTTTTCATGCCTCCTCGGGGATTTGTTTCATCATTTTCCCCTGTATTTACACTTTCTTCTATCTTCAAGTCTATCTATTGGATCTTTCTTTTTTGTTGTTGTTGAAATGGGGTTTTGCTCATCACCCAGGCTGGAGTACAATGGCACGATCTTGGCTCACTGCAACCTCCGCCTCCCGGGTTCAAACGATTCTCCTGCTTCAGCCTTCCAAGTTGCTGGGATTACAGGCGTGTGCCACCACACCCAGCTAATTTTCATATTTTTAGTTGAGACGGGGTTTCACCATGTTGGCCAGGCTGGTCTTGAACTCCTGACCTCAGGTGATCTGTCCGCCTCAGCCTCCCAAAGTGCTGGGATTACAGGCCTGAGCCACCACGCCTGGCCTCTATTGAATCTTTCTAATCAGCATATGCATATAAACTTCTTCAAGGCCACTTATTAGGCAAAAAAAGATTTTTTTAAGAACCCTGATCCTGAATCTCCTCTTCAATCCTCTACCTTCCCAAAGCATTGCTTCCTTTTACCTTAGGCTTTTTTTTTTTTTTTTGAGATGGAGTCTTGCTCTGTCGCTCAGGCTGGAGTGCAGTGGCGTGGCCTCAACTCACTGCAACCTCTGCCTCCTGGGTTCAAGTGATTCTCCTGCCTCACCTTCCCAAGTAGCTGGGACTACAGGCGCGTGCCACCATGCCTGGCTAATTTTTTGTATTTTTTTAGTAGAGACAGGTTTCACCGTGTTAACCAGGAGATTTCATGACCTTGTGATCCACCCGCCTCGGCCTCCCAATTGCTGGGATTACAGGCGTGAGCCACCATGCCCGGCCCCATAACCTTAGGCTTCTAAGAGTGGTTCACACCTCAATTCACTGCAATTCCCCTCAACTACAACAAACCTGATCCTGTTCCTCTCCTAGCGCCACTCACCAGCCTCCCTGCCTTTATCCCTCTCTATTCCAGCCTCTCCTTTACATTACCCAGAGCAATCCTCCCAATATGGAAATCACACCATGTCACTCTACTGCTCAAATTTTTCAATGGCATCCCTACAAGTATAGGATAAAATTTAACTCCTT
The DNA here is from genome assembly GCF_000001405.40 of Homo sapiens. Classification (NCBI taxonomy): domain Eukaryota; kingdom Metazoa; phylum Chordata; class Mammalia; order Primates; family Hominidae; genus Homo; species Homo sapiens. Next base: position 15,556,903 of record NC_000017.11, read on the forward strand.
CACATAAAGCATAGAAGATCACAGAATCTAATGCCCCCTACTTGCTTCTGACACTGTCTTCATTGAGCACTGTTGAGCACTGAAGCAATACTGTTACTACATGGTCTCTAAGAACACTACGGTCTCTCTCCCATCTCCTGCCTTTCACATGTTGTCTCAGAAAACTCTTCCCTTCCCCATGCCCTGCTCACCACCAAATACCAAATCATCCTTCAAGTTTTTTAGCTCAAATACTGAAATAGCTGAAAACCTGTCTCTGAAATCCCCATGTTCCCACAGCACTTGGACGAATCTCCATTTGAACAATTATCTCAGAGTATTCTTATTGCACATCTACCCGCTCCTACCTCCATATAGATTAAGCTGCTGGAGGACCTAGAAGACAAGGTTTTTTTTTTTTTTTTTTGAGACAGAGTCTTGCTCTGTCGCCCAGGCTGGAGTACAGTGGTATGGTCTCAGCTTACTGCAACCTCCACCTCCTGGGTTCAAGCTAGATTCTAGTGCCTCAGCCTCCTGAGTAACTGGGATTACAGGAGTGTGTCTCGGCTAATTAGCCTGGCTAATTTTTGTAATTTTAGAAGAGACAGAGTCTCACCACGTTGGCCAGGCTGGTTTCAAACTCCTGACCTCCAGGGATCCGCCCACCTCACCCCCCCATAGTGCTGGGATTATAGGTGTGAGCCACCACGCCCAACCAAGACTGTCTTTGCATTGTAGTAAATCCTAGTGTCTAGCAGAGCATTCAGCCAAGTGGTACAGTATTTGTTGAAGGCATGAGTAAATAAGCAAAGGAGACGATAATATACAGCTGACTGTGATCAGGGCTGAGAAATCTAAGTGCAAATGGGAGCCAGGGAAGGAAGCAAATCATTCCTACTACAGGGCACTGGAGAAGCTTTCTGGAGGAGAGTTTGTCAGCTGGGCCCTGACAGTCCGCGTAGGCCTCCCTAGACTAGGTATATTTTGAAAGGCACAGGTGGGAATACAGGAAGTTTGTCTAAGAAATGGTCAAGTAGCTCATGCAGTAAGTGATGGATGCGAGAAGCTCCTACTGAGCTAAGGCTGAAAAGGTAAAATGGATTCAGATCTATGAAACTAGTGGTTCTCAACCTTGGCTACAATTAGAATGCTCTTTTTCTTAAAAAACAAACAAACAAACAAAAAAAGGCTGATACTTGGGTCCAGCCCTCAGTGGTTCAGATATAATTGCTTTGAGGTGTGATCATAACGTACAGCAAGACTGAGATCCACCGTATGATGTTATGAATAAAAAGCTGAGGCCTTCTGCTCTCGATCCCAACAGTCTAATCGCCATCCAGCGGCCAGGGAGACTTTTTCACATCAAATCCTATCATTCCCCTACTGAAACCTCTCAGCACTATGACTGAAAAACAGACTCCCTATCATGACCTATCATGATCTGGTCCCTGCCAATCTCTAAGACCTTATCTCAGGCCACTCACTCTTCATTAACTGTGGTAGGCTGAATACCTCCTCACCCCTCCCAAAAATGTTTAGGTTCTAATCTCTGGAACCTGTGAATATGTAAATTTACTTGGCAAAAAGAATTTCACAGATGAGATTAAGTTAAGGATCTTGAGGTCAAGAGATCATCCTGGATTACCCAGGCTGGTCAGATGACATGATTACAATGGTCCTTACAAGGGAAACAAAGGAGGGTCAGTGAGAGAAGGTGATGAAACAAGCAAAGTAGAGGTGAGAGACAGAGATTTGAACAGGCTGTGCTGATGGCATTAAGATGGGGAAGGGATCCCAGGTGTTTAGAAGCTGAATCAGGCAAGGAAACTGATTCTCCAGAACCCCTACCCACACCTTGATGTTTAACCCCTTGAGCCTCATTCTGGACTTCTGACCACCAGAACTTTACAACAGTACATATGACTTCACTGCCGCAGTAGCAACAGGAAATTTATACAGTACCTAAGCTCCTGCCAGACTGGCCATTTTTTTTTTTTTTTTTGACACAGGGTCTGGCTCTCGCCCAGGCTGGAGTGCAGTGGAACAATCAGGGGTCACTACTGCAGGCTCTACATCTCAGCCTCCTGAGTACTGCAAGCCACCATATCTAATATTTTAATTTCTTGCAGAAATAGGGTCTCGTTATGTTGCCCAGGCTAGTCTCAAACTCCCGGGCTCAAGCAATTCTCCTGCCTTAGCCTCCCAAAGTGCTACGATTAGAGGCATGAGCCACCATGCCCAGGCTGGCCTTCTTTTCAGTTCCTTAAACATGCCAAACTTGGGCCCCGTCAGGTTCTTTTGCACTTATGGTTCATATTACCTAGAACACTATTCTCTTACCCTGCTCTTTGAAAGACTGATTTCTTCTCATTTATTCAGTAAATACTGAGTGCCTACCAAGTGCCAGGTACTGCTGTAAGTGGTACAGATTTAAAAAAAAAAAAAAAAAAAAAAAGACAAATAGCTCTGCACTCCTGGAGTTACATTTACTAAGATGGGGAAGACCATGGACACAAAAGATTTCGGGGCAAAATCAGCAGTTTGATTTTGGACATTTTAAGATGCTAAACGACATTTTAAGATGCTAAAACCAAAAAAGCATTGAAAGGGAGATCCATTGGAGTGTTTTAAGTGTAAGACTGCATGTTCTGACTCACCTGTTAGAAAGAGAATTCTGGCTACTGTAGTAAAAATCTGGAGGGGGAGGGGAGAAGAAGGAGGGACAAAAGCACAACGCTAGGAGACTGGTTAGGAAACTACTTTAATCACGAGGCCAAGAAGTAGTGGCTTGGTCTAAGATGGATGCAGTGGAGGTGATGAGAAATAGATTCCAAGTACATTTTAAGGTAGAGCTGACAGGATTTGCTGATGGACTGACTGACTGGGGAGGTGGAGGAAGGGTAAATAAAAGGAATCAAGGAAGATTCCAAAGTTTTTGTCCTGAACAACTAAAAAGATAAAGATGGCTAAGACAGACTCCTGGCATTCCAATAATTAGAGATCACAAAGATAAGAAGGAATAGGCTGTGGGGACTGAAAAAGAAGTACCAAGGAACATAAGGTGAGCCAGGAGGGGGTAGTGTCCTGGAAACCAAACAAAGTGCCTCCAGGAGGAGGATCCATCATCTGTGTCAAATGCTACTCATAAGTAAGATGAAAACCAAAGAGAGACCACTGTATTTTTTTTTCTTTTTTTTGAGACGGAGTCTCGCTCTGTCGCCAGGCTGGAGTGCAATGGTGTGATCTTGGCTCACTGCAACCTCCGCCTCCCGGGTTCAAGGGACTCCCCTGCATCAGCCTCAGCCTCCCGAGTAGCTGAGACTACAGGCACATGCCACCACCCCCAGGTAATTTTTGTATTTTTAGTAGAGACGGGGTTTCACCATGTTGGCCAGGATGGTCTCCATCTCTTGACCTCATGATCCACCCACCCTGGCCTCCCAAAGTGCTGGGATTACAGCCATGAGCCCTGCGCCCAGCCATGACCACTGTATTTTTAACAGGTCATCGGGGAACTCAGTAAGAGCAGTTCCAGTACAGTTGGGAGAGGGGAAGAGAGACTGACTAGAATGAATACAAGAGAGACTGGAAGAATTAAAAGACAAGTATATATGATACAAGTCTTTAAAGGAAAAAGAATGGAGTGACCAGTGAAAGAGCATGTGGTGTCAAGTTTGTTTTTTTTGTTTGTTTGTTTGTTTTGAGACGGAGTCGCCCAGGCTGGAGTGCAGTGGCACGATCTCGGCTCACTGCAAGCTCCGCCTCCCAGGTTTACGCCATTCTCCTGCCTCAGCTTCCCGAGTAGCTGGGACTACAGCTGCCCACCACCACCCCTGGCTAATTTGTTGTTTTTCAGTACAGACGGGGTTTCACCGTGTTAGCCAGGATGGTCTCGATCTCCTGACCTCGTGATCCACCCGCCTCGGCCTCCCAAAGTGCTGGGATTACAGGTGTGAGCCACCGCACCCGGCCAAGTTTTCATTTTTTAAGGTAAGAGAAATTAAAACACGTTTATATGTTGATGTGAGCAAACGTTTAAAAGGATTAAAAAACTGATGATGCAAGAAAGAGAATTACTAGAACAATGCCTTCCAGTAGGCAAGAGGAGATGGAAACCAGGACACAGTAGACAGGAAGACCTAAGAATGGAGCACTGACAGTCCAATTATCATAAAAGAATATGAGACCCTGAGTAAACATGCAAATAAATAGGCAGCTAGTGTGAAAATTGTCTTCCGACGGCTTCCATTTTCAGTGAAACAAGAAGCAACGTTACCAGCTGAGAGAGGATAAGAGAAGAAACGTTGAAGATTTGAGTTTTAATAGTTGCCTAAGGCGAGAGGGTGAAGGGGCTATGGAAATGTAGAATGACCGCCTGGCAGCACTAAGGGCTCGACTGAGGTTCACATCACAAACTTATCAAGTGGGAACAGTCGGCCGGGCCTGGCGGCTCACGCCTGTAATCCTAGCACTTTGGAAGGCCGAGGCGGGTGGATAACCTGAGGTCAGGAGCTCAAGACCAGCCTGGTTAATATGGTGAAACCCCATCTCTACTAAAAATACAAAAATTAGCCGGGCATGGTGGCGGGCGCCTGTAATCCCAGCTACTCTGGAGGGTGAGGCAGAAGAATCGCTTGAAGCCGGGAGACGGAGGTTGCAGTGAGCCGAGATCACACCATTGTACTCCAGCCTGGGCAACAAGAGTGAAACTCCGTCTCATAAATGAATGAATGAATGAATGAATGAATGAATAAATAAATAAATAAATAAATAAATAAATAAATAGTGGGAACAGTCAACATGGTTGTGTTTCTCCAGCCTCATCCGGCCTGGGCGCAGGTTCAAATGTCAGAAGCATGTGAACCTGAACAACTCCATCTTCAATAGGAGCTGGGTAAAATGAGGCTGAAACCTACTGGGCTGCATTCCCAGACAGGGCATTCTAAATCACAGGATGAGATGTGAGGTCGGCACAAAATACAGGTCATAAAGACCTTGCTGAAAAAACAGGTTGCAATAAAGGAGCCAACCAAAACCCACCAAGACCAAGATGGCCACGAGAGTGACCACTGGTCGTCCTCACTACTAGACTCCCAACAGCGCCATGCCAGTTTACAAATGCCATGGCAACATCAGGAAGTTACTCTCTATGATCTAAAAGGGGAGGAATGAATAATCCACCCCTTATTAACCATATCACTAAGAAATACCCATAAAAATGGGCCACCAGCAGCCCTCCAGGCTGCTCTATGGAGTAGCCATTCCTTTACTTTCTTAATAAACTTGCTTTCACTTTGCACTGTGGACTCACCCTGAATTCCTTCTTGCCTGATCCAAGACTTTTTTTGTTTTGTTTGAGACGGAGTCTCCCTCTGTAGCCAGGCTGGATGGAGTGCAGTGGCCCGCGGCTCACTGCAACCTCGGCCTCCCCAGTTCAAGCGATTCTCCTGCCTCAGCCTCCCGAGTAGCTGGGACTACAGGCGTGCATCATCACGCCCAACTAATTTTTGTATTTTTAGTAGAGACAGGGTTTCACCAAGTTGGCCAGGATGGTCTCGATCTCTTGACCTCATGATCCACCCACCTCGTCCTCCCAAAGTGCTGGGATTACAGGCCTGAGTCACCACGCCCGGCCAAGGACCCTCTTTTCGGGTCTGGATCGGGACACCTTTCCTGTAATACAGCTGAATTTAACCATTATTAGATTTTCTCCACTCAAGGCATCTCCTCATAAGCAGTCTTTCCTGACCATAAATCTTAGTTGTCCTATCCTCGGACACTTGTTATTTCATCACCCTGCCTTTGCAATTATCTGAAAATATCTTTGGTTATACAATTTATCGTGTCTCCCCACCCAACCCCCATCTCCTAGAACCCACTTCCCTAACCCGAAAATACGGGGCAAGAAACCTGTCTGTACTGGTCACAACCCTATCCCTGGGCCTACAACCGTGTCTGAGTCATAGTAATCCCTCAACAAATTTTGTGTGAACCGAAAGAAAAAAACACTTAAGACAATCTAAGTGACCATAAACAGTAGTTTTTTCTAAAAATATTATTAATCTTACGAGTCTCTGGTTGCCAACATGTGGACTACAATTAACTCTAAGAGCACAAAGGAGAGAATCACCAACAACATTAGTTTGGAAACAGCAATTTGAAAGCGAGGCTCTGGCGGTGTCGCCGATTCCTACAAGATAGCATCGCACCCCTGGGTGTCAGGAAGCTAAGAGGCCCGCAGGCCGCTCCTCCTCAACTCCACCCCGGCAATAAGGGTTGAGGAAAGAGAGACCCCCACTCGCGCTGGTTAACAATGGGCGTCCCCACAGCCGCAAGAAGTACTTGCTCTGCGCCGCACGGGTCACGCCTCCCCCAGCGGCCTCAGAACCCCCAGCAGCCCTCCTCAGACAACTACCCACAGCCCTCCACTCCCGGCCGCCCCGCTCCTCCTCGAGTTCGAGTAGCGGGCGCGGGGGACGCGGGCTCCAGTCCCACGGAACCTGCAGAGCCAGTCCCAGGAGCCGCCACCCTCCCAGCGCGCCCTCAGCCCCTCACCTGCTGCAACATGGCGGCCCTACGCCAGCCCTGCTTCCAGGAGCCACGTCAGCGCAGCAGCGTACGGGTCCGGGTCGGAACTGACGCGACCCGTCACCAAGGGCCAGCAGGGACCACTGTAAGAGCCTCAGTCCGGCCTCACCTCCGCTTTGAGGGAGCAAATCCAGGGGCGGGGCGAGCGGGGGCGGGGCGAGCGGGGGCGGGGCGAGCGGGGGCGGGGCGAGCGGGGGCGGGGCGAGCGGGGGCGGGGCGAGCGGGGGCGGGGCGAGCGGGGGCGGGGCGAGCAGCCCGGACACGGCGGAGGCGGAGCCTGGAGCAGGAGCGAAAGGGAAAGGCATTGGGGCCACAGTGGGCTCCAAGTGGAAAGCTTCATGGTCTGTTTTACGGAAGTATTTGCTGTCCACCCAATGCAAATTCTAAAGTCGTTCCCCCAGCGTCGCTGCCCCGAATGCAGGGGGGCGGGGTTTTATTGTATAATATAATTTTCTTTAAATATTTTACAAAGACTTACTCCTGTACAGTATTACTTTTGTACTTTAAATTGTAGAAGCAACTTTTTAAAATATGTTCTTGCAGAGAAGTAAAACGTTAAGAAAAACAAGGCAGGAGGACTCTAGAGTAACTAATGGACGGTATTATTATGGGAGGTATAAACTTAGACTCCAGGAGTTGAGACCTTGCGCCCTGGAGCTTAGGCGCCTGGGAACTCTATTGCCAATCATATCACCAACCTTTATGTACTTCTTTCGTCAGTTGTAAAGTGGGGGTGATAATGGTTTCCTTACAGTGTAAGTATCTAGTAAATGGGAGACGTTATACTTATTACAGTTTTAAGTCCAGCCGCTCATGCTGTGATCTTGCCTGAACAAAGGATGTGAAATTAAGGGGCGTTAAGTCATCTTTGAAGCGGTGATGATGACAATATCCTATCTGTCTGGCCGAGTCAGACTGCTGTTGGCATAGTGGTATTTGCACGTTTCCTTAATTGAAGGGATTCTATTAAAATCACAAATTTTATGTGGCTGTTTGCCAGTGCCATTTAAAACCTAATATTCTAATAATGAAAGGGGAAAAACACACACACGCGTTTCTCAAAGGCGAGACATTTCGGCAGCACAATTGCATTCGTGCCCTTGGAGATGAAAAGCTAACAAATTTGGGGCCTGTACGTCCAGCCTGCCCATGGCAGGTTTTCAGTGGTCCACTCAGTGCTGTGGAGTTTTGTGTTGTTTTTCGTAGTTTTTGGTTTTTTAAGGCATTGTGTTTGAATTCATTATCGTCTTTTAATTTTTAATAGCTAATTTTTAAAGCTAATTTTGTATTTTTAGTAGAAACGAGGTTTCACCACGATGGTCAGGCTGGTATCAAACTCCTGATGTCAGGTGAGCCACCTGCCTCAGTCTCCCAAAGTGCTGGGACTACAGGCGTGAGCCACCGCACCTGGTCAAGGCTTGAACTTTCTAATGGGCCATAGCTCTTGTAGTGGGCTGCACTCTTCTAAATTACCTGGTCCCTGCACCATAGTCCAAAGGTTTAAGCAGAAACCTCAATGCACTTGATGTTACTGGCCCTCTTTGTACAGAGGATAAATATGCTAATTCTCTTCCTTAGGAGTTAGCCCTGAGAAGGAAAAGCTCAATGTTGTCAGATGCAGCAGGTCAACCCCACTGAGGGCTTCCCCTTTTAAATTCTTCATGGGTTTCATCAGGCTTCTGTGCAAAAATACCAGAAAACTCCAATGCATGACCCTGATATAATCCCATAACTTCATTTGCCAGAAGAACTAATAGCACTAAATTGGTAGTGATGAATGGTATCTAATTTCCAGTGATCATCTCCCCATCCCCCATCAACGAAACTGGGCTTTCCTAATGCTCACTAAATTGTTTTCAGTGGGACTACAGATGCTAATCTCGCCCAACCTCCTTCTGTTTTCTTATTTTGATGATATCAAATATTTGGCTCAGGGGAAGATAATTGGGAGTTCCCACATTAATTACCAGGAAGAAACAGTCAAAAAAAAAAAAAAAGGCCAAATAGCAACATCCGCTTGGCTTTCTGTTTATTGTAAAACACTGTAATTTCCCAAGGCTGGTTTAGATAAATACATTTTGTCCAAGTTCAGGGGCCGCTGTTTTCCCTTGCTTCGTGAAATTATCAATAGGCAGGCCTTTGATCTTCCTGATCCATGCAGCTTTGCTGGCTTTTCCTGGATCAACCACTCCAGTGGACTCCCTGGCCTGATATTCCTTCATCTTGGCTTCCTGGTGCTCCTTCTCCTCCTTCACGGTCAACAGCACGAACTCAGCGTTCACTCTAAAAGGATCAAGGGCTGTATAGATGCGAGGCCGTTCTTTCTTAAGAGACAGGGTGGCTGTGCCCACTTGTGGAGCTAGCATGCGGTTTGGTTTAATGACCTGCATACTGGTCAGGGGACCCGTACTGCACACAGCCCTTTCAATTGAACTGGTCACTTGGTCTCCACCCTTTAAGCTGCCAGAGAACCTGGAGCGGATAATCATGGGCTCGGGTATGGTGGACTGGGCTCTAGGACTGTGCAAAGAGATCTTCAAGTTGGGCTGCAGTTTCTGGATTTCAAGGGGAATACTGGTTCGTTTCACATCTATAGGAGGATTGCTCAATCTCAACCGATCAACTGCACGTTGGATTGATTTTCCTTTGAAATTCAAGACCTTCCTTGGGTATGAAATTGAAGGTCCCCAGACATCAGTAATTTCTGTTTGGGGCCTACAGGGATAGGCAAATTCCCCGGAATTACGGGCGTGCTGCAGGGCGCTAACAGTCAGGAGGAATTGGTCAGGTGACATAGGGATTTTCCAAGACTTTTTCTTTGGGTGACTGGGCAGTTTTCCAGGAGTTTCCAATTGTCCTTGTTTTTGTGCTTTCTCCGCATCATCTGCTTTTTCAAAAAAAAGAAAATTTTAAAAAATCGGCGTTCTATGAAAAATATTAAGTACGTATGCATTAAGTACTTGGGCATTCAAACTTCGAAGCACATTGAGGTCTTTGTTGCCCAACAGGTATGCCATCATACAGGCAGGCACCCTGAGTGGTATTAGAAATGCTGATACTAGAAACAATTTAATAAAACAAATTTTTTTGTTTGTTTGTTTTTGTTTTTGAGACGGAGTCTCGCTCTGTCACCCAGGCTGGAGTGCAGTGGCATGTTCTCTGCTCACTGCAAGCTCTGCCTTCCGGGTTCACGCCGTTTTCCTGCCTCAGCCTCCCAAGTAGCTGAGACTACAGGCGTCCGCCACCATGCCCGGCTAATTTTTTGTATTTTTTTTTAGTAGAGACGGGGTTTCACCGTGTTAGCCAGGATGGTCTCGATCTCCTGACCTCGTGATCCGCCCGCCTCGGCCTCCCAAAGTGCTGGGATTACAGGCGTGAGCCACCACAGCCGGCCAATAAAACAAGTTTTTAATAAAATGCTAGTATTGAGTAAAGAGTATATTAGCCTCTAAGTGTGCATATTTTGAATGCAACAGATGTGATTTCAATGCTACACATATTTTTGAAAATGTGAAGTTGAGGCCGGGCGCGGTGGCTCACGCCTGTAATCCCAGCACTTTGGGAGACCCAGGCGGGTGGATCACGAGGTCAGGCGATCCAGACCATCCTGGCTAACACGGTGAAACCCCGCCTCTACTAAAAATACAAAAAAATTAGCCGGGCGTGGTGGCAGGCGCCTGTAATCCTAGCTACTCAGGAGGCTGAGGCAGGAGAATCACTCGAACTCAGGAGGCAGAGGTTGCAGTGAGCCGAGATCACGCCACTGCACTCCAGCCTGGGCAACAGAGCGAGACTCCATCTCAAAAAAAAAAAAAAAACTGAGTGAAATCAAGATGTCAAAATCTTCCCTATTCTCCTTGCAAACTCAAAAAGAGAATTTTTCTCCTTTTATAAAAAAAGGAATTGTGATGAGCTCATTGTTTATTAATTTGTCTTTTTTCAAATGATAATGTATTGTGGATCTCTTTCCAAGTTAGTATATACAGATCCTCATCATACAATTTTTAGCTGTATATAATATTCCATACAATAGATTTTTTTATTACTTAGCCATTGCCCATTGATGGACATTAAGTTTGTTAATGGTCAACCTAGAAGAAAATGCAGACCCCATTTTGGGAGGCTGGGGCAGGAGGATTGCTTGAGCCCTGGATTTGGAGGTTACAGTGAGCTATGATTGTACCACTGTACTCCAGCCTGGGGAACAGAGTGAAATCCTGTCTCAGAGAAAAGAAGAATTCTAACCTGTTCATCTCATAACATTATTATGGATATAATAATAAGATCGCTAAAATCATGTAAATAAAAGTACATTGTTAGGGAAGAGGTTTAAAACTATAGAGAATTATAGAGTTGTTTACAGAATTTGAATGTCTTTTTAAAATTTGCTTTAAAATATAATACTTGTCAGCTAATAACATAAAAAAGAAATTCAAGTTATTTTCAAAGGATGGGGAGAAGTAAGCAAAAACACACGCTGAATAAGCAAACTCAGAGTGAAAACTGTGTTTCCATTATGATTAAGTTGGTAGGCAAAAAATACTCAGTGGAAAGTAGAGTGGTGGGTTATTGAACCTTTCCCTCATACTATCATCATCGGAACACTTTTGTGGAGTGTTGTCTATGTAGAAAAGCGTGCTAGTTCCCAAGGTTGCAGAGAGGTAAATAACATGGTCTTCATTCTCTTGGAATCACGTCGAGGAGAAGGCAACACACGTGCATTAAAAGGACACTAAGTGTTGTCAAAGGTACATTTCACTCAACAAATGTGGTTTTTTAGTGCACATGCCAGCCAGGCATGGTGCTCGACCCTGGAGGTGCAGTGGTGACTAAGGCACACTTCTGTGTCTTGTGGGGTTCTGAGTCATGAAGCACCTCATATGTGTGTAATGTGCTAAATACTACAAGGACAGGCCCAGTGTGACGTGGGAGCACAAAGAGAAGTATCTACCTCAAACTGAGGAGACCAAGGATTACTTCTCAGGGAATGCGTCTTGAAGCTGAGAACCAGAGGTTGAGTAAGAAATAAGCCATTCTGCCTGTTCCCTGCTGAGCTCTTGTTTCTGTTCCTTCCTCCTCCACCTACTCTAGTTTGGTGGTCCTTAATCTCCTCCTCATCTCACTTCCCTGCATTTGCTACACTCCACACTGTCTGTACCTCCAACCCAGATTGCTTTTCTGAGCCTAGTTCCTCTGAAAATCTATTGGGCTGCCCCTGCAGGCAGCTCACATTTTGTGTGTATTCACCCCAATTCACTTTCTTTCCCAAATCTTTTTCCTTAATACCTTAATTTATGTTCCAAAGTCAGGCACCTATAAGCCATCCTAGGCACTCTTTTTCTGTTATCTCCTTCATCTGATTACTCAACAGATTGTGTCTTTTCAACCCCCTGATTTACCCTGGAATCTGTGCCCTCTCACCTCAGTGCTTTAGCTTCAGCCCATCATCGGTTTTGCGTGGGTTATTACAGCACATCCCAGCTGACTTCTCTGCCTTCTTCCTAACCCTCCTTCCATCTGTCTTCCACTCAACTGGCAGATAGGTCTTCCGTAAGTGATCACTGTTTCACCAAACATATTTAAGACAAAACACATATCTTTGCTGTGATGAAAAGTACTATAATAAACATGAGTACAGGTATCTTTTTGATTAATGTTGATTTCTTTCCTTTTGTGTAGATACTCAGTAGTGGGATTGCTGGATCAAATGGTAGTTCTATTTTTAGTTCTTTGGGAGATCGCCATACTATTTTCCATAGAGGCTATACTAATTTACATGCCCCGTCAACAGTGTGTAAGAGTTCCCTTTCCTCTGCATCCTCATCAACATCTTCATTTTTTATGATAACAATAGCTCTTCTGACTGGGGTAAAATGATATCTCAGTATGGTTTTAATTTGCATTCCTCTGATGATTAGTGATGTTGAGCATTTTTTCATATACCTTTTGGCTATTCGTATGTCTTCTTTTTTTCTTTTTCTTTTTCTTTTTTTTTTTTTTTTTTTTTTTTTGAGACAGGTCTTGCTCTGTTACTTAGGCTGGAATGCAGTGGCAGGACTATGGCTCACTGCACCCTTAACCTCCAGAACTCGTGATCCTCCCACCTCAGCCTCCCAAGTAGCTGGAATTACAGGTGCCAGTCGCTGGGCCTAGGTAATTTTTTTTTACTTTGTGTGGCCGGTTTCGAACTCCTGGGCTCAAGCGTTTCTCCTGCCTCGGCCTCCTAAAGTGCTGGGATTACAAGTGCGAGCCAACACACCCAGCTAATTTTGTTTTTAAATTTTTTGTAGACACAGTGTCTCACTATGTTGCCCAGGCTGGTCTCAAACTCCTGGCCTCAAGTGATCTTTCTGTCTTGGCCTCCCAAAGTGCTGGGATTACAGGCATGAGCCACCATGTATGTCTTCTTTCAAAAAATGTGATGTCATTTGCCCACATTTCAATGGCATTATTTGTTTGTTTGTTTGTTTTTACTATTGAGTTGTTTGAATTCCTTGTACATTCTGGGTATTAATGCTCTTGTCACACGAACAGTTTTAGGCACCATTTTCAATACTATATTACAGAGGTGAACAAAACAGAAAAATTCTTGCTATCGTGGAGCTTGCATGCTAGCCATTATACCTGGCAGGTAGCTAATGCTTAATAATGGATGGATGGACAGGTGGATGGATGATAAGAGAAAGAAATGACCTCCTAGGTGGGAGAAATACAGAAGTAAAGATACCAAAGAAGGAATACATGGCATCTGCTGTCAAGGCGATGAGAAGGCCATTCGGACAGGAGTGGAGAATGAGCGAAGAGACAAAATGAACATCAAGATAGAGAGACACGCTGTAGACCTTGACAGACAGACAGACTTTGGATAGGTAGAGAATGAAGCAAAGACCATGTCAGGCAAGATGAACATGGTGAGCAAAAATGCAAAGATGGGAGTGCAAAATATATGTGTAAGGATAAAAACAGGCAACCTGGCCAGCTGTAGAGGGAAGGATGTATATAGGAGAATTGTGAGGAAGTAAAACTGGGAAGAGGTTAAGGAAAATGTACAGACCAGACTACACTGTGAAGGCTGTTCTATAGGAACTGGACCTTGGTCAGTGTTGTTCTGGAGCTCCTGACTAGTATATAATAAGGCAAGAGAGAGAAAGAAAAGGCACATACACTGGAAAGAAATGAAATTCTTTTCACAATGTGATTGTTTATGTGGAAAATTCAAAGGAATCTACAGAAAAGCTACTAGGAGTAATAAGTAAATCTAGCAAGGGTATAGAATACAAGGTCAGTATTCCAAAATCAGCTGTGGAATTCCACTTCCAGCATGACAACATGGGCTGCTCCCCAGTGAAACTGGGCTCGGCAGAGGACTCTTCGATAAAACACAAAAGCCACAAACCATGCAAGAAAAGTAGATAAACTGTACTTCATCAAAATTAAAAACTTCTGCTCTTCAGAAGACACTTAAAATGAAAATACAAGCCACAGAGTAGGAGATAACATTTGTAAAATACAGACATGATGAAGAACTCATGTACAGAATATAGAAAGAAGTCTTAAACTCATTAAGAAAACAACCTTAAAAATAGACAAAAGGGGCCGGGCACAGTGGCTCACGCCTGTAATCCTAGCCCTTTAGGAGGCCAAAGCAGGAGGACTGCTTGAGCCCAGGAGTTTGAGACCAGTCTGGGCAATATAGTGAGACCTCATCTTTACAAAATTTTTTTAAAAAATTAGGTATGGCAGCATGTGCCTGTAGTCCCAACTACTTGGGAGGCTGAGGAGGGAGGATCACTTGAGCCCAGGAAGCAGATGTTGCAGTCAGCTAAGATCATGCCACTGCACTCAAGTCTGGGTGACACAGCAAGACCCTGTCAAAAAAAAAAAAAAGTGCGTAAAAGATTTAAATAGGCCCTACTCCAAAGAAGAAATACAGACGTTAAATAAGCAAAAGATTTTCAACGTCAGTAATCATAGGGGAAATGCAAATTAAAAACACAATGAGATACCACTACACGCCTATTAGCATAATTAACATTTATTAAAAACAACAATACAGTGCTGACAAGGGTGTAGAATACCTGAAGCTCTCGTTTATTGCTAGTGTGAATGCAGAATGGTACAATCAATTCCAAGAACAGTTTGGCAGATTTCAATAAATTTAAACAAAATTTACCATACAATCCCATTCCTGTGTATGTATGGACACATGTCCATACAAAGATCTGTACATGAATATTAGCTTAAATATCACTAAAGACAACCTAAACATCCCTCAGCTGATGAATAGATAAACAAATTACGGCTGAAATACTACTCAGAAATTAAAAGGAACAAACCACTGGTACGTGCAGTGACACGGGTGTGTTTCAAAAGCACTATGTTAAGTGAAAGAAGACAGAGACAAAAGACAGCATGTCGTATGATTCCATTTATATGACATTTTGGAAAGCCAAAACTAGGCACAGAAGTAAGATCAGTGGTTACTGGGAAACGGCGGTGGGGGGAGGGGTGCGGGGGACAGGAGGGAATTGGCTACAGAGGGGCATAAGAAACTTTTTGAAAAGATAAATTTATATGTTCCATATCTTGATTGTGGTGGTGGTTACACTATGTTTACCTTTTTTTTTTTTTTTAACTCAGAACTAACTGTACACTTGCAATGGGTAAATTTGTGTATTGAAAATTATAGTCTGTTTTAGACTAGATTTTCAGAGCACTTGGTTTTTCCTTGGGGAATAGAATGTTGTAGAACATAAGATTTTGGGGTCCGATTGCCTGGAATCAAAGCCTAGCTCCTCCGCCTGCTTCACCATGCAACCCTGACCATATTACTAAACTTCTCTGAGGCTCTGTTTCCTCGCCTATAAAATGAGGTTCGTGCCTTCCACCTCATAGAGTTATGTGAGAAAACGACTGTTCTTATAAAGCCGTCAGTAAATGATACTGCTGTCATCATTGTTACTACTTTTTTCAGAATTGTGTCCTCAGCATCTCTGGATGTTACACTCTGTGCTAAATGCTGGAATATGACCAGCATGACCTGATCCCTGCCTTCATTCCCGTCCGGTGGGGAAGGTAGAACTTTAGCCAGTGAACAGTTGAGCTCTAAAAGATCATTCTAGGTGGGCATCAATGGTGCCAAGGAAAGAGACAGAATGATAATACAGAACAATTGGGAGAGAGCACTCCAGAGCGGGAAGGCACTGGGAGGGAGTGGATTGGAGTTGAGAACTGAAGGAGAGTGATGCAGAGATCTGGGGGAACGTACGGTGGCCAGAGTGGGCTTCTACCTGACACTATAAATAGAAAGGCCAGTGTGGTGAGAACATAATGAACAAGGGGCAGGGTGGCACAAGATGAAGACAGAAGGGCTGGAACTCCATGTGCAGTGGGAGAAGCCAGAAATAAGTTGTACAAATGGGGCTGGTGTGATCAGATTTAGGTTAAAAGAACCCCTCAGCTGCCTGGGTAAAATAGACCATAGAATCCCAGGAGAGAGACTTGGGGCAGCTCCTGGCATGACTTGATGATAGCTTGGACCAGGGTGGTCACAGCAGAAGTGAAGTTCTTCTGTTACTCAGCTCAAAATTCAGGCTGGCTACCATTGCCTACTCTTCTCTGAAACGTTCCCGTCTCTATTGCCTATGTGTATCTTCACCTTTGTTACAGTGCTATAGCTCTGTCTACCTGTAATTCATTATAAGGGAGAGGAGCAGAGGTGACATTAGAATGTAATCCCAGAGAAGGTGCAGCTCCCCTGTTCAGTCAAATCCTCACAGCCAGCACCAACAGAAATACATTTCTGTTTAGCCAGGCTGCCGATGCTTGTAGCATGAAGAATAATAGAGTAAACCCCACAGGGAAACAGAACCCCATAGAATTCTCCACCTCTCCTCTACTGAGAGTCTCCTTAAAGGCGGAATGGTTTGAATGCCCAGCCATCTAAATATAGGCTTTTCTTTTGTTCCCTCTTAATTTAACTGAGTGATTCTCAAACTCTAGTGAACACAGTCATTATTTTCCAGAATTGTACATACATAACCTTCCATGTACTTTATGGATGAGTTCAGGGGATTTTAAAGGATAATTTTGAATGTAATATAGTTTCACCTTAGGGCTGACCTAAATAAACTGAATAAACTGCAGCTCCACTGTTTCAAGAAATTGAAAATGCATCTGGTCCTAATACAGCTTTGAGTGCCAGTCTTGGTGCTGCTTGCCTGTTTGTTACTGAGCTCCCTTTTGTCTATGTTGTTTCAAATGATGGAGAAAGTGACCTTGAATATATGTAATAAACAAGGAATAGTAAGATAATTGGCTGTTTTTGAAATAGTTACAGTAAAAACCCTTTGCATTTTAAGCAACATAGACATTTTCTATAATTTTTTTTTGCAAATCAAAGGGGAAAATGTTTATAGCTAAAATACCATTTAATGAGAACAAAATCAATGCAATGACATTGTCATTTGTTTCATTTTCCCAAGGAGAATACAGAGGACAGTACTTAAGTTTTAGTTATGTTGATTGCTTGTGTGAAATGCTGATTCCTGCCAGCAGTCGCCAGGTGTCTCTCACGCTGCTGGGAGAGGAATGTCTCGTCTTCTTCATCTGGTTGCCTCCGTCACTGTTCTAGAGGCTTCTGGCACTGGTGCAAGGCAGAGCTGTGCTTCCTTGAGAGTGTGCCAAGCATTTACTTTGGTTATTTAGTTCTAGTCTGGGAGCAGACACAAAAGGAAAAAAAAGAAAATACCAACTCCATGTGTCTGAGGTATCACTTATAGTTTAAAAAAAATGATTGTCTTATCATGTTTGGGAAAATACTGGTCTTCCTGTTTTCCTCCTATTTAAATTCATCCTAAAACTTCCAGGGACACAAGAAATTATTAGCTATTTTGACCATCCATTCCAGAAAAGATGGTGGCCTTACAATAATTGCAAGTGGTTAATAGAAACATCCTTTTACAGCTTCTATTTACCAAATGTAGTTCCTGTGGAAGCACTTGACCCCGTGGCTTTCTGCTTTTTATGTCAGCTCTGGGGCCTTTATGATAGAATTATTTATCAGAGTCTTTAATGGCTCGGGGCCACTTGATGAACTTGAGTACACTGTACATCACATCACTTAGGAAGCATCCCAGATGCTCATGGATAAATCTAGAGTCGTGGTGCATTTGGCTAAAGAGCTCCTGCATGTGAGGAAGTCTGGAGAAAAGTGCTCCAGAGGGGTCACAATGGAGCTGTGTTAACCTCTGCTGTCAGCTTCTCACCACGGAGTTTATCCCTATTACTTGGAGCCAAACCACTGCATCTGTTCTCCTTAGGCTGTGTCAGCGCAGCCACCTCACAGCCTCAGGGACCCACGGCTTCCATTCTGGATACTCACACTGGTAAGTGGGACTTGGCAGAGGCCAAATCAAGTAGTTTGTTTCTGACACCTCTGAGCCCATTTCTTTGCCAGTTTTATATCATCACTAGTAACTCCCTTCCCTGTACCTCTTACACATCACACAGGCAGCCAGTGTCCTTGAACACCTTCCACTTAACGAAGCTGCATATCTGCTTGCAACACTCGTCCTAATAGGATAAAAGGATTAAGTAGTTTTAGGGTGGCCAAGAGGAGGGGACAGCAGGAGACAAGTGGTTAAAAGTGAACGTTCCCAATATTTCTTCTAAAATATACCTCAGTTCTTCTCAGGAGGATAAAACCAAGTGTTTTGCCCTAGGAGATTATAGCTGCCAGAGTCTAACACTTATTTTGGAATGTTTCCGGGGGTCCTTGGGACCCCTTTTCTATCTTATGGTCTTCCGTGCTGTAAGACCTGGAGACCAACTGGCCTGAATGGAGGTTGTGGGGCCTGAGGGCTCTCCCAGCACCTCTGCCAGCCCTGTCGCCTCATTGGTTCCTTCTCTTCTGACTTCATATTTGACAGGTTGTCCTTCTGTCTTAGACAAAAATCTATTAAATTCGCTGCTCCATCCAGTTACTCTTCTATTTCTCCTCTTTGTAGCCGACTTCTGGAAAGGGTGGCCTGCTCACCACTTCACTAGTTGCAGCTCAGCTTCCAGCCTCACCATTCATCTCTGCTTTTCTCTGTACTTTCACTGCATTTTTCTCTCTGCATGGCGGCCCTTCCAACCGCTCTTCACTTAAATGGACTCATATCAAAATGGCAACCTCAGCCTTAGCCCCTAGGTCCTCCAGCTGAGTTCCCTGTCCCAATTCCAAATCTTTATGAGAGAAAATTTGATTGCTCCAGCTTGGGCCTGATAGTTCCATTTCCCTGGGGCAAAGGAAAGGGTTATAAGGACAATTAAGCATTAGGGATGGGAATGGGAGGACAAAAGTACTTAAGGCAAAGGGAAGGATCCAGGGCAGCTTCCACGGGACTTTACGTGGCACTTGGCCAGATGTGTATCTAAAGCTATGATTCTGCTTTGTAACTTTCTAGCTATAATCCACCTCCCCAACTTTCAACAAACACATTATGTCAAATTCTTTCTGTGTGTTATAATTAAAGCCAAAGAGATTCTTAATATTTACCAAGTCTTAATTTCGCTTCAGAGATGTGTTTCCTAGTTCGGTTAAAATTGGAGTTTCTGTTCATGTTCTCCTTGTTTTCAGAGAAGACAGAGAGATGTAGACACCGTTCATCTACTATCTTTTATCAAACCTGAGGTCCTTCAGACTTATATTTTTAAGGTATCTTATATATATATTTTTAGTGATATCCTTTTTGCTGGTCTATCCTAATTTAATATTTCTTAAGGACGTCAAGGCCTACTGTTTCTTTTAAATATTTTAGAATCAAATAATTATTTTCTTCAATTCATCAAGAGTGTATTGATCACCTGTAATGTACAAGCACTGTCAGTTTTGTTTTTATAATGCTCAAAGTTTTATAATCTGGGTGAAAAACTAGCCACATGTATAAAATGCTTAACAGACAGCATAAGGCAGCCCAGAAATATGTGTTGAATGAAATGAATAGATCAGTACAAACAAGAATTTCTCTGGAAAGTCAGACAAAGAAGAAGGACAGAGTGGACAGTGAAAGCTTCCTGCAGGCGGAGCCAGGACTGGGCCTTTCTTCTTGTTATTTCAGAGACATCTGTATTTTGATTATGTCTCTTTTGAATTATCTATTTTCCAGCTTGGTGACGCTGACAGGGAAATAATACATGTCAGCATTAGTTTTTCCAACTTAATGGATCAGATGAGAGTGATCCATAACATGTAAGCTTTAGGTGTGGGCTGTAAGCAGGAGAGATTGCACGATAAGAGCAGAGCAAAAGGTTATTTAGAGAGGATAAATTAAAACACTTGGAATTGGGGTCAGTCAATACCTGGTTTTGAAATGAATGATGAAGATGGAGTTTTAGAAATGAAATGAATGGATTGTTTGGTTGGCATTATTAACTTAAAGAACAGGGTTTAGGTTAAGTATTATAGGGCTTTACAGGAGACATTTTTCAAATTTACTGAGGGTTTTACCAGTAAGCACTTAAGCAAATGTAAACATTTTGTGGGCTGCAGGGGAGCTGTGGATATTATTCATCACCCAGGCACACTAGTCTAGCAGACGGGTACCCAGCCAGGCTAAAGCTCTGCAGAGTTTCTAAGGGTTGTTATGATTAGTCTCTTGGTGTGTATATATTGCTAATGTAATAAGAACATAAACATTTTATAAGTATAGAAATTTCTTTTTTTTTAGTGTTAACCAGTGAAGTGGCAGGAAGAACAAATTTGGCCTCAACTTAATAATAGTGGTGTTAATGTAGAGAACTTGTTCTTAAAATAAAACTGTTCTCTATTAACCATGGTATGAAGAGTTCACAAAAACTTTTTGTACATATTGTCATGCTTAGTCATTACAATGGTTGAACAAGAGGAACGCTGCTGGGATTTTCTGAAAGTTACACTCCCTTCTCTCATCATGAGAAAAAAGAAAGCATTTGTGACTATTTTCAAGCGTTGTGAGCTGTGACAGTATTCCTAGGGATGAAGGATTCTTCTGTTCTCATCTCCCTTTTATAATCAGAAAATGCCCAGATATTCTAATAAATATGAATATGAAGAGTTAACTGTCATAGTAACTTAGTCTATCACTTGTAGCCAATTAAAACATATGTTTTAGGAGCAAATATCTTTTACTAATAATCTAGGGTCATTTTGCCTAATGTCTCTTCACTTTGATTCCTCTCTTTTCACGTAAGACGATGTGAAAAGATGGGACACAATTAAATGCTGTTTTCATTGGTTGGTGTTAGATGAGTGGAAGTCATACCATAGCGTTCTCTCTTTTGCATGGTTTGTAAAGGTTCATTTGGGCACCATTCTTAAGTTCAGAGAATATAAAGATGAATAGTGCAAAGTCACTTCACTGAAAAAACACAGCATAAGGGGATGGGCAGCCATGGCAGCAGCTCATGTTAGCATGAGGTCTAAGAAGTGCTGTGAGAGCTTGGGAACAGACATGGAGACCAACCATGTGGAGGGGCTCAGGAAGGTGAGAACGGAGAGAGAAAATGTCCTTGGAGGAGTTTTTTGATGTCTAAGCTGAGTCTTAGAGGATGAGTAAGAGATGGTCATACAAAAGATGGAGAGAAGTGTTTCAGGGGGCAAGGGGGCCAATTCTAGGGCAAAGGAGCTAGATGCACAGTTAATTAGACACGTTCACAGAACAGATCAGAGATGGCAAAATAATGGCCAATAGACCAAATCCTGAAGAAGCATTTTTTGTTTGGCCTGCTGTGCCAGGCTGGTCCTTGTAGATGTCTGCATTTGTAAACATGGTCCCTGGCCAAAGGTCCTGGTCCCAAGGGGCAGGTAAGGAGATGGAGTAAGAGGTCAGCACTATACCTCCGGGTAGCTGCACGTGCACGCAGCTGCCAGTCTCCAAAGCAGCAGAGATGGATAGTTTTATTTCCCAGCTTCATTCTTTATAAATTGTGTTTTATTTAAGCTTTTCAAAGACTCTTTAAAATTCATTGACCCTATTTGGTGCAGGTGAACAAAGCTATTTTTTAAGTAGAGTCCTATAAATTAAAAATAAGGAGGCAGATCAGAGAATTCAACTATCTGGCTCAATCAGGAGAAAGGAAAGGTATGTGTCTGTCACGTGGCAGGCATTGGGTGTTATGGGATCCAGGAGTAATGGAGGGATTCGGTAGTTGGTCCCTGCCCTCAAGAAATTAGAAAAACAGACTAAGAGATTGGACTACAATGCTGGAAACTCTGATTTTCGTAGCTGGGACAATAGGAATCACTCCTCCTTAAAAATTCCTAAGTCTTTGTACAAATTACCCTTAATTTAAGATGAATTGGTGTAGCATAATTCAGGGGTCACCACGTACTCCCCTCTGAATAAGAAGGCTGAATCTCAGTGGTCAGCAATGAGGGAGATTCATTTTGGTATTTTTTTCTTTTTTCTTTTATAGGCAATCTTTCTTCTCTTCCTTCTAGATTAACAGGATTCTTTCAGTCAGCTTTCAAAACTCATTCAGTGTAGATCTGGTTTGTTTTCTTCCTTGAAAAAAATTATTAATATAATACCACAGTCTCTGCACCGAACATCATGATGCATGCCTATAATCGCAGCTACTCAGGAGGCTGAGGTGGGAGAATCACTTGACACCAAGAGTTTGAGCATTTTTTAGAGATGGGACCCCATTTCTTAAAATAAATAAATAAATAAATAAATAAAAAGGTGTCTGTGTGTGTGAAACCACAATCTCCACGTTCTGAATGTAATTATGCCAAATATATTTTCTTCTTACATTCTTTGCATTTCTTTTAAACATGTTTTAAAATTTAATTTTCTTTTAAAATAGGTTTTGTTTTCCCATTTTCTTCACAATTTCCTTAAGTTCTGAATTTACATCAGTCATCTGCCACTCTACAATATCTATAACTTGAGACATGTTCAGAAATAGAAAACTCCTAAATAAGATTCTGGGGAGACATTTTCAAAACAGTTTTCTGTAGAGGCTTTCTCCAGAAACTCATTTCCAAGCTCCAATGTGGGATTTACACGGGAAATTAAAGTTAAATTGTCTTGATTTGATTAAGGTTTTGCATTTTCTTTTGTTTTTGAAGAAAGGATATTTTATTTTGTAATTTCAAAGTCATTTATTGTGGAAGAATGACCAAGAAGTATGAAATTAATTTTTGTCTAAACTAATTACCTGCAGAGCTGCTCAAAATATAAAGCTTTCTTGACTTAACATTTCATAGGCTTCTCTGAGACATTACTTAACAGAAAGGCCACATTTTTCCAGGAAGTTATTTAAAAGTCAGGTAATTTAAATTACATTTATTAAGTGCAATAAATAGGCACCAAATTAAAGCTTGTTTCTCTCTTATTTGTTCTTAATTTCTGTAGAAAATTATACTTTCGTAGAGCTATGTAGGGGCTGATGTTTAGTAAACAAAACAATGTTATATTTAAAAAGGAGAAAAAAATAATTCATAGAAATGTGTGGACCAATTTTTCCCCACTCTCAATCCATCAGTTTCTTTTCTACAGTAGCCTTGGGCAGGAAAGGCAGAGGTAGAAAAATCTCAAGCAGTGATGCTCAGTAGAAAGACATCTTAATTTAAAATGTAATTCAGTTTTGTATATGAGTTTTGAAATAAATCATCATTCAACCCTCAGCATGAACCATGAACCGATTTGCATGCGTGAGTGAATGAATATAAAAGAATTTTTTTGTTCAAGAAAATTAGTCTTTTTCTGACCACCCCCATCAAATAGTGCTGTTTTTCTTATTCACACATTTATTCTGTGTTGTTGAAAATTAGAACTTTTTTTGCAATATTATCACACCTTGTTCAACTCTATTTCAGATTGTTCTTATATAAATTCAATCCAGCAAGAATCACTCACAGAGATTATTAATTCCTCTGTTCTTAATAAAAGGCCATTACAGCTACTGTTGCAGCAGTGCAAGAGCACCAACGTTTAAAAAACATGTTTTGTATGTGATCAATCTAGCTTTTCAATATACCACTTTTTGTAATTTGGTATAATAAAATTAAATTGTAAGTAAAATTAAAATTGAAGATAAAAATAGTGGTATATTCATGTCTTTATAAGTCTGACAAAATAAATCAGGGGAAACAATTTATGGCAAGTTTATCAGCCCCTCCCTCCAGCTCTATTTAAATAGGTCCTTCCTATTTAAATTATTCTGTCTTATTTCATCTGTTCTTTCTTGTAGCTGATTTTACAATTGGAGAGTTCACGGTAGTTACATGTGTTTGTTTAAGGTCTGTCTTCCTTTCTAGACTAAACTCTTGCTGTTTTGTTCACTGCTGTACAGCTACACTTAGCATAGTGGCTATCTAGGCAATGAGAAATTTTAATGAATGAATGAATGAACAAGTCAACACTATGTGCTCATTTAACAAGCACTTTTTAAGTGCTTTATTTACATCATTGTATTTAATTCTTAAGACAACTCTATAATACCTCCCATCTTACAGATGAAGAATCTAAGGCCAACAGATTAAATAATTTGCTCAAGATCACACGGCTAAACAAGTAGAAACCCGCCTTCCCTATTGTCTTTTTATTGAGCCTTTACCTAAGCAAGTTTGACTTGAAAGTTTCAGTCTTGCCATTGAAAGAGCCATAATACACCCTTTCAGTTGAGGAAACCAAGGACCAGAGAGGTTAAATAAGTTACCCACTTTTAAATAACTAGTTAACTTCAGAGTCAGAACTAGAATGCAGACCACCTGATCCTACTCAGCATGCTTAGTTATGGTTCCATGAGGAAACCAGAATTTAGCACTAATAATAAAAAGTATTAAAGTATTTTTAAAACATATTTCTTATGAAAAATCCCAACAGATGGAATAGTAGAGCTCACTCTACAGTGGACCCTCAACATACTCATGGCCCAGAATCAACAACTATCAAGACTTTTACCACACTTGCTTCATCTTGCCCTTTAAGTACTTTTAATGATCAAAACACTTGTAGCTGTATGATTAAATTAAAACAAAGTAGATAGTGCAGGTAAGTCAGAAGTCTAAGGATATATCCAAAGTTCCTCTGCTAATTGATAACAGAGCTAGTTCACAGCCCTCTATTCTTCCACTAGAACATGCCAAGAGATATATAATGAAAGACAACTGAAAGTGGATGACCTAACCAGGCCGGCCGCAGTCAGCACTGGAGTGGAGCGGCTTATGTTGGCTCAGCATATGTAGCTTGGCCAGATGGGGACCAGCATCACATTGGTAATGGTATAGTAGTTATCAAATCTCAGAGAGCTTCCAGACCACGTGGATTCCTAACAAGTTCCCAGGTGATGCTGATGGTCCAGGAGCCACACTTAGAATCATGGTGTGGAGGATCTACCCAGAAATTCCAATGAGGCCCTCTTTCCTAAGGTAACTGAGCCCAGAGACACCCAAGAAGGCCAGCTTAGCCTTTCTTCTCCTCATCTTGCTTCTAGAAACCAGATGTCAGAGTAACACTTGAACTGGAAGCAAACTGCTAAGGAATTTAAATGATAAAAAGGAGAAAAAGGACTAATAAAAAAAACATATTTCACAAAAAATTTAAATATTGAATAAATTATGAAAGGAGAAAACTCAGGTGTGTATGTGTGTGTGCCTGTGTGCGTCTCCAGGCTTGGGATGCTTTCAAAAATCCATCTAGGAATGGGAAGAGCCGATGGTTTTTGTTTTTTTAATCAAAGGCTGAATGGTATGATTAAGAGAAAGAGTATATAGACTAATTGACCTAAAATAACAAGAAATCAGTCTTTGACATAATAGTGTTTGAGATCTCTGAGATTTAGCTCTGACCACATTTTATGAGCACTAAGGCAGAAAATCATAGTTGTGTTTAACTGAGATGAAAAATGAACACTCTTTTCTAACCTTTTTCTATCTAAAAGATAGATCTCTTGATTAAAACAGCTAAACTTCAACAACCTGAATATAACCATGATATTTAAAGATTTCATGGCAAATCAAACTTAATAACCCACATATTAATTGATATATTCTCTCTTTATTCCAAAACCATTATTATTGCTTGTCCTCTTTCTACTTAACAGTTCCAAAGAGAGTCCTTTACTTTTTTTTTACTGATGTCTCATTGTATACAAATATTCTAAAGAAAATCCTCTAGTTACCCCTTTATTTAACTTTTTTCCTCTGCCTTATTTCAAACAAGAGTTCAAGTAACTTGCAAATATATGTAAAATGTGACAAAATAGTCCAGAAAAAGAAGACTAAGAAGAGACAAAGTGGAGCCAAGAATAATAGAACTTAAAGTGCAAACCATGATCACCCTCATGTCATTAGACCAAAGAGCCGTTCAGTGGGAGAGGAGGGCCCGCTCTCTGCTTCTAATGTGCTCCACCAATGCATTTTAGGAAATCTGGAAGATAGATTAAAGATACAAGCTAGCTGAAGGCTGTTTCTCTCAACGAAGCATTTGATAAAAATTATGTGGTGGTGTGCCCACGATTCTTCTTCCTTTAAAATGCCTAACTTGAGCCTCTCTTGGTGAGGTGAATTAAACAAATGCTTGTCTCTCTTTGCTGACTTCCACATGGCAGGCAGAGTAGTCCTTCTAAAAAGCAGATCTGATCATTTTCTTCCACTTTTTAAAATCTGGAAGACTTCACTGAGTCTGCATTTGCCCAGAGGTCTCTGTATGTGGCCTTCCTAATTTCTGTGCTCTCTTGACACCTCCCACCCTCATTCTACTCTCCAGATATGTGGAACATAAACTTGCCATTCTTCTCCTCTTTGGCCTTCTCACACGCTGTTCCCACTGCCTGCAACTCTCTTCTCCACCCTTTCCGCCCATCTCCCACCCATCCATCGGGTCTCAGTTTACACATCACTTCTTCCTAGAAACACCCCCTGTCCACCACCCAGCATAAACTAGGTTAGGTGCCCCTGACTGCCCCGTGTTCCCTGCTGTGCCACACATGCTTGCCTTGGCCACGAACTGACCACCACTACAGCATCAGTGCCCCCAGGACAAGGACCACACCTGTCTTGCTCACCACATTATATACAGTTGTTTTGGTTTCAGGGAATGCGGTATTAGGCTATTTGCATAATGGAGTAAACTGAAGGTGCTTTTAAGCCCACAGGAAGCTCCTCCCAGGTGATTGCATCCCAACTCAAGACTCTAGCCACCCCAGGCCCTCAGCAGACCCAGGAAAGAAGAAGCTCAGCAAGTTGTATTACACCAGTGTGCCCCACGTACAGTTGGGAGACTCTGGGTTAAACTGATGAGCCAACAAATGAGCCTGAGTATAGGTCCTGTTTCCAAGTTATTTTACTTGCTTTGAGTCTCAGTTTCTTACTGCTAAAATGAGGTAATGCTATCTCAGTAAACTTGTCTTATTTTAAGGGTTTTTTTTAAGAAACTCAATACTGTTTTTTAATCTATTGGCAAATTTTATTTTTTGTTTTGCTTTGTTTTTAATGTCACAGCCAGTGTTGATACAGGTTCTAGAAGATGGTGCTCTCATATAGTGCTGGTGGGAGTGTAAATTTGTGCAAACTCTCTGGAGTACAGCCTGACAGTACGTGTCAAAATCCCTACAACATGTGCATATCATCTGACTTAGCAGTTTCACATCTAGGAATTTATCTTCGGAATTTCTTCTAACCAGAGCTGTGAACAAAAGTCTACCCATAAGATATTTATCCCAACACGCTTTTTGATTTTTAAAAATGGAAAAAGACTGAATGTCTGAAAAAAAGTATATTGGTTGAATTAATTGTGGTGTATCCAAAGAATAAGCCACTGTGTGTTATAAATATTAATGATGTTGATGCAAAAAATATATTTAATAGCCTGGGGAAATTATTAAGATATATTGAAATAAATCAGGGGATAAAACCACAATTTAGCATATTCTCAATTTTTTTTAAGTAGTTATATCATTGGAAAAAGGCTGAGAAGATATCAACTAGTATGTTTCTCCGAATAACTCATGAAGAATTTCTTCTTTGTGATTTTCTAGAATTGCCAGTTTTCTGAATTGGATGTATATTACTTTTGTTATAAATGTTTTAGGAAAAATGAAACATAACAGGAAAATAAATTTCACACAGTTTGCAATTGGAGTACCTTTGCCCATAACACAAGAAAGCTCTGAAGTCCACTGATTGTGGGCTCCTCGTGCCAGAAGGGGAAGGATTCCTTCAGGTGCCTGGATGCTGAGAGTGATCATGGCATCCTGGGTAAATAGCTTCATTTTCGTTTGCATGGCTTGTCAGCCTACCCAGTTTTCATTCATGCCCTTGTGCACATTGATTTAAACACCAAAATTGAGCCACATCATTTTCTGTGACTTCAACAAAGGTCAGAAACTAAACTTACACATAAAATGGCCTATCTCAATAAATTAAATTCATGTGTGCTCTTCTAAAAGGGCTTTTCATAACACTAATATCTTTGAATCCAACTGGCCTCCACAGAACTTGAAGAAGGAGTAAACAACCTTCTTCTTCTTTTTTTTTTTTTTTTTTTGACACAAGGGCCAATTCAGGAAAAATAAAATGTTTATCAGCCACATTTTTCTCCCTCCCAAAATAAAGCTAGTTTTTTAGAGTCTCATAGGGAAAAAAAAAATCTGTTCTTATAAGCTATAAATTACCTTATTGGAAGAAGAACAACATTATAATATGTGCACTGCTTTTTAGCCATCTAAAGTTTCCTTTCTGGGTATATAGGAGATGTAACAACACAGAGGTATCTTTGTAATCTTTCATCTGGAAAATCATATTGTGTGCCATGTTGGGAAAATAGATGGTTCCAGGTCATATGACGTATGAGGGAACTTCAAAAAGATTATGGAAAAAATAGAATTAAAAGATAAAATTTTTTAAAAAAACCTATTTCTCAACCTAATCTCCATCAAGGTCAAGACACTTTGGTAAGCAGTGATACCAGCCATTTAGTCTATCTGTAAAGAACTCACAGAGTCCTGGGAATTTAACCATGTCAAAGCATTCTTTTTTACATTATTAACTGAAGAGAAATGGATTCCCTTTAAAGACTTTTTAAGATTAGGAAACAAAAAGACGGCAGAAGGAGCCAAATCAGGACTGTGAAGTGGATGCCTAATGATTTCCCATCCAAATGCTCACAAGGTTGCCCGTGTTTGATGAGAGGAATGAGCAGGAGCATTGTTGTGGTGGAGAAGAACTCTCTGGGGAAGCTTTCTGCTAAAGCTTTGCTAATTTTTTTCAAAACACTCTCATAATAAGTAGATGTTATTGTTCTTTAGCCTTCTGGAAAGGAATCAAGCAAAATGCCTTCAGCATCCCAAAAAACTATGGCCATGAGCTTTGCTCTTGATCTGTCCGCTTTTTCTTTGACTGGACCACTCCCACCTCTTGGTAGCCACTGCTTTGATTGTCTTTGTGTTCAGGATTGTAGTGGTAAAGCCATATTTCACCTCCTGTTATATATTCATTTTCTTCTTTTTTTTTTTTTTTTGAAGAAATGCCTCAGGATCTTGATCCCATTTGTTGAAAATTTCCATTGAAAGCCCTGCTCTTGTCTGCAGCCAATCTGAGTACAATGGTTTTGGCACCCACTGAGTGGAAAGTTAGCTCAACTTTAATTTTTCAATCAGAATTGTGTGAGCTAAACCAATTGAGACGTCTATGGTATTGGTTGTTGTTTCTACCGTTAACCATTGGTCCACTTAAATTAGGGCATGAAAAAGATTCATTTTTTCCTCACAAATTGATGTGGATGGTTTGCAGCTGTGGACTTTAATCTTCAACATCATCTGTTCTTAAACAAGTTATCCATTTGTAAACTGCTGATTTGGGGGGGCATTGTCCCCATAAACTTCTTGTAAAGCATCAATGATTTCACTATTCTTCCATCCAAGCGTTAGCATAAATTTGATATTTGTTCTTGCTTCTGTTTTAGCAGAATTCATGTTGCTTTGATAAGGGCTCTTTTCAAACTGATGTCTTATCCTCCTTAATGCCTCAATCTAGATCCTGTTCAGACATGTTATAACAAGTTAGTATGAGTTTATTTTGGTACAAAAAATTTTTGAAATCCATGCATAGTCTTTTCATAATATGCATTTTCCATGAACTTTTTCAAGTCCCCTTGTATACCTCCACCTTAGAGAAATGTGTTTCAGCAGCTGGTGAGGGATACAGTTGAGGAACAAATAGGAAACAGAGGGATGGAAGAGAGAAAGGCAAGGAATGTGTGTGATCCACTCCATCAGGATGCTTGGCTTTGAAGAGTGTTGAAGCAAGAGGGGTATTACCTTGGGGGAAATATGAAGAAAGTAATTTATTTGATGCAGGAGGTTAATAGACAGTAGAGATAGAAGGGATAGAATAGAGATTAGGGAGGAGATTAAATAAAAACAAAAGTGGAGGGTTTATCTTTAAAAGGAATGAAGACAGCCTCTTCTGAAATGGGAGGAAGGAAGTAAATCTGAGGGCATTTGTCACTGTTGTATAAGAGGGAAGGGCATCTGTTAAGGCGTCTTGGGAGCTAGAGTGAACCTGGAGCCTTGAGAAGGCAGGAGAAGAGTTAAAATAGTCACTATAAGGAACGAAAGTGGAAATCAGCCCTGGCTAAGCACCCGCACTGTTAAACCATCCCCTTGAAATGGGGCCAGTTAGTATAAGTGTAAGCCTTTCCCAGCAGGAGCAGAGACAGTAGGTTATTGAGCAGATCCAGAGTGGGAATGTTGGATGGACAAGGCAGAATGGATTATTGAGGGTGCCTGAGTGAGTATTGTGGAAGTAACTGACCACAGGGTTCAGAAGAGATGGCCCAGGAACAGGTGGGTGGAAATGCCACCTCAAGGCAGAATGTGCACTCAGAAGTCTCTCAGCTGTAATTTATAGTTCTTCTGTCACAGGCACCTTGACAGCAACATATCCCTTATATTTTCTCATTTTCCATCAAAATTCCATTCTGTTGGGTCACTCTTTGGGCACAGAGGCTGCAGGCCAGGTAGGAAAGAGTCAGTGCTGGCCCCTATAGCAGAGTGGTAGAGTGGTGGCCAGAATTCTCCATCAAGTCACTTCTAGCTTTCATATTCTGTTGCCCTGACTTCATTCCGTACTGTAGTTCCAGCTGCTGGGCTCTCCTCTGGCCCCCTCCCGGCTAAATTCTAACTCGTCATAATTCTACAAGTTAGTCTTTTTCCTAGAAGGGCCCTCTCATAGATACAGGCCCTCTCTCCTGCCATAGGAACACTGCAACCCTGTGCATAGAAGGGTATCATCTCACATGTGTGCACATAGGGTAAAGTCTGCCTCTCTAGGGAGTTGGCTGTTTTTAAAACCAGAGCACCCTAGAAGCTGCACACTGGTGACTCTTGCTTGCTAAGAAACGTGTTGTGGAATCTGTAATCCAGCAGGGTCACTGAACACTACACAAACATACCTTACTCAGAAGTGGAATTATGGCTTCTGCTAGGAGAAGGCAGGCTTGAGTAACCTCCTTAGGTTTCTCAAGAAAGAATAAATAAACATGCATATAAGCAGGAACTAGTAGATCCAATTTATCTAGACTCTCAAAAAGCCTTTCACAAGATTCCATACAAAGTCTACTTTTAGAAGTTGGCTCTTTTGAGAAACAGGCTTATAATAATCATTATCATTGTAGAGTTTTAGATGATGGGTTTCATTTGCATAAATAACACTGTGCGACCTCCCCTTGAAAATCCCGTGTCCATAAGTCACGTTACGGCACTGGTACTACACAACGGCCACCTGGTGTTTACTGTTGTCGGGAACCGGTAGCATGCTGAGCCTGTAATTCATTACAGACATTGTAATGATGGCAGTCAGAGGCACATCATTGCTACTCATGATCACTAATTAAGTGACGTCTTAATAAAGTATAAATACAGGGGAAGAACAGCTTCCAGAATTCAGGTAGTATTTTCTGCCCAAATCTTCCAATATTGTGTCTGAAGTTGTTTGTTCATGACTAAATATAAAATGGAACACTGTGCAGGAGGCATTGTCTCAGTCAGTCTTCAACCCTAGGAGGAAAAGATGATCATTTCTCTTATAGAGAGGAGTAAGTGAAACCTAGCTGCCCTATAGCCAGGAAGGGACAGAACCTATATGAATCCAGAACACTCTAATCCTGACTCTCTTAACCACTTTACTCTTAGCTAGCAAAATCAAGAAGAGCAGCCAGAGCTCCCACAAACATATTCTTTCTTATTGTAAGTTTGTTTCATAAAGAGGATTCCCCATATCCAGGAATCAGCCAGATCAGTGCTGCCTCTACTGGATAGGTGGATTATTTGTACTTTGTCAGTGCCGATTTTAGGCAGTGTGATTGAGTTGAGTTGGAGATGATCACTCCACGTTCTCTGCCTTTTTCCAGCCCGTTGCTAGCTGTGTCCTTTGCCACTTGTTGTGCTGTTCCAGGAGTTGCCATTCTGACCTTGGGGGTGAATCCACTCACAGGAGCCCTGGGGCTCTTCAACATTTTCCTGTATACCTGCTGCTACACACCACTGAAAAGGATCAGCATTGCCAACACATGGGTCGGAGCTGTGGTTGGGGCCATCCCGCCTGTCATGGGCTGGACAGCGGCCACGGGCAGCCTCGATGCTGGTAAGTGTCCTGCGATGTGGAGTCTCACATGAGCACACTCGGTCAAGGAGGCATTTCCTCCCTGAGCTGTAGCACTTGGTTCGATTCCATTCCATCCCACGTTAATTCTTTTAGCAAATGTGCTGATGTGGCAGACTGAAATTCTGTGGATGCAGAGTAAAGAGAGACCGTGTCATCCTGGCTGGTGGGTGCACATGACATACACTTTCCCTTGTAGGGAATGTCTGGGAGAAAAAAAAGGAAGCAGTGCTGCCTACCTGTGACTACAGGTGGATAAAGAAAGTACCTGAAGCTATGATGAAAATCACAAACGAAGCTAGGACTAACGAATTCATGGGGCGGGGAGAAGGTACCTGGAGCTGGCCTCCAGTCTCCCATCAAAGGGGTTTCATCTCACGAGCCAGCCTCCTGCGTTCCCCTCTTATGAAAGGGCAGATTATTTTCATTAGTTTCTAATTTATTTTTATATGATTTGCTTAAATCGTTCATACTGTCTATAGTAAAACTATTGAAAGATTCCTACATTTTTTTGGTGGTATGTCACAACTAAATTTGTGGGGTGAAAATAGCTCATTTTTACCATCTGTAAGGGAAGTTTCACAGTCTAATTAGTCAAGTAATTAGTGTTTTTGACCGACACTTAGGAAGGAAGTGGTGAGGTTTCCTGCAATATATGTAAGTACATATTTTTCACATGAGAGATCAAAAGGCAGTTGACCATAAACCGTTACCCTGTAAGCCACATTTCTGAAACTTTTCATAAAAGCTCTTACACTCCAATTTGGCAAGCTTACAAATGCGATTACACCTTTACCATGATTGTCTCTTAGAATGGCTTTAATATCCTGTAAATGTCAGATTTTAATGAATCTACAAATACCATATTCTAAAACGTATGTGCTTGTGTGTTCTGTGATAAACCTAAAACCAGAGCCCCATCCACGTGGGAGGCAGTGTCAGCAAAGCGGTGGTGAGCAAGGAAGCCGGCGGCGCTGCCTGGATGGGGAGCCCGACCCCACCGCTCATGAGCTGTGCATCCTTCGCGGCTGAATTCAGCCTCTTTCTGCCACTGTCTCCTCATCTCCCACATGGGGCTAATAATCTTCTCCCCTCCTGGAGTCATTGTGAGGATGAAATGAATTGTTATTTGTAAGGTGCTGGACCATGGTGAGGGCTCAATTTGGGATCTGTATGCTGTTGTTATCATTCAGGAGTCCTCCTTCATACAGTGGAGGGACTGGCACAGATCAGGAAATGGAAGATTTTGTTTGGTTTGTAAGCTGAGCGATGCAGCCTTGTCCTCTGGCTGTTATTTTGAAGACTGAGGCGCCTGCAGCCTGGTGGGAAAGAGTGCTGGGGTCCTTTGGTGAGGTTTGCAGTGGATGAGGGAAGGGAGGGTTTAAAGCCTGGGCTTGGCATCCCTGGGCTAGATGACATCTGCGTGTTCATCCTGGTTTATAGTTGACCTTCACAGAGCACACCTGCACACCACCAGCCCTCCTGCTCCCGGTCACGTTCCTCTTCCTTAGTTCCACCTGGAGCTCACCTGACTTGACCCCAATTCCCTCTCCCTCTTAACACAACTGTCCTCTTCCCTCTTATTTCCCTCAAACCTTTATAGTGATTGTGCAGACATTTGAGGTGGAGACCATGAAAGACAGTGTGGGACTTCCTAGGCTGTGCATGGGGAGTATCCCCCTTCCTCAAGGGTGTAGCCCCACTTCAGCACTTGGGTCCCTGCACTGAGCCACCTGCCTATCTGATGGAGACACCCCCATCCCTGGCAGGAGTGCCTGAACCCTATTCAACTTCCTCAAACCTGGCACCAAGCAACAAGAACCTTCTCTTTCTGGGAAGACCCAGACAGGGCCAGAGTCAGGGCCAAGTATTACAGCCTTAGGGACAGGTAGTACAGGAGACTGGTATGGGCAGTTCAGTCCCAGGCCATGGAGAACTTGGTCACCACTGTTGTGCAGTGTTGTCCTAGGGCCCAGGTTCTTGCTGAGGGCTAGAGGCCCTTGTCACACTTCCAGGCAGTTTCCTCCTGAAGAGAGCCTCAGCATGTGCAGGCTGGAGTTGCCTCCCCGGAGGCTAGAGAAAAAGAGCTTTTCAAAAGTCCTCACTTAGGAGTGCACATTCAGACAAGAGCCCTTATTTGTTTAAGGATAGTCTGGATTTGGCTAAACTGCTAATAGTCATGTTTAAAATCATTTTTTTTCTTTTGAGATGGCGTCTCGCTCTGTCGCCCAGGCTGGAGTGCAGTGGTGCGATCTCGGCTCACTGCAACCTCCGCCTCCTGGGTTCAAGCGATTCTCGTGCCTCAGCCTCCTGAGTAGCTGGGATTACAGGTGTGCACCACCACACCCAGCTCATTTTGTGTTTTTAGTAGAGACAGGGTTTCGCCATGTTGCCCAGGCTGGGCTCAAACTCCAGGACTCAATGATCCACCCACCTCGGCCTCCCAAAGTGCTGGAATTACAAGCACGAGCCACTGCGCCTGGCCTCAAGTTAAAATGCTTTTAAATGAATTTCTGTTCCTGGAGTGAGTGCCATGTACCTAGGGTGCCAAGAAGGTACTCTGCACACAGATGTCTTGAAATTCAGTGTTTTTGTTTGTTTGTTTGTTTGTTTGTTTGAAGCACAGCTTCCAAACCCAATATTACTATTGCTGCTGGCAATGAGGAAAGCTCTCTAATGGGGAGGCCTCTTCTCCTTCATAGACCCTCCACACAGACACCACACACTCCATGCTGTCACTCCAGGATCTCTGCACACACTCTAGATGTAGACAGAACATCTATACTTTATAAAGTGAGATGATTTCTAACTTCTCTGATCCCCACTTTAATGCTCCATAGACAAAAGAGCTCCGGAACTTGCCCTCCCTGTCCCCTTCCTGTGCCCCCGCAGCACTGCCTCCCTAACCCACCAGTTTTACAAGCAAGCGGCTTTCCCCTTTCTGTGCTCTTCCCTTAACTATAAACAAGAAATGAAAATACTCTATACAGGTTTCCTTCTGCTTCAAAAGGCTGCAATGTTAAGACCTTAACCAACAGCATAAACTCTCTAGAAAAGTAACTTGTTTTGGCTGGAACTGCTGGAATGGAATGCGGGGTGTCATTCCAATAAGAAATCCCTTTTAGACTTCCGTTCACTCAAGCCGAAAGAAAAACACCTTTCTTTGGATGCTGTGAGTAAAAAATGGCCAGAGTTTTTTTTTTTTTTTTTTTTTTTTAGCAGCATGACTGAAAAGTGTTCATTAACTGAGCCTTATTACCAGGCTGCCCTCTTTAAGATGGTAAATAATACTAATAAAGTTTCACTAAAAGGAAGGCAATATGGTTTAGGGACATTAAGAGATGTCTCAAGTGAGCTTGAAGTAGAATTTACAGGTTAGTTCTATTTGGTTATTTTCATATAATAGCACCCTGAGTCTACGCATATATAAAGCACAGTCCTGTATACAATGCAGTCAGTCATGGTACTGGTTTTGTAAGCTCACCAGCTCAGCTTTCCCCCACTGTACCCCCTGCTGCTGCCACCCCCCACTCTCCTATATGTCTCTTTGCATTAGAAGTGAGGCATCAAAGATAGCTGATAGAGCTCTCAGGCAGCCAAAGGCATGATCAAAGAGCAAGCAGGGGCTGCACATTGGTAGAACTGTGGTCCTTACAGAAGCGTTATGTTGCACCCACTGCAATTCCCACAAACACCTAGGATGAATTAAGAGTCAAAACAGGCCGGGCGCGGTGGCTCACACCTGTAATCCCAGCGCTTTGGGAGGCCGTGACGGGTGGATCACGAGGTTGGGAGTTCAAGGTGAGCCTGGCCAAGATGGTGAAACCCCGTCTCTACTAAAAATACTAAAAATTAGCCGGGCATACTGGTGGGCGCCTGTAATCCCAGCTACTCGGGAGGCTGAGGCAGAGAATTGCTTGAACCCGAGAGGCGGAGGTTGCAGTGAGCCGAGATCGCATCACTGCACTCCAGCCTGTGCGACAGAGTGAAACTATGTCTCAAAAAAAAAAAAAGTCAAAATGAACAGTTGATTGCTTCCTGATTACTAAGTTTTGTGCAAAGCCCTGTTAGTCCCCACCACAAGACTATTGCTCCACCCAGCCAAAATTGTAGAGAGGCATTGCACACTCTCTCCTCCTGACAGCAAATCCAGGGCTGGTATCCCAGGGGAGGAAAAAAATCAAAAAATCCAACAGAATCACTCACAGTTCTGACCTCCACACCTACCACCCACCTGTTGCCCTGAATAAAGAAGGACAGCACAGGATCGCCTCTGCCATTGGCTTTTATCACCTTCATACAGTTCCCATTGAAGAAATTGTAAATTCGGATCTTGCCATCTGCACAGGCGCTGATGACCCGGAGGAAGAGAAGGGACACGTCGAGCACCTCTCTGGAAGGGAACAGAGTAGCAGGCAGTACCCATCCTCTCATAAAATGCCTGGGTTTGTTTGTAGGTTGGGAGCATTTTGTGTGTGATTGAGCGGCACTGGCCATAACTGGCCTCAAAATGGTGTTTGCTGCCTTTTTTTTTTTTTTTTTTGAGATGGAGTTTCACTCTTGTTGCCCAGGCTGGAGTGCAACGGTGCGATCTTGGCTCACTGCAACCTGCACCTACCAGACACAAGTGATTCTCCTGTCTCAGTCTTCCAAGTAGCTGGGATTACAGTGATGCGCCACCAAGCCTGGCTAATTTTTTTGTATTTAGTAGAGACGGGGTTTCACCATGTTAGTCAGGCTGGTCATGAAATCCTGACCTCAGGTGATCCACCTACCTTGGCCTCCCAAAGTGCTGGGATTACAGGCATGCGCCACCATGCCCGGCCTGCTGTCATTTTATAATTGTGGAAGTAAACCGTGAGCTTCTCTCAAGACATACCTCTTCCCATTCTGCAGCTACTTTCCCTGCAATTAGGTCACAGGGCCACAAGATGACAAAACAAAAAGGCTGATGTCACAATCTTTTTTTTTTATCTAACATATAGATGATCATGTTTGTCTCTTGCAATTTGATTCCTAGAGTTTACTTATACAATAGTCATGCTGAGAATTATTTAATGTTTTGATTCTTTTTAAAATAGTATTATTGGCTGGGCAAGGTGGCTCACGCCTGTAATCCCAGCACTTTGGGAGGCTGAGGCGGGCAGATCATGAGGTCAGGAGATTAAAACCATCCTGGCTAACACCGTGAAACCCCGTCTCTACTAAAAATACAAAAAATTAGCTGGGTGTGGTGGTGGGCGCCTGTAGTCCCAGCTACTCAGAAGGCTGAGACAGGAGAATAGCGTGAACCCAGGAGGTAGAGCTTGCAGTGAGCCAAGATTGCGCCACTGCACTCCAGCCTGGCAACAGAGCGAGACTCTGTCTCAAAAAAAAAAAAAAAAATTCAATATCTTCTCAAAACCCCCAGTTTCTATAGTTACTTCACAAGAAAAACAAGGGAGAGTGGAAGAGGCTAACAGTCAGACAGAGAAGATGGTGGGGAAAAATGGGTCCCAGGTGGAAGAGGAGGGAAGCAGAGAGGGTGAGGTGCAGAGAACACGATGTCTACAGGGAGCAGAAGGTCTGCCAATGATTGCAGTCTAGGCTATGACGGGGAAGGGAAGGACACCAGGTTCATCGCTCCGGGCTTCACAGGCACCTACTTGGGATGCTTGAAGGCCATCAGGCAGCGCTCGTACTTCCCCACCATGCTCCAGGCCATGACCAGGCCATCAGTGCTTCCTGAGAGGAGATGCCACTGGTCAAAGAACAGGCATTTCACAGCTCCCTCGTGGCCACTGAGAGTCTGCAAGAAAAGATACCACTGTCTTCAACTCAGACTGTGACTCCTCCAAGAACCAAAGCTGAGCCTTCTTCAGATGAATCCCAAAGCCACCCCCCAACCAATCTGTGACTGCCATTCACTCGGTAGGTACCTGAGCTAATCCTGCTTTTGCTCTAAGAAGGCCAATGGAGGCCGGGCGCGGTGGCTCATGCCTGTAATCCCAGCACTTTGGGAGGCCGAGGCGGGCGGATCACAAGGTCAGGATATTGAGACCATCCTGGCCAACATGGTGACACCCTGTCTCTACTAAAAATACAAAAATAAGCTGGGCTTGGTGGCACACACCTGTAATCCCAGCCACTCGGGTGGCTGAGGCAGGATATTCGCTTGAACCAGGGAGATGGAGGTTGCAGTGAGCCAAGATCTCACCACTGTGCTCCAGCCTGGTGACAGAGCGAGACTCTGTCTCAAAAAATAAATAAAGAAAAAAAGAAAAGAAAAAATAAAAGAAAAAAAGAAGGCCAATGGAGTCCATTCCACATAGAGCTCTCTCTCGGGTTAAGGAGGAATGGGATCAGGGTGGGGCCTTGCTCCTGGTGGGTCTGTGTTTGGGGCAGACACTACCTTCTTGGAGCACTAGAGAGGGCCAGAAATCACTGTCCTTTGCTGTGAGAAGGACGAAGGTAAGGTGTGCCATCCCAGCTCCTTGCCAGAACCCAGAGTGCACATGGGCCATCCCTGTGCCTGCAACCGCTGGATTGGCCATAGTGACAAGATTGGTGGGGAAATTCCACAGGCCAAGCCAGCCACTTTTCACTGTGATCCTGTGTTCCTGCTGCAAATCATATATCAACACCACCCGCTAAGGCTAGGGGTTCCGATCCAGCAAGAATATGTTTCATGACCATCCAATCACTTTCAAGACCATCCATGTTCTCTCTTCATTAGAGAGCATGGAGAAAAAAAATTCTCTGTTCATCCCCCAGTGTTTTCTTCTTAGGAAAAAATGCTTCGTTCATCCCCTCACCCCATGCCAGAATGCAATACTCTTTTTTTTTTTTTTGAGACGCATGATCTCAGCTCACTGCAACGTCTGCCTCCCTGATTCAAGCAATTTTCCTGCTTCAGCCTCCCAAGTAGCTGAGGTTACAAGCGCCCACCACCATGCCCGGCTAATTTTTTGTATTTTCTTTTTTTTAGTAGAGACAGGGTTTCACTATGTTCGTCAGGCTGGTCTCGAACTCCTGACCTCATGATCCGCCTGCCTCAGCCTCCCAAAGTGCTGGGATTACAGGTGTGAGCCACTGCGCCTGGCCCTACAGAGTGCAATACTCTGGAGGAGAAAAAGGTACTTCACCTCCACTGCTGTTAGAAGGCCCTGAGCCCATATCTCATGCTGAGTCAGAATGCAGCCTTCCTCTACCAACCCCATGATACTGTGGGTCATGATGTGGGCGGTGGAGCCCCTACCCTCCACGGACTCTGAATGCCTCACTTTGGGGCCTTCCCCTTTAGAGCTTCAGGACTGTCCTTCTTGAAGGCCATACTCAGTTACTCTAGGATGACCTGAGGAGCTAGGTAGGGGGAGCCCACCCATCTCCTCCCCAGTGCCCTTTCCGCCAAGGTAGCCCACTGCCCACTTACCTTTACCAACTGGGCCATGGCAATGTGCCACACTTTCACCAGCCCTCGCTCACAGCTGCTCACAATGTAGGTATCATTGATCCTGGTGGCCAAGATGGGGTCTTTGTGTCTAAACGTCTTCAGGCACTTCCCTGTGTCTACATCCCATACTGAAAAGGAGGGAGACAGAGGAAGACATGGGAGTGGGGAAAAAGGGGGAAAAGGAAAGGTTACAGTGGAGTTCTGCTCCCCATCACAGAAGCAAAGACTCATCGAGCCCATCAAGTCAGATTCTAGAAGGACTTCCCGTGGCCTAGCACCTCCGAAGAGCAGGCTCACCAACAGCTCATGTGCCCACAGCACAGAGCGCCCTGAATACAGGTGGTTGAGGGAGCCCGCAATCCAGAAGACCTTGGCTATGGCCCTGGAACTTAGCCTTGAGGCCCAAGTGCTAGACAGCTCATCTCTAATCAGCTGATTCCTCAAGCCTGAAAAATGCTTGCTATCGAGTAGATTTCATAAAAATCATGGCATACAGCTTGAGTAGGGGCAGGTAAAATTAAAAAAAAAAAAAGAAAATCTTGGCATACATGTAGTGTTGTCATTTTTCCCAGATGTTGTCTTCCTGACCCACACCTTCTATCCCCAAAATGAAAGAAGGTCATCTACCCTCACTTACATTTTTAAATACTTCTGAATCTGACTTTTCAATTTTATGGAGAAATGGTCACAGCTAGGGGTGGGTTTACTGCTGCTTCAACACAGACTGTGTTAGAGCAACTGCCTGGCATATTCTAGTGGGGATGAGAGTGGGTGGGTGGCAGAACAGGGTTTTCTAAAATGAAGAAGTTGATGCCGGGCCCAGTGGCTCATGCTTATAATCCCAGCACTTTGGGAGGCCAAGGCGGGTGGATTACCAGGTCAGGAAATCGAGACCAGCCTAGCCAACATGGTGAAACCCCGTCTCTACTAAAAAAAAAAAAAAAAAAAATTAGCTGGGCGTGGTGGCGTGCAACTGTAGTCCCAGCTACTCGGGAGGCTGAGGCAGGAGAATCACTTGAACCCGGGAGGCAGAGGTTGCAGTGAGCCAAGATTGTGCCACTGCACTCCAACCTGGCCACAGAGCAAGACTCCATCTCAAAAAAAAATAAAAATAAAAAAGGAAGATGTTGAAAGTGATCTCTATGAATTCAGGAATGAAAACATTAAAGTCTCCTTCAAAGGTGCTCCCCAAAAGCACCTTCTTCCTCAGGCAACAGGACAAGTGGTCTGAGACAAAATATAACAACAACCAGAGTTGACACTTACATGGCACTAACAGCCGGCGATGACTCAAGGTGTGTGACATGCTCATCGTCACAAGACAAGTACTATTATTATTCCCCACTACACAGATGAGGAAACTGAGGCATAGAGAAGTTGGGTTGCCTGCTCAAGTCTTGCAGGTGGTGAGTGGCAGAGCCGGGATTTGGACCTAGGGAGTCTGGATCCAGAGGCCATGTGCTTAATCATTTCTGCTAGGTTAGCCCTAACTATGTAAGTATGCTTTCCTTCACTTATATTTTATGTATATATCTTGGCCCATTTATAAAATTATCAATGGGGCTCTAGTGAGGATTAAATAATGTATGTTAAGCATCTGTCACAAAACTGGTACTCAGTAAATGGCAGCCGTTGTTGTTCATGGACTTATTATATTCCCCACTATATATTTATGTATCTGCTTCCATTAGGAGACAATGAGCCCTTTGAAGAAATAAAAAGTTATATCTAAAGGGCCATATCCTATTATTTTTTTTTTCTCCTCAGCACTTAGCTCAGTGTGTGGCTTGCTGTAGGTATTCTACAGACGGTTGTTGAATGGATGGATTGATTGATAGATGGAAGGAAGGAAGGATGGGTGGGTGGGTGGGTGGATGGATGGATGGATGATAAAGAATAAATGAGTGCCTGCCTATAGAAATGAGCAAAACAAAGCATTTTGGTAACCTGTGGGTCGGGGGAAACTTCTTAGAAAATTTAAGGCACTTCTTTCTCACCTTTTACCTGGCAATCTCTTCCTCCAGATACGAGCCTGTTCTTACACAAGTCCATGCAAGTGATAGTCCCCTGGTGACCACCGAAGATTCGTGTGCAAACCCCACTTTTCAGATCCCAGTATCTGCAGGAATCAGGCCAAAAGAATGTGAGAGTTCCTGAGGGCCCAAAGGATCATACTGCGTAGAACCCATGTAGATAATTAGTTAGTTGGGAGGCAGCAGATTCTC
This sequence comes from Homo sapiens, assembly GCF_000001405.40. Classification (NCBI taxonomy): domain Eukaryota; kingdom Metazoa; phylum Chordata; class Mammalia; order Primates; family Hominidae; genus Homo; species Homo sapiens. The sequence continues at coordinate 15,598,760 of NC_000017.11, forward strand.
ATGGTTCAGCTTAGAGTCAGGGGCCTGGATTTGAATCCCAGCTGCAGCACCTATTTGGTGTAACTTTGAGGAAGTTAATTTCTGTGTAAGTTTCCTTTCCTCATTGATAAAATGGAAATAATAATAAGAGTCGTTGGTCAGGCACAGTGGCTCACCCCTGTAATCCCAACACTTTGGGAGGCTGAGGCAGGCGGATCATGAGATCAAGAGATTGAGACCATACTGGCCAACATGGTGAAATCCTGTCTCTACTAAAAATACAAAAATTAGCCAGGCATGGTGGCGTGCACCTATAATCCCAGCTACTCAGGAGGCTGAGGCAGGAGAATTGCTTGAATCCGGCAGGCAGAGGTTGCAGCGAGCTGAGATTGTGCCACTGCACTCCAGCTTGCCAATAGAGCGAGACTCTGTCTCAAAAAAAAAAAAAAAAAGAGTATTTACATCATAGGGTTTTTGTGAAGAATTAAATGGACTAATACAGTGATTGTCAATCTTGGGTAACTTCTACCCCCATAGGCCATTTGGAAATATCTGGAGATATTTTTGGTGGTCACAAGCCGGGAAGGAGGTGCCACTGGCATCTAGTGCATAGAATCCAGAGATGCTGCTAAACATCCTACATTGCACAGGGCAGGCCCCACAGTAAAGAATTTCCCAGCCCCAGATGGCAATAGTGCCAAGGTTGAGAAACCCTGCACCAGTGGAGATAACACTGGAATAGTGACTAACATGTACAAAATGCTTGATCAGTGTCAGGTGGTTTTTAGATAGAAGCGTCCTGAATGACCACCAGCCTTAGAATCCATGGCACTGATTCCACGGTACAGTGGATCTGCAAACAAGAGCAACAGAATCCTTTACCAATCACTTAGATCCAAAATATTTATGCACATATAGGGCATATCTAAGAGATAGATGGGAGCAAAGATGAATTATCTGTTTTTTAACAAGAACACTTGCCCAAGGTCTCTCAACTGCCATTGATGCTTCCGCTTCAGCTAGGCTGCTTTTGAGACAGGACAAAGCAGAATGCTGAGATAATGGTTCTGGAGAAGGCTGCCTGAAGTCCATTCCCAGGGCCATCACTTACTAGCTGTGTGATTCTGGGCAAATTACTGAACTACCACTTACCTCAGTTTCTTCATCTGTAAACTGAGAATAATAATTGTACTTACAGCCGGGCACGGTGGCTCACACCTGTAATCCCAGCACTTTGGGAGGCTGAGGCAAGCAGATCACGAGGTCAGGAGATCGAGACCATCCTGGCTAACATGGTGAAAACCCGTCTCTACTAAAAATACAAAACATTAGCCGGGCGTGGTGGCAGGTGCCTGTAGTCCCAGCTACTCGGGAGGCTGAGGCAGGAGAATGGCGTGAACCTGGGAGGCGGAGCTTGCAGTGAGCCGAGATGGCGCCACTGCACTCCAGCCTGGGTGACAGAGCGAGACTCTGTCTCAAAAAAAAAAAAAAAATGTACTTACTTCACAGAGTTATTGTGAGGCTTGGCACATAAAAACGATTAATATGTCTTTGTAGTTTTTTGGATATGTTAAAGCTTTTTCTTCTAATATTCCCAAGGGTTTTGCAGCCTTACCAATGCCTTACCAGTTTCTCAGAGCCTACAATGCAGCCACAGTGCATTGAATGATGGCACAGTGCTCTGAAAGAAAGCATGTTTTGAATTTCTGTTTCTAGCAATATGGTGGTATATGTCTTCAGGTTGGTTTTTTAAATTTATGCAAGAAAAGGTATTTGATAAATACTTTTAGAAAAATAGGAAAAGAAGGAACTTTCCAGATTTAGTAAAAGGTATAAGCCAAAGTCATAACAGCAGGTATTATGCTCAGTGGAGAAACTGTAGATGTATTCCCTTCCAGAAGGGGAACAAGATGAAGATGCCCACTCTCACTGCTACTGCCTGCCACAGCACTGGAAGGCCTAGGCAAAGTTAGAAGAAAAGAAAAACAAAAGGTGGTATAGGCATTAGAAAAGAAGATAATATATTGTCGGCCGGGCGCGGTGGCTCATGCCTGTAATTCCAGCACTTTGGTAGGCCGAGGTGGGCAGATCACGAGGTCAGGAGATTGAGACCATCCTGGCCAACAGAGTGAAACCTCGTCTCTACTAAAATACAAAAAAACATTAGCCAGGCGTGGTGGCACATGCTTGTAGTCCCAGCTACTCGGGAGGCTGAGGCAGGGGAATCCTTTGAATCAGGGAGTCGGAGGTTACAGTGAGCCGAGATCGCGTCACAGCACTCCAGCCTGGCAACAGAGCGAGACTCCATCTCAAAAAAAAAAAAAAAAAAAAAGATAATATATTGTCATTTGCAGTTGATAGGATTGTCTACATAGAAAAACCAATTATTGGCCAGGTGCAGTAGCTCACGCCTGTAATCCCAGCACTTTGGGAGGCCGAGGCGGGCGGATCACAAGGTCAGGAGATCGAGACCATCCTGGCTAACACGGTGAAACCCCGTCTCTACTAAAAATACAAAAAATTAGCCAGGCGTGGTGGTGGGCGCCTGTAGTCCCAGCTACTCGGGAGGCTGAGGAAGGAGAATGGCGTGAACCCAGGAGGCGGAGCTGGCAGTGAGCTGAGATCGCACTACCGCACTCTAGCCTGGGCGACAGAGCAAGACTCCGTCTCAAAAAAAAAAAAAAAAAAAAAGAGAAAGAAAAACCAATTATGAAACATACATGCTTTTAGAACTAATAAGAGAGTTTGGCAAGGATGCCAGACACAAGATCAATTTACAAAAATCAATTGCATTTCTCTATGCCAGCAATAACTAATTTGAAAATATAAGCAAAATTAAGATACCATTCACAATAGTAATAAAATTATAACGTGTACAGCATTAAGTAAAAATACACAGGACTTTTATGAAGAAAACTTTAAGGCTCTAAGAAAGAACACAGATGATCTAATTGAGTGTGTTTACCAAACTAATCTATAAATTCAATGCAGCCCAAATAAAAAGTCTAGTTAGGTTTTATTGAAAGTTGGTAAACTTACTCCAAAAACTCAAAACTTATATACTATAGCTGTTACATAAAAAAGAAAAGTGAGGCCGGGCGCGGTGGCTCATGCCTGTAATCCCAGCACTTTGGGAGGCCGAGGCGGGCAAATCACGAGGTCAGGAGATCGAGACCATCCTGGCTAGCACAGAGAAACCTTGTCTCTACTAAAAATACAAAAAATTAGCCAGGCATGGTGGCGGGTGCCTGTAGTCCCAGCTACTCGGGAGGCTGAGGCAGGAGAATGGCATGATCACGGAAGGCGGAGCTGGCAGTGAGCTGAGATCGCACCACTGCACTCTAGCCTGGGCGAGAGAGCGAGACTCCGTCTTAAAAAAAAAAAAAAAAGAAAAGTGAAAAGTAGAATTTCCCTCCCAGTCACATTTTAAAACATTCTCCAAATGCATACCTAAAAACAAAACAAACAGTTTTCAAGGAGGGGGATTTTGATTAAAAACAGAAAGACAGTGGACTAGATCAGAGAGCTCAGGGACATTCTCATGCACATATGGGAAATTTCCATGTGATAAAGATAGCACCTCAAATCAATGGAGGAAGTGGCAGGTTATATAGTAGTTGCTGTGGGGGAGAAACTGCTCACATTATTCATTTATGAATAAATGAAATGGAAACTCTACCTAACGCCACATACAAGGTTGAATTGCAAATAGATTAAAAAACTGAATGCAAAAGATAAAACTGTAATGTTGATAGAAGAAAATATTAGAAAATATCTCTGTGACCTAGAAGAGGGAAGAATCACAGAAATGAGGAAAAAAAAAACCCTGATAAACTGATATTTTATTACATTCATATTGAGATTTTTTTTTTTTTTTGAGACCGAGTTTTTTTTTTTTTTTTTTTTTTGAGACGGAGTCTCGCTGTCGCCCAGGCTGGAGTGCAGTGGCGCAATCTCGGCTCACTGCAGCCTCCGCCCCCTGGGGTTCACGCCATTCTCCTGCCTCAGCCTCCCGAGTAGCTGGGACTACAGGCGCCCGCCACCTCGCCCGGCTAATTTTTTGTATTTTCAGTAGAGACGGGGTTTCACCGTGTTAGCCAGGATGGTCTCGATCTCCTGACCTCGTGATCCGCCCGCCTCGGCCTCCCAAAGTGCTGGGATTACAGGCGTGAGCCACCGCGCCCGGCGAGACCGAGTTTTGCTCTTGTTGCCCTGGCTGGAGTGCAGTGGCACCTCCCAGGTTCAAGTGATTCTCCTGCCTCAGCCTTCCTGAGTAGCTGAGATTACAGTCATGTGCCACCATGCCCAGCTAATTTTGTATTTTTAGTAGAGACGGGGTTTCTCCATGTTAGTCAGGCTGGTCTCAAACTCCCGACCTCAGATGATCCGCCTGCCTCAGCCTCCCAAAGTGCTGGGCTTACAGGCGTGAGCCACCGCGCCTGGCCCATATTGAGAATTTTTGTTCAACAAAATTCATGTAGATACTATGAACAAAGTTAATAGATAGTCCTGGCAAGAGGGTATTCTCCAGCAGATGGCCTTTGGGCTTCATCTGCACCGTTGGCTCTCCTGGGTCTCCAGCCTGCTGGCCCCACACTGCAGATTTTGGACTTGCCAGCCACCTTGATCACACAAGTCAATGCTTTATAGTAAATCTCCTATGTATATACACATTGTATTGGTTCTGTTTCTCTGGAGACCCTGACTAATACACATATGAAAAGGTGTTCAACTTCATTAGTAATCAGGAAAGTTAAAATTTAAACCCCAATAAAACACAGTGGGTTTTATTTAATACCCATCAGATTGACAAAACTGTTAGACTGTCAATATTAAGTGTTGGTGAGAATATATAAGAAGAGATATTCTCATATGCTGCCAATGGGAATGTAAATTAATACAACCACATTGGAAAACAGTTTAGTACTCCTTCCTAGAAATTCCCATACTAAGAATATACCTTTAAAAAACTCATGCACATGGGCACCAGGGGACACATCCAAGACCCGTCTCTGGCAGCATTCTTTGAAATAATTAAAAACTAGAAACAAGGGCTGGGCGCGGTGGCTCACACCTGTAATCCCAGTACTTTAGGAGGCCGAGGCGGGTGGATCATGAGGTCAGGAGATCGAGACCATCCTGGCTAACACGGGGAAACCCCTTCTCTACTAAAAAATACAAAAAAAAAAAAAATAGCCTGGTGTGGTGGCGGGCCCCTGCAGTCTCAGCTACTTGGGAGGCTGAGGCAAGAGAATGGTGTGAACCTGGGAGGCGGAGCTTGCAGTGAGCCAACATGGCGCCACTGCCCTCCAGCCTGGGTGACACAGTGAGACTCTATCTCAAAAAAAAAAAACAAAAACTAGAAACAATGCAAATGTCCACCAACAGAAAAACAAATAAATGAGTTATGATACAATCATCCAATTTAATACAGTATCTCAGTGAAAATAAGTTAATTACTGCCACCTGCATCATATAGGTGAATCTCAAAAACATAGTTCCATGTAAGAATGAGGTACCAACAAATTTTTAAAATATGATTCTTTTTATGTTGAGTTCAAAAACAGGCACAAGTAACTAATACTTCTGGAGATGTATAAGAAGGAAGCAAAAATGATAAAGAAATGCAAGGGAATCATTAGTATAAAATTAGAATAATATTACCTCTGGTTGGCAGGAAGAAGCAAGAAGAGAAGGGCACAGTGGGAGGGTTAGGGAATGGTGGTATCTTATTTCTTGGCCTGAGTAATGGACGCATGAGTGTTTGTTATATTGTTTAAAAATATACATATGTGGTTGTTTTTGGGTTTTTTTGAGATGGAGTCTTGCTGTGTCGCCCAGTCTGGAGTGCAGTGGCGCGATCTCGGCTCACTGCAAGCTCCACCTCCCGGGTTCACACCATTCTCCTGCCTCAGCGTCCCGAGTAGCTGGGACTACAGGTGCCCGCCACCACGCCCAGCTAATTTCTTGTATTTTGTTTAGTAGAGACGGGGTTTCACCATGTTAGCCAGGATGGTCTTGATCTCCTGACCTCGTGACCCGCCCACCTCGGCCTCCCAAAGTGCTGGGATTACAGGCGTGAGCCACCACGCCTGGCCACATATGTGTTTTTAAAGCACTATTTTGCCTCTATAGTCTGTCTCAAACCCATAAAAAACCACGTTCCCCTGAAAGAATCTGTAAGAACAAATGTAAATTATTTCTTCCTCTAAGAATGCTAATAAAGAAAATTTTTCTGATTTGCAGTCATCAATTAGAAAATATATCTGATAACTGTTATAAATCCATCTCATTCAAATGTTAAGCAATATATACATTCCTGACTTTTTCCTTGCCAAAAAAAAAATAAGCTGAAGGTATTCTAGAAGTCAGTATCTTCTAGGAAAACTGTTAACTATAAAAAGAAGAAGCATGCACACTTCTTCCATGAGCTGCCTCTAGGCCCTAGGTGGGACAGGGATCATGATGTCTTTGGACTCCTCACCTGATACTTAGGTCATAGCTCCCGCTTAGGAGAAAGTTTTCCTCCTCACACAGGAAGAGGGCCCGGACACTCCCAGCATGGCCTCGGAATTCAACGGGTATCGCTTTCACTTGTATGATGTCCAGAAGATGGATCTTTCGATTAGATGACACAGCTATCAGATCTCCCCCGGAATAGTGGATGACTCGGTTTTGATCCCACCTGAGTGCCAGGGGAAAAGGATTATCCATGAAAGAAGAGTCAGTGTCCCTCCTGGGACTGACTTAGCCCCATGACTTTTGCCTACAGCAGTGGTGTAAAGGAAAATCCAGGGCCTTTCAACAAGGGAGGCAGCAGAAGGCAAGGTTGAGAATTAACAGGCTCTGAGGGATCCCCACTCTCATACGATGACAAAAATCCATTTCCGTTAAATTTAAAAACTAGAGACACAAGGCAATTTTTTAACAATTCTGTAAATGTATGCTAAATCCCCAAGAGAGAGAACAGAGTATGTGGCATTGCCCGGATTTAATTGATCACGGAAACCTTTTTTCTTGGAAAACATCAGAGGAACACAGTTGGGAAGTCCTGTGCACACTGTATTTCTTTTCTTTTGTTTTTTCCCTTAATCAATATCCAGTGACCATATATTAGGTTCAAAGTCCTGTGCTAGTAGATATCACAGGAAATATAAATAATTATCAGATAAGGACCTTACTTACAATGAGCTTATTGTCCCATAAAACTAGGTGAGTTGAATTAATCTTTCAATCATAGGATTATTAGCAAATAGGTAAAGTATGAACAGGATGACCAAATAATGTATTGTCCAAACTGAGAGTTTTTTATTGTGAAAGGGGACACTATTTATTTATTTTTAGAGACAAGGTCTTGCTCTGTCACCCAGGCTGGAGTACAGGGGCACAATAATAACTCCCTGTAACCTCCAGCTCTTGGCCTCAAACGATCTTCCTACCTCAGCCTCCCAAAGTTCTGGGGTTACAGGCATGAGCCACCACGCCCAACCTGGGGACACTATTATTAATGACACTAGGACTGCAGACTAGAGAGGGATTGTTCCAATAAGCAGGGATGTATAGTCACTCTAAATATGGGGAGCTTTGAGACCAATCTGACCAGAGAACGAAACCCCGTCTCTACAAAAAAATTCAGAAATTAGCCAGGCGTGGTGGCATGTGCCTATAGTCCCAGCTACTTAGGAGACTGAGGGAGGAGAATCGCTTGAACCCAGGAGGTGGAGGTTACAATGAGCCAAGATTGCACCACTGCAGCCCAGCCTGGACGACAGAATGAGATTCACTCTGAAAAAAGAAATATGGATAGTATGGTGATAATTGTTCTTTAAACTACATATATATGTGTGTGTGTATATACATATATTTTTATGTATATATATATACATGTACATATATGTATATGTGTATATATATATGTGTGTGTATATGTACACACATATATATAAGGAGCAATTCTTGATATTTTTGCCCTTATTCCGTTTGTCATACCTAGAGTTCAACTAGTCACCATCTCTTCTAAAGAGCAGTTATCACCACACTAAGCATAAAAATTCAACTTTGCCTTTCCCCTATCTTATCTGTTCTGTCTTCCCCATACTGACTGTTCTATTGTCAAGATGCAATTTGTTAATAAGATTCATGGCCAAAAATAAAGTAGAAGTGGACTTTGCAAAACCTTGTGAATATAAAGTGAAGTCCTAGGCCTAAAATATGGCAGAAAGTTGCTTATTAAAGGACCTTCGTCTCTCGGCATATTGAAATGATGTCAGAGTATGCAATTATAAATACGATTGTCATATTTACCATGGGAAGATATCTATAGTACTTTGCTGGGCTGGGTTACAGAAATATGTGTAATATAACACCACTTCTACTAAAATATGTGCTAAGTATGCAAAGAAAAGAATTCTAGAAGGGTAGACATCAATATTAATGGTGGTTATTGCTAGGTGATAGACTACAGGAAAACTTTGCCTTTCTCTATACATTTTCTGGCATTTGAAAGATTTTTTCCAATAACCGTATATTATTTCTAAAATTAATAAAACAAAATAAAGATATTTCAAAAAATAAAGATTTTATGTGTGACTTGTGCAAAAAGTTGTTGGTCAGCATACCCAAAATTTAGAAAGGGAAAGTGTCCTTTACCCACTGCCAAGAATGGTGCAAAATGAAGCAGGTATTGTCTACATGGGATCATGTGCGAGTTTAGGGCTGGAGCTTGAGGTGAGGAGAGCTTGCCTTTCCATGTACACAAAGGTCAGGGAAATCCCAAATGTCAGTGTGGATAACTCAAGCGTCCCTAGAGACCCAGATTCTGACCCCAGTACCTACGTGTCAGAGAGAATGCGAACATTGTAGGTCCCACAGAAAACATTTCTCTCCTCCATCAGGACCTGCTGCGTTTCCTCGTTCTGGTATGCAGTCCACAGGTTGTACTCATTCTAACAAGGGAATATTTGAAGTTAAAGCTCAGTGGTAACTTCAAATACCCACAGTCCCAGAGCCCCTAGGGTCTCCCTGGTAAGGGCACAGGGCTCACAGATTCTTCCTCTGAAGGCTGAGGCTGCTGCTCTGCAGAGAAGGGAGCAGCCAGTGAGCAAGCACCAAAGGAAACCATGAGTTAGAAAATGTTGGGTCAAGGTTCTTAATTCTTCTTTCATCTCTTTGATTTTCCATGTGCCCTGATTCCATGAACTTTCAAGGCTGAATTCCAAATGTCACCAATAACACAACTTTTTCAAAAATCAGCTCACAAAGGGTATCCTCACAACATAAAGTCACAGGTGCCCTTTGACCGACCATTTCACAGAAGTCGGAACGTCATATGTATATTACATCTACCTGATAGTACAAAGCACACTCAGGGGATTTTAAGCCAACTGTGAAATTACTGCTACACATGCTATGCTATGCATTTGCATTTTTTTTTTTTTTTTTCAGACGGAGTCTCGCTCTGTCACCAGGCTGGAGTGTAGTGGTGCAATCTCAGCTCACTGCAACCTCCGCCCTCCTGGGTTCAAGTGATTCTCCTGCCTCAGCCTCCAGAGTAATTGGGACTACAAGCGTGCACCACCATGCCCAGCTAATTTTTGTATTTTTAGTAGAGACAGGGTTTCACCATGTTAGCCAGGATGGTCTCGATCTCTTGACCTTGTGATCTGCCTGCCTCGGCTTCCCAAAGTGCTGGGATTACAGGCGTGAGCCACCAGGCCCGGCTGCAATTTTTTTAAGACGGAGTTTCACTCTTCTTACCCAGGCTGGAGTGCAATGGCATGATCTTGGCTCACTGCAACCTCCGCCTCCCGAGTTCAGGCAATTCTCCTGCCTCAACCTCCTAAGTAGTGGGGATTACAGGCATGTGCCACCACGCCTGGCTAATTTTTGTATTTTTAGTAGCGACGGAGTTTCACCACGTTGGCCAGGCTGGTCTCGAACTCCTGACCTCACGTGATCTGCCTGCCTCAGCCTCCCAAAGTGCTGGGATTACACGTGTGAGCCACCACGACCAGCCTGCATTTGCATTTCAAAGTTTTCATACATCTGCAACTTTCATTTGTCCTTGTAGCTGCCTTACAAAGTAGATCACTTGCCCCACAAAATGTTCTCATTATTTTACAGATAAGGTATCTGGGACTCAGGGAAAGGAAATCATTTTATCAAGTCTTGACAGGGGCGCTTTCATTTGCTTCCCAGTCTTTCTTTATTTCCTTCCTGCCTGCCTGCCTTCATTCGTCCTCCCTCCTTCCCTCCCTCCTTTGCTTCCTCTATCACACACCTTCTGGCATTCCAGACATGCTAAATTCTGGCATAGATGACTGAACTAGACTCTCAGTTCCATTTATATTCCCTGCCATATTCTATCCTCAAATAGCCAGAAATAACAGTCCCATTAGACTAGCAGGAAGAAAAAGCAGAATATATTTATCTTGAAGGCAAAGAAGAACACAGCATCATGTTTGCACCTGAGAGTCCTCTTGGGGACATCTCTGAAGTCTCCTTCCAAACCTTAGCCTTCTGCTCCATGCCTTTAGACTCTTCCTCAGATGCCCTCTTTCCTCTGCTCCCTCTCCTTCTTAATCTTTAACCATGTAGTCTATCTCTGCTCAGAAGAATCTGCCAACCTGCCTCCCCTCCAGTGTCCAGGGAGTTTTCCATATCCCAGCCTGAATTAAATAATGCCGCCCTGGATTCTCCCAACCCAGGTGAGAATTCATTGGCCCTTGCTCATCTCCTAAGTTTTGTGAGCCCAAGAAGCCACATGGTGGAGTCATTGGGAAGGGAAAGACCTGAGTTTAAATTCCAGCTCTGCCACTGCCCAGCTGTGAGACCTCGGCCACTTTCTCACACCATATCCTTCATTTCCACATCCATAAACTGGGAGCAACAACACCTCCTCGATCTATGGTGAAATCAAGTAAATGCTGTATGCAGAGCTACGGGCATCAGGCACACAGTTTATACTCATGCTATTACTCACCACCCTGAGAAGCACTCACCTCCGCTTTTCCCAGGAGACTCTGTAACTGCTTAGTCTTGCTATTTCATGTGTTCTCCATACTGTTTCACCTGCTTCTCTGCTTCTCTCCCTTTTCTCTCTCTTTCTTTCTTTCTTTTTTTTTTTTTTTTTTTTTTTGAGATGGAGTCTCGCTCTCTTGCCCAGGCTGGAGTGGTGCAGTGGCGTGATCTCGGCTCACTACAACCTCCATCTCCTGGGTTCAAGTGATTTTTCTGCCTCAGCCTCCCGGGTAGCTGGGATTATAGGCATGCACCACCATGCCTGGCTAATTTTCTATATTTTTAGTAGAGACAGGGTTTTGTCATGTTGGCCAGGCTGGCCTTGAACTCCTGACCTCAGGTGATCCACCTGCCTCAGCCTCCCAAAGTGCTGGGATTACAGGCATGAGCCACTGCGCCTGGCCCCTTTTCTTAAATTACACATGTAAGAATTAAAGAAAGAGGAGAGAAAGGCGAAGGGTGGCTTGACAGTCAACAGGTTTATTTCAAATCTGGGAGGGAATTCTGACCGAGTTACATCAGAAGCCGCACTCTCTTACAGACTAAGAGTCTTTAAGGATTCAGGGTGGGAGAGTTTATCAGATGCTTGGACTGCTTCTGTGTCTCTTTGTTGTGCTTATCTGGGAGGGAGAGTTGTGTGTCTGTCCCCATACATCTTTCTGCAGCTGCAGGCATACCCCCAAGTCTGCTTTAGCTTCACTATCTTAGTGCACTTGAATGGAAAGGAATGTGCTCATGATGGCCCACTGTTTTACTTGGGCCCACTGTATGAGGGTGAAGTTTGGTAGTTACCCAAGAGACTTTCCCCCCACATCCCTCTGTGCCCTAGATGTCTTATCTGTGTTTTACTGTCTGTTCTTTCTGGCTGCTTGTAGTTAGAAGAGATTTCCTTGAAATTCATGAGACTAGAAAGGGACCTGGAACTTAAAGTGGCGGTGTTTGTCCAAGATGACAGTACAATTCTGTCAATACAGTCCAGTTCTGTCAAAACTTCCTAGAATGTCAAACACTGGCTGGGTAGTCCTTCTGTTGGGCCATTACTGACTGTATCACCCAAGGAAGAAGGGTGTTCTTTGTGTTATACTTAAAACAGCAACAGACTTGAAAACAAAAGCAGGTCCACGTTCAAATGAATACCTCTTTCACTCAGCTGGCTGGGAGAGCTTGACCTCTCTGCGCCTCAGTTTCTTTATCTATAAAATGGGTGAAGGGACCAGCTCAGAAATGAAAAACTGCAGGTCAAAGGAAATCCAGAAATGTGTTTTCTTTTTTTTTTTTTTTTTTGAGATGGAATCTCACTCTGTCACCCAGGCTGGAGTGCAGAGGCGCAATCTCGGCTCACTGCAAGCTCCGCCTCCCGGGTTCACACCATTCTCCTGCCTCAGCCTCCCGAGTAGATGGGACTAGAGGCACTGCCACCATGCCTGGCTAATTTTTTGTATTTTTAGTAGAGACAGGGTTTCACTATGTTGGCCAGGCTGGTTTCAAACTCCTGACCTCGTGATCCGCCCGCCTCGGCCTCCCAAAGTGCTGGGATTACAGGCGTGAGCCGCTGCACCTGGCCCAGAAATGTGTTTTCTTTGGCCTATGTAGTTTTTAAAACTGCTTTTAAATGGTTGCCAGCATTTAATAAAAGCAAGAGATTTCACATAATACCTCAGGTTTCTATCTTCCAAGACTTAGATGGTCTAGCGGTCAGGGGCCTCAAGACAATCTCTCAAGACAATAATTAGCCAGAACTGATGAGCAGCTGGCCCTTCAGATGCAGGTGAACTGTCCAGTCCATGACAGCCACACCGTCCGCTACTCCCCACACCACCCGTCTCCTCCTTTGTGTCACCTGCCTGGCCCCTACAGGTCATATGAACTAGATGCTCTCTCTGGATGCTTCTGTTTCTCAAATTCTAATTTAACATAGCTGCCTTATGGGAAGCGACAGTCAAACCATCCCTCATCAACTATCCTTTTGGGGCCAATTAAATAGACTTCAAAATAGACTTTAAGCAGGTGGGGGGGCGCAGAAATCTAATGGTTTTAGGAATATCAACCATGCCTTGATAGTCAAAGCAAAGAGCTCGAAGAGTCTTCCGGTCACTCTTCATTATTGCCCAAGAACTAGTGGAAAGGGCTATATTTAATTAACTTTCCCCTTCCATCCTAGAGCCAGAGTAAACCTGAAAGTGAGGGATGAGGGAGCCAAATTCATCTAGGCCCTAGGCATTCTGGAACCAGCCCTGGCCCTCCCCTCGGGTCCTCCTCAAATTCCTGAGCAGCAGATGCTGGATCCTCCAGAGGCATGGGCTGATGGGGTTGCTCCTGGCCTCTGAACTTGCCACTAAATGACCTGGTGCCATGGACACAAAACACGGCCAGGGGCTTTGAAGTAAGGAAGAACCCTGAGAAGACAACCAAATCAATCCACCCATCCAACACATGAGTAAAGCAAGGCTTAAGAAGAGGAAGTGTCGGGCTGGGCGCGGTGGCTCACGCCTGTAATCCCAGCACTTTGGGAGGCCGAGGCGGGCGGATCACAAGGTCAGGAGATCAAGACCATCGGGGCTAACACGGTGAAACCCCGCCTCTACTAAAAAAAAAAAATACAAAAAATTAGCCGGGCTTGGTGGCGGGCTCCTGTAGTCCCAGCTACTCAGGAGGCTGAGGCAGGAGAATGGCGTGAACCCGGGAGGCGGAGCTTGCAGTGAGCCAAGACTGTGCCACTGCACTCCAGCCTGGGTGACATAGTGAGACTCCATCTCATTTAAAAAAAAAAAAGAGGAAGTGTCTTGCAAGTCAGTAGCAACACAGAACTCTCGTCTTCCTTAAGGAGTGTCACCTGCCGTGATCCTCTGTCCTCACTCCAGGGCTGAGTCTGGACCTCAGCCTTCAATGGCAATTAGAATGAGACGCTCACAGCTACTTGCCCCAGATGCTGTTGGAACCCACCTTCGTTCTCAACTTCCACTTCGGATGTTTCACACGCATGCTCTTCCCGTCATCTACCATTTTAGGAACTGGGATAGAAACCTTATTGGCATAATTAGGATCAATTCCTCTTGTATAGGACCCCTGGAAAAACAAAAAAAAACCAAAAATAAAAACAGAAAATGGCTTCTCTTGGCTCCAACTCTGCAGGAGGAAGGGAAAAACTAGTTCTTGGCAAAATCTGAAGGATGGGTAAGCCCTGGCTGCAGCAGGCAGGCCCACTTCTGGCCAGTTCCTCTGGCAGTGTGTGCAGATCGAATGGAGGAGAAAAATAAACACCAAATGCCACAGGGGGACCAGCAAAGATGGTCAGACTGTCGCCAGCCTCACCATAGCTGCTGCTTCTCATCCTCTGTCCTCTCTGCTGGGGAAAAAAAAAAAATCCAAGTTACCAAAATCCATGGTTTAGGGTGAGACTTCTGGCAAGAAACTGAGAAGTAAAAATGCTGGAGAAGACTGCCATTGGGGAAAATTTCATTTTAACTTAAAAAAATACTTTGCAGCCTTATAAACATCTGTGCTCCATATGAGGTTGATGCAGAGACACATTTATGGCTTTCTTGCTGCATAAGCTGCAATATAACTCCCTGGGGGCTGGGGGTTCTCTGCTTTGTGAGGTGTTGGAAAGGCTCTGTCTCTCTGCTCCTGAGCGGTCTCTATCCCTATTGTCCTTGTGACATGCACTGACAATGAAAGAGTACTCAGTTATTAACAGGAGTTTGGACCAAAAAGAAGGGACCCAGGAAGCCTAAAAGGCCACAAATGTAGAGGAGGAGGCCAGCTAAGGGTTTACTGAAAGGTCCACAGTCATATCAGCCTCAACACGAAAATGAAGCTGGTCTCAGACATTCCCCTTTCAGACTTGCAGGAAGTACCTGCAAGAAGGTAATCTGGTTCTGAATGAAGCCGTGCGCTGACAAGTCCATCTTGACCTGTTGAGCCATGGCGGCCCAGTGCTGGCTCACAGAGGCGCACTTGTTCAGGGTGTGTCTATCCAGCATTCCTGGAAAAAAAAAAAAGATGGACCCAGAAACCCCAGAACTGGGCCAAGAGGGGAGGTGTCTGGGAAATCCCCTCATACACCCCAGCATACTTAGAATGTACTTGGAGAGGTGGATGGGCAGGTAACGGATGAAGTCTCGGTATTTGCTGAACCCAGAAGACAGGTCTCTGATGTCATCCAGGTCAACCAATAGATTGCAGGGATCGTACCCTGGCTTGGTTATGTCTGCTTTTCCAGAAAACAGCCTATTCATTTCGGATATACACCGGAGTGAATTCCTCCATGGTTCCTCTAGAGTGAAGCCGGAGAAAGGTACGTGGTTGAGTTGGCTCTGTAGAAACTCCAGGCCGAGAACAAGTCCCCACCAAAAGCTCTCCCACAAAATAAACCTCCTCAGACTCTAACCTTAGGCCACTAGATTTTTGTCATCTCTTCTGCCACTTGAGAATAGAATCTTTTTTTTTGAGACGGAGTCTCGCTCTGTCGCCCAGGTTGGAGTGTAGTGGCGCGATCTCGGCTCACTGCAAGCTCTGCCTCCCGGGTTCACGCCATTCTCCTGCCTCAGCCTCCTGAGTAGCTGGGACTACAGGCGCCCGCCACCACGCCCGACTAATTTTTTGTATTTTTTTTTTTAGTAGAGGCGGGGTTTCACCGTGTTAGCCAGGATGGTCTCGATCTCCTGACCGTGTGATCCGCCCGCCTCAGCCTGCCAAAGTGCTGGGATTACAGGCGTGAGGCACTGCACCCGGCCGAGAATAGAATCTTTTGACCCAAATATACATGTGCTTTTCAGCTTTTTCAGCCCAAGGAGAAGTCTAGAGTATCAGAGTCTGAAATGATATTGTGCCTGGAATTTTCTTAAAAATACTCCAACAAGAAAAAATTTTAAACAACTTAAGAAAGGGGGGAAAATGAATGGAATAAAATTGGTAAAGTGTTGATAATTGTTGAAGCCAGTGCTATGTGGGTGGGTGGTTATCATACTGTTCTACATACTTTTGAAATTTGAAATTTTCCATATAAAAGTGTTTTAGAATCTATGCCTTGTATTTCCTACGATATTGTGTTTCCGATGATATTTCATGTATATGTCTTGCTTCAGTTCCCAACTTAGGAGTGCCTTGAGGTGGGGAACCAAATTCCCCATTAGTTTTGTTCCCTCCTCAAGACTGAATCCAATACTGCAAAAATAGCCATTGGTGGGTTTAATTCTAGAGCTGGCCACCATGCCAGAGCCCAGGGACTAGATGATGGATTGTGGCCCAGAGCAGAGAAAGACTCCAAAGGAAATCATTGATAGTTTCCTTTCTGATCTCTATTTTCAGATGTGTCTTGTGGGCACTGCAGCGGAGAGGTGCAAATATGGGTTTGGGGGCCATATTGATCAATTTAATCCTTGCTCCTCCCCTTACCAGCTGTGAGAATTAGATGGGAAAGTAATGTCAAAGAGCCCAGCACATTGTAGATGCTAAATGAATGTGAGTTCCTCAAATCTGCCATCCCCAGATGCTATCACCCTGCCAGCCCCTCCAGTTCCACTGGGTCTTCCCAATCTCACATTGGTTGCATATTGGCTTTCTTTTTTTTTTTTTTTTTTTTGAGACAGTCTCGCTCTGTTGCCCAGGCTGGAGTGCAGTGGCATGATCTCGGCTCACTGCAAGCTCTGCCTCCCGGCTTCACGCCCTTCTGCTGCCTCAGTAGCTGGGACTACAGGTGCCTGCCACTGCGCCCGGCTAATTTTTTTGTATTTTTAGTAGAGACGGGGTTTCACCATGTTAGCCAGGATGGTCTCGATCTCCTGACCTCATGATCTGCTTGCCTCGGCCTCCCAAAGTGCTGGGATTACAGGCGTGAGCCACCGCACCTAGCCCATATTGGCTTTCTTGCTGAAAGTTCACTTACCAGGGTTAGATGCTGCCCCAAGGAAGTGTTCATTTTCTGGGGCTTTGGACAAAGGAAGGGATGTGTGCTGAGTTTTGGCTGTCCAATAGACTTGTGAGGTCGCAGACTTGGAGCTGTGGTCTTTCTCAGGGGAAAAACACACATCTGTGATGTCTTGATTGAGCCCTGAAACACAGAAGACCAAGACAAGGTTGCTCTTGAAGTGGGTGTGTTGAGGAAAATGAGGTGGAGAGAAACTTTTTCATTTTTTCTTCCTTCTTTTAAAGATGTACAGAATGGACCAGAGCAGTTATGTCTGTTTTTATTTGGGGCCTCCAAACTTCTATGCAAAAATCTCAGAAAGCTTCCTGTTAGCTTTTCAGCACGCCCCCATTGTAAAATGTCTCGAGTTGTTTATACAAGCAGAGAGAGAGAGTCGAGGTCAGGAACTGCAACAGGGAATGCTCTTCGGAAGCTCAAGCTGAATTTTCTTCAATGATAGAAATAACCACCCTCGAGTCAAAATAGAACATTTAACTTTTTTTTGGTTTGTTTGTTTTTGGTTTTTGAGACTGAGTTTTGCTCTTATTGCCCAGGGTGGAGTGCAATGGCTCGGTCTTGGCTCACTGCAACCTCCGTCTCCTGGGTTCAAGTGATTCTCCTGCCTCAGCCTCCCAAGTAGCTGGGATTACAAGTGCATGACACCTGGCTATTTTTTGTATTTTTAGTACAGATGGGGTTTCGCCATGTTGGCCAGGCTGGTCTCGAACTCCTGACTCCAGGTGATCCACCCGCCTCGGCCTCCAAATGTGCTGGGATTACAAGCGTGAGCCACTGCGCCCAACCAGAACATTTAATTTTTTAAGAGAGAGTCTGCTCTAAGAAAAGAGAAGGTTGTTGGTCCGGCGTGATGGCTCATGCCTGTAATCCCAGCACTCTGGGAGGCTGAGGCAGGCGGATCACAAGGTCAGGAGATGGAGACCATCCTGGCTAACACGGTGAAACCCCGTCTCTATTAGAAATACAAAAAAAATTAGCCGGGCGTGGTGGTGGCAGGCACCTGTAGTCCCAGCTACTCAGGAGGCTGAGGCAGGAGAATGGCGTGAACCCGGGAGGCGGAGCTTGCAGCAGTGAGCCAAGATCAGGCCACTGCACTCCAGCCTGGGCAACAGAGTGAGACTCTGTCTCAAAAAAAAAAAAAAAAAAAAAAAGAAGAAGGTTGCCACAACCTGTAATAGGACTTAACACAACTCCAGTGTAAATAGCCCATTCCTATGGTGAATGGGATGAAGTTTTGGAAGAGCACTGCGGAGCATTGCATCTGTGTGTACAAGCCAGGCCTTCTGCTGCTGGCAGCACTCACTCCAGAGTGGAAGGGGCCCAGGAGGGGATCGTGGTTTTCAGCCCACGTGGTGGGTGACCTAAGCAAAGTCATTCAGATGCCCTGGACTTTGGTCTCCTTATGTAAATATTAAGGATATTAAGTCGGTTGATCTCCAATCTAACTTACTGTTTTTGACACCCTAGGATTCACTGTGTCTTCATTCTATATTATCATTCTTCCATACCCCTGACACACCAAATAAATCAAGTGACATATATTGTGATCTAATTGTGTCCTAGGCCATCCAGCTTTAAAATTCTTTTGGATTCCACTAGTCTACAAATATGACCACCTGTCAGGTCGCACTGGTGACAGGAATTACACACCTTCAAGAGCTAAAACTCCAAAACGCCTCCATGTGACCACCCCCTCCCAGCTTTCTCCCACCTCTGCTTAAATCTGAGCTTCCCCATGTTGGACCTTCCACTCCTGGACCCCTCCAAGGCTCAATTCTCTTGCCTCCTGATACAGTTTGGATATTTGTCCCCTCCAAATCTCATGTTGAAATGTGACCCCCAATGCTGGAAGTGAGGTTTGATGGGAGGTTTTTGGGTCATGGGGGCAGATTCCTCATGAATGGCTTGGTGCCCTTCCCACAGTAATGAGTGAGTTCTCGCTCTATTAATATAGTTCGAGCAAGAGCTGGCTGTTTAAAAGAAACTGACACCCCTCCCCTTCTCTTGCTACTTCTCTTGCCTCACGATACGTTGATTTCCCTTGCATTCCACCATAAGTGGAAGCTTTCTGAAGCCCTCACCAGAAAGAGATGCTGGTGCCATGCTTCTGGTACAGTCTTCAGAACTGTGAGCCAAATAAAACTCTTTTCCTTAGAAATTTCCTTATAAATTACTTAGCCTCAGGTATTCCTTTATACCAAGGCAAAACAGACACCACCCTTATTGTTTCTTCTGCTTCCCTGAACTATCTGGCCAAACACTTCCAAGATTCTCCAACACCCTAGGCCTGTGATTCTCAAAGACAGATCCCCAGTCCAGCAACATCAGCACTAGCTGGAAACTTGTTAGAAATACAGAATCCCTGGTTGAGTGCAGTGGCTCACGCCTGTAATCCCAGCACTTTGGGAGGCCGAGGCAGGCGGATCACGAGGTCAGGAGTCCGAGACCAGCCTGGCCAGCATGGTGAAACCCCGTCTCTACCAAAAAATACAAAAAAATTAGGACATGGTGGCACGCACCTGTAGTCCCAGCTACTTGGGAGGCTGAGGCAGGAGAATTGCTTGAACCCAGCAGGTGGAGGTTTCAGTGAGCCAAGATCGCACCACTGCACTCCAGCCTGGGTGACAGCGAGACTCCATCTCAAAAAAAAAAGAAAAGGAATACAGAATCCTGGGCCCACCTCAGACCTGCTGAGTCTGAAGTTCTGGGGGAGGAGCTTGTTTTAACAGGTCCTGCTGGAGATCCTGATACAAGCCACAGCTGGAGAACTACCACCCTAGACTTATTTGGCCCTTAAGCTATCTCCAGCCTTGGAGAAACTCTACTTTAAGGTTTCATTTCATGGATAAGCAAGGAGCATGGTAGAGTGAATGAAAAAAAAAAAAAGCCCTAAGTTTTGACTTCTTGGTCTGGTTTCTGTGCAGGGCAGCTGAAGAGAAAAACAAAAGCTTCCCCTTTACAACCCTCTCAAGCTCAGTCCAATCCCTAAAGCAGGAACGACACCAGCATTAAGGGGTCAGGGGCAGGGACCAGCCATTTCTGGGCCTATGAAATGCAGAAATCTATGATAAATGCTTGTGAGTTAAAAGTTGTGTACTTCCTCCTGCATTGATCATTTTCAAGAAGGAAGTTACACTCAGTCATTTCTCCTTTGGTAAACAGGATCGGGTGTCAGGACGAGGTGTCAGTTCAAAAAACCTATGCTGCATTCTGTGCAATCTCTGTCTACCTATGTTGTCTACAACTGCAGTTCCTTACAGATTTCTGAAGCCTTGCCTTCTGGTCTTCGGGGGCCCTCTAGTCTCTGCCTGTGGCCTTGTTTACCTGAGATATTGTTCTCCTCTCTCAGAAACAGGACTCTGATCACATTGGCAGCAGTGAGCAGTAATTTGGGGTTGCACATCTGCAGCAGTAAGAGAGTATAATTCGCCTTGGTCCACTGGGTGCTGTTCGCAAACCAATACAAGATCTCTTTCATCTTCTGTTCTACTGTTTTATCCAACATTTGGTTCAAGGAGGACTTCACAACTTTCCCCTCTTTCTTGCTGAGGTCGATCCGGGACCTGTTATAGATGAAATCCTTTCCCTGTGTGGTCTGAAGGATATTTTGGAAATAGTGTAACAAATATAAGCTATTTAACTGCTTCAGAATGCCAACTAGAAACCTCCTCTGTGATATGTCATTGATCCTGCAGAACCACTCTTTGGTAGAGAAGATCTTCCAGGCTAAGACACGCGTCTCACACTTCCGGCATAGAGGGATGGAATCGGTTCCCTTCTCACAACGAAAATAGGGGGCATTCTTGAGCCTTGATTCCAGGTTTTCCATGATCCTAAGATAACCAGTTCATTTTAGCCCTGCGCACTTGCAACGGCAACGCCACCAAACACTAGAGGAACGGGGGGAAATGAATAAATACCCCAGTTGTGCCTTTTCTATTACAAACGTCTCCCAGAGCAAAAGTAAATGGCTGCCATGGATGGAAAGCCTATCTCTCTCAGTAACTGCCAGCAGAAGTCTGGCTTTTTGTACAGACCTCCTTGGAAACATGGCTTTACCGTAAATCTCCTAAACCTGGCACTGCTTTATGTGGAGGCAGTTGCTGTATATTCTGAAAGAGCTGGTCATCTCATTTCTAGAACAACAAGAATACTGTTAGTCAAATTTAAGTAATATGTGGACTATTACTGGTGTTGCGCTTTAATTATTGTTGTTATATATGGCTTCTGAATATTCATGAATATAAAATAAGATGCAAACTTCTTATGTTTATATCTGTTCAGTTACAAAGTGGCTATCCCAATGATGCTAAATATGTTTATATTCATTTTCTTAAGTCATCATCAAAGTAAAACCAGAAATGTTTAATGTAAATTTAAGTTATTTAACTGCTTCACAATACTAACCAGAAATCTCACTGTAGTCAAAGTGCCCAGGCAAAACATATTGGGCAGCTCACAGAAAGAGTTTCAAAGTCATGCTGAGATAATTCTCCTACTTCAGGTAAGACTCGGTTCAAACATTGACTCTGGTACTTAGGAGCTATATGGTCTTGAGCAAGCAACCTGTCCTCTCTGAGCCTCAGTGTCTCCATCCTAGTTATGAGGATGGAGAAGATAAAGGTGGGTAATAAAAATGATAACTACCTTCTAGGATTGCATTAAATATATGAGATCAGTTGTTGCTGCTATTGTTACTAAGTATTATTACCCTAGATAAAATCAAAAGGTTTACAATATTGTGTGCCTTTCTAATGCCCATGTTGAAAGATCAGGCACAACCAGAGAAAGGTAATGGAGTCCATCGCTGGGGTTTTGTTGGCAATGGCAGTCACATACTAGGGTCAGAATGGGGAATAGGAATCAGGTTAAGAATGAGATCAGTTCTCACAGCTCAACCTCTTCTGTCTGAAGAGGAATCTGGAGAAAAGGCATGAGTAGATTAATATTTAATTAATCGGGAAGGCCAGACAAAGGAGGGTGGCAAAGAGAAGGGAGGCCCGAAGCAGACTCTTTGGATCTGTAAGGCGGGCACATTACCCTAAGAAGTGCTGCAAGTTAAAAGTAGCTCTTTTTTTTTTTTCGTAATTAACTTGTTTATTTATAATTGACAGATTATAAATAGCTTGTTTTTAAAGATTTAAATAAATTAGGATTTTATCTATGAGGCTGACATTCTTCAAGGAAGCATTTTTTTTTTTTTTTTTTTTTTTTTGGAGGCAGAGTCTTGCTCTATCCCCCAGGCTGGAGGGCAGTGGTGGCATCTCGGCTCACTGCAACCTCTGCTTCCCGGGTTAAAGTGATTCTCCTGCCTCAGCCTCCCGAGTAGCTGGGATTACAGGCATGGGCCACCATGCCCAGCTGAGTTTTATATTTTTAGTAGAGACGAGGTTTTGCCATGTTGGCCAGGCTGGTCTTAAACTCCTGACCTCAAGTGATCCGCCCGCCTCAGCCTCCCAAAGTGCTGGGATTACAGCGTGAGCCACCACCCCAGGCCAAGGAAGCAGTTTTAATCACCCAACTCAGTCTTTATTTCACATTTCAGGGCTACAAACTTGGGAGTCAGAGAGAGAGACTAGGTTTCAGACATGAGTCGTATCCCCTCTCCCTCAACACTGCACACACACGGTTCTCCTCAAACACCTGTGGACCATAGTATGTTGTTGCCCCTCGGCACCTCCTTTTCTAAACAGCTTCTTTGAGAAGATGACAATGGGCTGCCTCCTGAGAATAGAGGGACAAGGGGTGCTCCAGAGCAAGTGAGTGCGAGAGGGCAGCGCCTCACTCCCTTCCTCCCTGCCTCCTGCTGGCCTGCACCTTTCAGAGGTTGGGCCATACACCCGACTTTGGGGGGAAGTTGAAGCCATTTGGGATCTGATGTTACAGTTAAAAATGTGGCCTTAGGCCAGGCGCAGTGGCTCATGCCTGTAATCCCAGCACTTTGGGAGGCTGAGGCAGGCGGATCACGAGGTCAGGAGATCGAGACCATCCTGGCTAACACGGTGAAACCCCGTCTCTACTAAAAAAAAAATACAAAAAATTAGCCGGGTGTGGTGGCGGGCGCCTGTAGTTCCAGCTACTCGGGAGGCTGAGGCAGGAGAATTGCGTGAACCCAGGAGGCGGAGCTTGCAATGAGCGGAGATGTGCCACTGCACTCCAGCCTGGGCGAGAGAGCGAGACTGTCTCAAAAAAAAAAAAAAATGTGGCCTTGGCACAGGGCAGGATAGATGGGCCAGATGGGATAGGCCAATGCAGGGACATGGCGCCAGTGGTACTCAAACAGGCAGGTGGGCAAATAGGCCTCATCAGACCGACTCACAGGAGTCCAGTGGGGGAGAGCACTTCTCCGAGGAAGGCTATAGGATGCGAAGGACATCTGCGACCTCTCAAGTATTCAGGCTACGAGCAGCCTGGAGGCTTCGTGCCAGTCCCCTATCTTTCCTTTCCGCCCTGTTTTATTCATGATCCCGATAAAACCTCCTCAGCACACAACCCTAAATCTGCACTTGCTTTTCCTGCCTTCCCACATAGTATGGAGAAGCTTGGAAGGTGCGGCCGCTGCTGGGCCAGATAGAGGACAATGTGTCACACCCATCCGGCTCTGATGTCACACTTGACACTGCACCAGAGGACCTGAGCCTCTGCTGGCTCCAGCCCAGCCCCTTTGCCTTCCCCTACTGCCACCTGGCCTGGCCAGCCAGCAGGGACTCGGGAAAGCACACAGGTTTCAGAGTAGGAGGGCAAGGAATGAACTGGGCTCTGCCACGGAGCAGCTTCATATGCCTGAATAATTCACTTGCTAGTCTCAGCCTGCTCCTCTTCCATGAAGTAGAGACCACGGTCCTACCTAGCTCATAGGTGGCTGTCGGGGTCAAATGAGTAGACTTTTACACCATGTGAGGAGCTAACAAGTATTATTAGTATCATTAGGGAGTGTGGAAAAAGTGTGATATCTCATCTCTCGCCTTCCCATCATGTGGTATTACACTGGTTGGAAGTTGAATTTTAAAAAGCTTGGCCGGGCGCGGTGGTTCACGCTTGTAATCCCAGCACTTTGGGAGGCCGAGGTGGGCGGCTCATGAGGTCAGGAGATCGAGACCATCCTGGCTAACATGGTGAAACCCCGTCTCTACTAAAAAATACAAAAAATTAGCTGGGCGTGGTGGTGGGTGCCTGTAGTCCCAGCTACTCGGGAGGCTGAGGCAGGAGAATGGCGAGAACCCGGGAGGCGGAGCTTGCAGTGAGCCGAGACAGCGCCACTGCACTCCAGCCTAGGCGACAGAGTGAGACTCCATCTCAAAAAAAAAAGAAAAAAAAATTTAAAAAGCTTTTGTTCATGAGAAACCAGAGCATGCACATATATACACACTTTCTTTCAGGTGATCATCAGGGTCACTACTTAAGTTATTAATGTGGGGGAAAGGTTTTTCACCTAAAATGACTGACCACTGCTATATTGACCCTTGGTCCTTATGAAATGATCTGTTCTCCCTCCTTTTCCAGTACTTGGACTACTTCCTTCTGGGAGACAGTGGGATTTTCCCAACAAGACTACAGAGCAAGCCAGAAATAGAGATTAAAAACTAGGCACATTCCAGCAAGGCAGGGATGGCCAACACTCTACCCGAGCCATGCACAGTCTGTGCCCTGCATGGACATATTGGGGGCATATCAACAGCAGGTTGCCCTGCAAGGGCCTCCTCCCCAGCTGCCAAGATGTCTAATCACAGGTGCAGAGGGAGGGAGTCGGTGCTGAAATCTGAGGAAGCCAGGAGAAGCAGGAAATACATGCACTACCTTTTCTTCCATCTTTCATCTGGGGCTGGAGTGGTGGCCCCTGGAATGGAGGCAGTGGCTGCAGAGATGGGGGGAAACCAGGGAGTAGGTCACTCAAGGACACAAGACAGAAGCCAGTCCCTAAAGATGGCCTGCGAAAACGCAGCAGCACCCTAGGACACAGAGTGAGAAACCTGTTTTATACATCACCTTGTCTATTATTCTCTTGAAGAGCAGATTCCTATTTAGCTCTTCACATATGAACAGTTTTACTTCAGTTTAAATCCCCTTCTTGTGATCAAATGACACAGCTAGTTAGTTTCTGGGTTACTCTTTCTTAGCGTCTAGCACAGCAGCTTGCACATTATAAGTGCCACGTATATTTAGACTACTTAATTTAGGGACATCATTCCAAAAACATGCTGAGCCAGACTGAGGGGATAAGAGCTCTGTGATTGGGCCAATCCCGTTATGTCATCATTTCATCATGCCTCTTGGGAGAAAGTGGGAATTTACTTATAATTCATAAGATACTCAGAAAGGAATGCTATATACACTCAGATTTCAAAAAGTTGAGACAAGAATAAATTATGGACATGGTGGTTAAAATTACATTCTGACTCTGCAATTACAAATGGTCTGGTAATGGAGCAGAACCATGTGGCACCAAAGTGAGCTCTTGGTGAATTCAGATTTTTGTTCAGTGTTTTTTTTGTTTTTTTTTTTTGTAAGTCTACATAATGGAAGAAAAGATAAGGATGGGTGAATACAAAAGAGTGGCATACACACAGCTAAGGAAAATGCCAGAGAATATAAAATAAACCCTTGTTCTATTTTTTTTTCTATTTGTTTTAGTCATTTTTCAGTTTTTAGACCAAGAAAAAGAAAAAAGATGTGCCCACTGCTTGAGGCAGTGACAGAAGGCAAATATGCCCAACTCTTTTTTTTTTTGAGACGGAGTCTTGCTCTGTCACCCAGGCTGGAGTGCAGTCGTGCAGTCTCGGCTCACTGCAACCTCTGCCTCTGGGTTCATGCAATTCTCCTGCCTCAGCCTCCTGAGTAGCTGGGATTACAGGCACACACCACCATGCCCAGCTAATTTTTTTCTATTTTCAGTAGAGATGGAGTTTCACCATGTTGGTCAGGCTGCTCTCGAACTCCTGACCTGATGATCCGCCCGCCTTGGCCTCCCAAAGTGCTGGGATTACAGGCATGGCCTCCCAAAGTGCTGGGATTACAGGCATGAGCCACCGCGCCCGGCCCAAATATGCCCAACTCTTAATTCTGCTTTGCTCTTTCATATCAAGAAGAAAGGTCTTGAACTTGAAAGCTAATAGACAAAAAGTTAACAGGAAAATGAAGTTCAAGACAAGTAAAGAGACACCTAAATGGTTCCTTTTATATAAGCTCAAGTATTCTGGTCTAAGTAAATTACATTTCAGGAATCTGACACAACTTAATGACATGACTGCAAATCAGGTGGGAATCTTTGAGAAACTAGGGAGAATGAGAGAGGACGGTGTCTTAGTCCCATTGTGTTGCTATAAAGGAATACCTGAAGCTGGGTAATTTATGAAGAAAAGAAATTGATTTGTCTCATGGTTATGCAGGCTATACAAGAAGCATGGTGTCGTCATGGCCATTCATGAGGGATCCAACCCATTATCCAAACACCTCCCACCCAGCTCCACCTCCAACATGGGAGATCAAATTTCTGCATAAGATTTGGAGGGGACAAATATCCAAATTGTATCGAATGCAGACAGGCATCTCGATTTTTTTAAAAATAAAAATAAGATAGATTCTGGAAACAACAGACTGGTAAACATGGTATTAACCCACAGCAGAAATCTAAAGTGGTTTATCAAATATTTTGTGAACATTTAGAAAAGAAAATGACCATGACCAAGCACCAACAACCCGCAGGGATTCAATAAAATAAGGCAGTCCAAGCTGATCTCAATTTGTCTTGAGCTCATTATTAGACAGATAGATCAAAGAAGTTCAGACATAGCATATCTTTTTTTTTTTTTTTTCTTGCTCTGTCGCCCCGGCTGGAGTGCAGTGGCACGATCTCAGCTCACTTCAACCTCCACCTCCTGGGTTCAAGCAATTTTCCAGCCTCAGCCTTCTGAGTAGCTGGGATCGCAGGCACGTGTCACCATGGCCGGCTAATTTTTGTATTTTTAGTAGAGTCAGGGTTTCACCATGTTGGCCAGGCTGGTGTCGAACTTCTGACTTCAGGTAATCCTCCTGCCTCAGCGTCCCAAAGTGCTGGGATTACAGGCATGAGCCCCCACACCCAGCCTAAACATAGTATATCTTGATTTCTGCCACTGAAAATGTCTTTCATCATGTTCAGTGGATAAAGGTGAAAAAGGTGGGGCTACATTATTGCACAGTTCCACCCGTGCATAATTTGCATGTAATTAAACCTAGAAGCTACTGACTGAGTGCCACAAGATTCTAGATTTGGTCCTAATCTCCTCGATATATTTATCAACAAGGATAAGACTTAAGAAGAAAGGGTTATGGCCGGGCGGGGTGGCTCACGCCTGTAATCCCAGCACTTTGGGAGGCCGAGACAGGCAGATCACAAGGTCAGGAGATTGAGACCATCCTGGTTAACACGGTGAAACCCCGCCTCTACTAAAAATACAAAAAATTAGCCGGGCGTGGTGGTGGGCGCCTGTAGTCCCAGCTACTCGGGAAGCTGAGGCAGGAGAATGGTGTGAACCCAGGAGGCGGAGCTTGCAGTGAGCCGAGATCGTGCCATTGCACTCCAGCCTGGGGGACAAAGCGAGACTCCGTCTCAAAAAAAAGAAGGGTTACCAATTGTGCAGGTGACACTAAGCTAGGAAGGAGAGCCAATATACTGGATAAGGAATCATGAATCTCAAGTATCTCAGCATAAAGCAATGATGTGATGAAATTAAAGTAAAATCATTTTAAATCCTATACTGTAAACATCCTTAGATACAAATATAGGTAACAAGTCAAGTTATGCTAAAGTAATATACTCTTGAGACAGGCCAATCAGACTGATTGGAGAAAAAAAGATTTGCCTTGACAAAGGTCACAGGAACAGACTCAAAATTTATATTTCTGGTGAATCCCACCAGAAACTTCAGGTTATAGCTTCAGAAACCCATTTAAAGACAGTTTGCCATTTGCCTAAAGACTTGATGAATGCTGATGATTAATCTTAGGAAGCTTATCTGTCAAAAGAAGAATGAAATAATCAGGGGGAAAGGACTGAGAACCATAAAGGAAGGTGGAAAATTTCATATGAAAACAAGAACACCTGGGGCGTGGGTATTACGTGACAGTTCTTAAAAGAACCATTCTTTGAATGAGAAATCAGACAAGTCCACATATTCCAGGTTACTTTAGAGGAGAGGAGTAGGGCCCCTTTCCAGAGGTCACAGGGACTAAAACTCAGACACTGTTAAGACATTTCTTCTAATCCTTGCTGTCCCCAAATAGAAAGGACTGCTGTGTGAGGCAGTGAGGCAGTGAGCTAGTGCAAGGCAGGATGGCTGAGTCAGATGTTGTGTGTGGATTTGCAAACTTCAAGAAGTTTCTCTGCTATGCATTTTATTGCCTTTTATACAATGTCCATGATCTAATAAGGAAGGTGGCCGGGTGCGGTGGCTCACGCCTGTAATCCCAGGACTTTGGGAGGCCGAGGCGGGTGGATCACGAGGTCAGGAGATCGAGATCATTCTGGCTAACACAGTGAAACCCCGTCTCTACTAAAAATACAAAAAATTAGCCAGGCTTGGTGACGGGTGCCTGTAGTCCCAGCTACTCGGGAGGCTGAGGCAGGAGAATGGTGTGAACCTGGGAGGCGGAGCTTGCAGTGAGCCGAGATTGTGCCACTGCACTCCAGCCTGCGCAACAGAGCGAGACTCCGTCTCAAAAAAAAAAAAAATAAAATAAAATAAAATAAAGGAAGGCAATATGATGTGGTGGTTAAAAGTCCAGTGTCGGCCGGGGGCGGTGGCTCACGCCTGTAATCCCAGCACTTTGGGAGGCCGAGGCGGGCGGATCACGAGGTCAGGAGATCGAGACCATCCTGGCTAACACGGTGAAACCCCGTCTCTACTAAAAATACAAAAAATTAGCCGGGCGTGGTAGCGGGCGCCTGTAGTCCCAGCTACTCGGGAGGCTGAGGCAGGAGAATGGTGTGAACCTGGGAGGCGGAGCTTGCAGTGAGCCGAGATCGCGCCACTGCACTCCAGCCTGGGCGACAGAGCGAGACTCCGTCTCAAAAAAAAAAAAAAAAAAAAAAAGTCCAGTGTCATTCTACCCACACTTGAATCCCAGCTCTGCCCCTCACTCACCATGTGACCAGAGTGACCTTGAACAAATTAGCTAACTGCCCCGGACCGCAGTTTCTCCATCTGCAAAATAAGGATGATATAAGCATCTACCCAATGGGTGTTCTGTGAGGACTGAGTTAATGTGCAGGAAGCATAAGAACGGTATCTGGCACATAGGAAATACGCAAGTTAGCAATTTATTATGATAACTCTGCAATCTTTTCAGCCACTCTTTAAGGTTCCTGGTCATCCATTCTGGGCACAGTGTGACATTTACCTGAACAGAGAGGAGAATGGCACTAGAAGATGAGGGAGATTTGGTGCCTAAAAATTACTACAAACAGGCAGGGCGCAGTGGCTCACGCATGTAATCCCAGCACTTTGGGAGGCCGAGGTGGGTGCATCACGAGGTCAGGAGTTTGAGATCTGCCTGGCCAACATGGTGAAACCCCATCTCTACTAAAAATACAAAACATTAGCTGGGTGTGGTGGCAGGCACCTGTAATCCCAGCTACTCGGGAGGCTGAGGCAGGAGAATTGCTTGAACTCGGGAGGCGGAGCTTGCAGTGAGCCAAGATCGCGCCACTGCTCTCCAGCCTGGGCAACAGTGCGAGACTCCGTCTCAAAAAAAAAAAAAAGAATTACTGCAAACACATAGAGAACAGCACCATATGGAGCAAAAGAGAGCAGCTGGAGAATGTTTTCATTCAGAGACCCCATAGGATTTCAAAAGCCAGCTACCATCAGCAGTTATTTCTGCCCCCAAATCACCCTAAAATGCAAATCCCATCACTGTAGCTGGCAAAGGTCTGGGATATGGCTCCTGGAGTCTAGGGAGCAGTCCCCACCAAGGACGGTGCTGGCTTCTCGGGTTCCTCTCCCAGATCTACAATCCGGATGGCGTTTTCCTTCTTGGAAAGCCAGAAGGCAGCATAGACTGGTTCTGAAAATTTGCAGGCAAACTTGTGAACCAGAGTCATGGTATCATACTCTACGCCATAGAAGGAAAGGATCCCTCCCGGGAAGTCGATATAGACCCCGAGCCTCCGGAAAGGGCCAGCTTTGAGTGGGGTCTCCATGTCACTGTACCAGGCCGTGAACTCCTTCCCGTTCCATTGGAGGCTCCAGGAGAAGTTGTTTCCGGAAATGCAACTGTTGCGCTCCTCCCCTTTCCGGTCGATGCCTTTGCAGGTCAGGCCAACATAGGTGCCTGCCCCGAAGATCTCCACCTCAAAATAGTACCTGTGCAGGTACAGACTCTGCTGGGACAGCACCTGCCGCCAGTGCAGGAACCTGCTGGGGAGGTCCGGGTAGGGATGCTCCCAGGGCGTGGTGTTGGTGACCTTGCGGTTCTCCTCCTGCAGCCGGAGATACTTGTGTGCTGTGTCCGGGTCAAACGTGATGTCATACGCATCTGAGGAGACACAGAAGGCAGGAGAGTGGTTCAGGAACTGACAGCTGATTCAGACAGAATGCTTTAAACCCAGCTGGGCTCCAAAGCACATATGAGAAAACATCCATTTCTCTGTTCTCTATTTACCCAGGCTGCTGTTTCCCTAGGAAATGAGGTGAGTGAAGACCAGAAAACAGAGAGCACAAATCATCTACTCCCTTCCCTTATGAAGCTCAAGTTGCTTGACATTGATGATATTATTTGATGAACCGAATCAAGAAATATATTAATTTACTCATTCATGCATTCATTCATTCATTCAACAAACATGTATTGAATGCCTGGCATTATCCTACCCAGTGTTGGCAAGTGTTTGGGGAAGCAGGTACTCCTATACCCATATTTGATCCATTCATTCATTTTTTAAAATATTTGACCAACATCTTAAAAATGAATGAATGGATCAAATGGAGCATGAAGAACTCTCAAACACGCCCTCATATTCTCCTCCCACTCCCAAAGAATAATAGGGTCTCATGCACCCCATTGCTCAAGTCAAGCTCTATGTCATTTCTGACATTTGTTTTGCCCTCATCCTCTTCCCCTATCCTCACTACACACACAGGAAGCAGTAACTCCTACGGATTCTACCACTTCTCTCCAGCCCCCTGCTTTACCCCCGACCTAAGCCACCACTCATCTCACTCAGACTAGTTCAGCGGGTTTCTGACTGGTCGTTCGCTGTTCTCTCTTGCCCCCTTCAAGACCTTCTCCACAACAGAGCCATGCTGCTTGTTTCCAGCTGTAGGCTGAGGCCAGTCGTGTTATTCTAGCTTAAAACCCTTTCATGGTGTCCCTTGCTCTTATGATAAAGCAGCAACCCCTTGCCCTGGCCTACCAGGCCCCACGTCCCTGGTCCTTTCCTGTGTCTCTGACTCTCTCCCTTGATTACTACATTTCCACCGTGCTGACCTCAGACCTACTCAACACTCAATCCTCTTTGAGCCTTTGGTACAGCCTGTTCCCTCCGAGATGTGATCACGCCCTACTCTGAGTCTGGTGAATCCTACCGATCCATTCAGGCTACAACTGAGAGTTCATGTCCTCGAAGAGGCCCTTTGTGACTCTAACTCACTCTCTCCCAGAGCACCATGGTGTTTTAAACTTGGCACCCCTCTCCATTTGTAATAATATATATTCATGTGAGTGTTTGTTTCCTGCTTGTCCTCCCTCTAATCTATCAGCTTCACATTTTGCATGGGATTCTTCTCTAACTCAGAGAAGATGCTCAGTATATACTTGCCAAATGAATTAGCATATTAAAGGCTATTAAAACAATCCCATAATTAAAAAAGTTCTCACTGGTGCAGAGGCTTATGCCAACACTTTGGGAAGCTGAGATGGGAGAATCACTTGAGGCCAATAGTTTGAGACCAGCCTGGGCAACACAGCAAGGCTCCATCTCTACAATTGTTTAAAAATTTTTTTTTTAATTAGCCAGATGTGGTGGCATGCGCCTGTGGTCCCAGCTACTCAGGAGACTGAGGGAGGAGGACTGCTTGAGTGTGGGAGGTCAAGCCTGCAGTGAGCCATGATCAAGCCACTGTACCCCAGTCTGGGCAACAGAGACCCTGTCTCAAAAAATATACATACATACATATATATATGTCTACATGTATATATATGTAAACATACAAAATATGTGTTTAGTGACTGTTTATGTCAATTAACAGAAGGCTATTACTAGTTAAGTTCTTGAGGAATCAAAAGCTACACGTGGATGTTCAACAATACGAGGGATTGGTATCCCAACCCCTACATTGTTCAAGGGTCAACTGTGCAGTGTTTTAAAAATGCTAATGGACCAAGTCAATAACACTTAATGATAGGTCAATGAGTTATGCAATTCTGGCCAAGTCATACATAGAAATGAATCACTTGGTAACTAGCCAGGACTCTTCAAAGTGCTATGGTCATGAAACACAAGGATTGAAAGACTGATCCAGACTGAAGGAGACTAAGAAGACATGGAAACATCTGTGACCTTGGATTGGACTTTGGGCCAGAAAAAAAGGGCATTGATGAAAGACTTGGTGAAAGCTGAATAAATTCTGTAGATTAGTTGATAGCATTGTAGCAATGTTATTCCCTGGTTTTCATCAATGTATTGTAGTTATGTAATGTGTTAACATTAGGAGAAACTGAGTGAAAGATATATGGGAATTCTTTGTCTTAGTTCTGTAATATTTTTGTAAGTTTCATATTATTTCAAAATGAAAAGTTAAAAAAATTGTTTAAATTAAATTTTAAGAAATGTATCATTTAGAGATAGATATGAAGTTGCAAGAACCTGAAACCTAGATGAGAGATGGCGGTTCTGACTTAGCAAAGCACTGCACTGATATCAACAACTGGAGAAGCGGGTGCCGTTCACAACTTACATTGGAGGAACTGTTCCCTGGTGCTGGGCTCAGGTTTGGAAGTCCAATATTTGCGCTGAACAACGGCAGACACTTGAGTTCTGATGTCATACTCCTCTAGAAAATCAAGAGAGTTGTGAATGCACACCTGTCCAGGTGGTCAGGAGAATCTGCAAATCAGGACTTCCCAGCCACCCTTCCCTGGGCTTCCTGGGGAAAGAAGGGGCTGAAGCCTGGTAATGTTTCACAGAAATACGCTCAATAGACTACATTTCTTTCATAGGTAAGGCATAAACCACTGAAAAAGTGATCCAGACCATCTTGGATTTAACTTAAAAGTATAGGCATCAGCAACCTGGGAAGCTAGTCACAGAAATGCCAGCCGATCGCATAATATAAGCATGACTAATTGTCCTTCTTTGGGTCTCAATTGTAAAAGAAAATCATCGAGATGAGAGTCCATTAGTAACATACCCTGTCTGAAGCATGGCTTTGAAAATGAGACATTTGACTGGGCACGGTGGCTCACACCTGTAATCCCAGCACTTTGGGAGGCTGAGGTGGGCAGATCATTTGAGGTCAGGAGTTCGAGACCAGCCTGACCAACATGGTGAAACCCCGTCTCTACTAAAAATACAAAAATTAGCCAGGTGCCTGTAATCTCAGCTACTAGGGAGGCTGAGGAAGAAGAATCTCTTGAACCCGGGAGGCAGAGGTTGCAGTGAGCTGAGATTGCGCCATTGCACTCCAGCCTGGGTGACAGAGCAAGACTGTCTCACAGAAAAAGAAAAAAAAAAGAAAATGAAACATTCCCCTGATTTCATCCTCCCTTCCCTGACTCTCTCTCACCTTCCTATCATCTACTGCTAGAGACACACTCACTATAGTCCATGGCCCAGAATGCGTCTCACCTTCCTTGGAAAACTCCTGGAGCTTTTTCTTATAGTTCTCCAGCAACTGGATTAAGTGTACAGTGGATTCCGTGATAACTTTGCGGATGCCCGAGAGTTTATCCTTCAGCCCTACGTAAACACTAGGGAAGGTGATGTCTTCAGTGTTCTTAAACTTGCAGTACTCCTGCAGAAAAGGAAACAGCAGAACTTGCTGTGGTTTCTGTATTTCTAAACTCGGGCTTCTCTCCTCATTAAGTCACTTTTTGCATCTGTAAAATGGGCTGACGGTAATGTGTCCTTCACAAAGAAAGTACATGTGAAGTGTCAAGCTCAGGGTCTAACAAAATAGAAAGCACTTCTCTAGCTGCTAGACCCTCAGAATAAGTGGGATTTTAAAAAAAACAAGTGAGAACATGGGATTTTAAAAATCAAGATGTACTAGATGGCCATGAACAGCTCCAATACACAGTCCAGACTGGGGACCAAAAAATAAAGAACATTCTTGCTTTGTTCATTCCGTCAGTACTTGTTTTTTGACAATTTAAACACAAGCCATGGTAGAAAATGGAGGAGCTCTCAGGCAGGAGTGCTGCCTCTTCCTTGTCAGTTTCATCCAATGCATAAATTTCTGTAATTCTTGTACCTTGCTTTAGTATTTGGAAAGTGTTTTCACACTGATAATCACATAGTTTCATGTAAGTTTTGAAATAACGTGTGATCAGGAAAGATGCTTTCAGATATAACACAGTATCAAACTTCAGCTGCAACTGAAGCATTAAAAAGCAGACCAGGTACAGCAGAAAACATAGCAATGAAAACAGTTGTATGAAAATGATTAGATAGAGCCATGGAAATCAAAACCAGAGAATTGATAGAGAAAAGGGTAATTCAACATTTTAATGCTATATACTGTACATGACAAAAGTAGCATTTTAAATCAGTGGGAGAAAGGATAAGTTATTCGGATAAGTTATTCAATAAATCTTGTTTTGAATGCCTAACCAAAAATTTGGGGGAAAACGTTATCTTTTGCCAAAATAAATAAATATCTTTTTTTTTTTTTTTTTGAGACATAGTCTTGCTTTGTCACCCAGGCTGGAGTGCAATGGCGCAATCTCGGCTCACTGCAACCTCTTGCCTGCTAGGTTCAAGCGATTCTCCTGCCTCAGCCTCCCAAGTGGCTGGGACTACAGGTGTGCACCACCATGCCTGGCTAATTTTTTTTATTTTTAGTAGAGACAGGGTTTCACCATGTTGGTCAGGCTGGTCTCAAACTCCTGACCTCATGATCTGCCGGCCATGGCCTCCCAAAGTGCTGGGATTACAGGTGTGAGCCACCGTGCCCGGCCAATAAATAAGTTATCATACACTAGAATTTATTTTATATGTGTTAAAGTCTTTTATGTTAAAAATAAACTTACAGGCTGGGTGCAGTGGCTCATGCCTGCAATCCCAGCACTTTGGGGGGCCGAGGTGGGTGGATCACGAGGTCAGGAGTTCGAGACCAGCCTGGCCAAGATGGTGAAACCCCATCTCTACTAAAAATAAAAAAAATTTGGCCAGGCACGGTGGCTCATGCCTGTAATCCCAGCACTTTGTGGGGCCGAGGCGGGTGGATCACGAGGTCAGGAGATCGAGACCATTCTGGCTAACACGGTGAAACCCCATCTCTACTAAAAATACAAAAAATTAGCCGGGCGCGGTGGCGGGCGCCTGTAGTCCCAGCTACTTGGAAGGCTGAGGCAGGAGAATGGCGTGAACCCAGGAGGTGGAGCTTTCAGTGAGCCAAGATCGTGCCATTGCACTCTGGCCTGGGCGAAAAGAGCAAGACTCCGTCTCGAAAAAACAAAAAAAATTGGCCGGGCGCGGTGGCTCACTCCTGTAATCGCAACACTTTGGGAGGCCGAGGCGGGCAGATCACCTAAGGTTGGGAGTTCAAGACCAGCCTGACCAACACGGAGAAACCCCGTCTCTACTAAAAATACAAAAAATTAGCCGGGCATGGTGGCCCATGCTTGTAATCCCAGCTACTCAGGAGGCTGAGGCAGGAGAATCGCTTGAACCCGGGAGGTGGAGCTTGCAGTGAGCAGAGATCGTGCCATTGCACTCCAGCCTGGGCAACAAGAGTGAAACTCAGTCTCAAAAAAAAAAAAAAACAAATAAAAATAAAAATTAGCCAGGTGTGGTGGCGGGTGCCTGTAATCCCAGCTACTCGGGAGGCTGAGGCAGAGAATTGCTTGAATCCGGGAGGCGGAGGTTGCAGTGAGCCGAGATCGTGCCACTGCACTCCAGCCTGGGTGACAGAGCAAGACTCCATCTCAAAAAACAACACACACACACAAAAATAAATAAAGTTACAAAACGAGAAAAGAGAAATAATTTATATACTCTTTGGGTAGATCTTAAGGGAAACTTGTGAGGCGGGAAGCCAAATGGTTATTAAATGGTTATTCATATTTTCTTCGTGTTTTGATACTGAAAAGCAAAGAAACTGACAGACGCTTTGTTGGTGTTTTTGTCTGTCTTTCTCTTTTACTCATTCAAAAGTTAACTATGTTGTACTTGTGTAAGGATTATGGATTTTTTTTCTTCTTTTTTTGTACTTTCCAAGTTTTTCACAATAAACATTTGTTTTTTGTAACTAGCAGAGAATTTTTTCAAAAATGCAAGCAAGAAAAAATTGTATTTCAGAATATCAGAGCTTGGATGGAGCCTTCTGAATTATTTACTCCAGTGGGCTTGTTGATAAATGAGAAATTTGAGACTCAGGGATGTGAAGAGCTGTTAACAGAGCTGTTTTCTGACAGATTCAGGATGTTGCAGTTTACCCCCAACCTAGTGTTCCTTCCTCGAAAGGTTACATGTTCTTTAGATCTCGTTCCAATGGCTTACGGTTTGATGTCTAATGATACATTGTAATGAAAAGCATTTCCTGGTTCCAACTGCTTACCTTTAATGTCTAATGATACATTGTAATGAAAAGCATTTGCTCTTCTGAGCCCTCCTCAATTACTCCAGCCACAGCCCTCTCTGAAAAGCAGCAGGCTCCAGTCTCATCCCTACCAAGCAAACCTCCATGCAGTGGACTGCTGGAGCGGTTTATAAAACATACTCACTGACTCCATCATTCTCCCATCTGAAACCCTTCCCAGCCATACACCTGCCTGGCCGTGCCAGTCTCATCACTCTGCACCCAGTACCCCAGGCTCCACCCCTATTAAAGTACCTTGGCTCCCCAAATCAGCTGTGCTTCCTCAAACCTCTCTGCCTTTGCATATGTTGTTCCCTCTACCTGGAACATACTGCACGTTGAACCTGACTCATCTTCCGGGACCTGCTTCAAGCTTCCCTGCTCTGAGCAGTTCTCCCTCCCTACCCCTCCTATACTCTGCTGAATGAAGAATCTGCTTCTCTCTGTTCCCACTGCTCCCTGTGCACACCATTTAACAAAAAACAGTTCCATTCACAGATGGCCATGGGCCTAGCAAAGAGAGGGTGCTTCATGGGGCAGCTGTGGGATGCCTCTGCCCCCGCAACCCCCATACCTCCAAGAACTGGACAGTGTTGCTGATGGCCGCCATCCTCTCCAGCTCCTGCTTGCTCTTCTCCATCTCGGCACTCCTGTACTCCAGGTGGGCCTTGATACCGTTGGCCTGGCTCAGCGCAGCTTGCTCCTTCTCCTCTAAGAAGAGCATCACATTGGCCTGGGCCTTCCTCACAGCAGCAAGGAGTTCCCCAAACTGCATTTCAGCCACCGCTTTGACCTCTGACACCGACACCTGGCAGGGGGTGGGGGTGGAAGGCAGCCAAACATTTCTTAGTGAGGCATCCAACTTGATAGAAACTCAACATACAGAAATGTCAGCTTGAGAAACACATATATTAGGGAGCAGTTCCCTATTGTAAAAGGAATCCTTTATTCTCATGTGAATTCCAGGTTCCTGGAAAAAGGATTTACGTATTAACTTGGTCTCCTCATCCATTTGATGAGAGAGTGAATTCCTCTATGACCTCTGAGATCCCTCACAACTCTGACACTCCGGGATTGTTAGTCAAGTTTCCGAAATTGATTTTCCTACCAGAGCAATGTGTGTATTCAGTCTACTTGATAGTCATATTTCAAGAGGTAAAGAATTTGGCTTTTTTTTTTTTTTTTTGTATAATCAGCATGAATTAGCTTTCTTAGCATTTCATTATGCCCGGTTAAACTGACCACTGAGTCCATCAGAGCCAAATGCATGTCTAAGATGATACTGTCTCTACCACATACAGAATCCCCATAAAATGTTTAGGGTGCAGACGACCATGGCACCCAAGCAATTCCAGGACAAGCATGTATATGCAGAACAGAATGTGACATTCAAATAAAATATAAAAGAAAACCCATGTGAGAAACATTAAGGGTTTGAATGATGGGGCACATGCATGTGGACTCTTTTGCATGGTAAGCATCCTCTATGAATGCCTTCAATCAATATCATGTTTACAACATCTTTCCAAGTTCTGAAGGTTTCCTCTTCTCTGGTATTCTTAAGAATTGGTAGGAGCCTCTCCGCCCGGTAGCCACCCCATCTGGGAAGTGAGGAGCGTCTCCGCCCGGCAGCCACCCCGTCCGGGAGGGAGGTGGGGGGGGGGGGTCAGCCCCCCGCCCGGCCAGCCGCCCCATCCGGGAGGGAGGTGGGGGGGTCAGCCCCCCGCCTGGCCAGCCGTGCCGTCCGGGAGGGAGGTGGGGGGGTCAGCCCCCCGCCCGGCCAGCCGCCCCGTCCGGGAGGTGAGGGGCGCCTCTGCCCGGCCGCCCCTACTGGGAAGTGAGGAGCCCCTCAGCCCGGCCAGCCACCCCGTCCGGGAGGGAGATGGGGGGGTCAGCCCCCCTACCCGGCCAGCCGCCCCGTCCGGGAGGGAGGTGGGGGGGTCAGCCCTCCGCCCGGCCAGCCGCCCCATCTGGGAGGTGAGGGGCGCCTCTGCCCGGCCGCCCCTACTGGGAAGTGAGGAGCCCCTCTGCCCGGCCAGCCGCCCCGTCCGGGAGGGAGGTGGGGGGGTCAGCCCCCCGCCCGGCCAGCCGCCCCGTCCGGGAGGGAGGTGGGGGGGTCAGCCCCCCGCCCGGCCAGCCGCCCCGTCCGGGAGGGAGGTGGGGGGGGGTCAGCCCCCCCGCCCGGCCAGCCGCCCCGTCCGGGAGGTGAGGGGCGCCTCTGCCCGGCCGCCCCTACTGGGAAGTGAGGAGCCCCTCTGCCCGGCCACCACCCCGTCTGGGAGGTGTGCCCAACAGCTCATTGAGAACGGGCCAGGATGACAATGGCGGCTTTGTGGAATAGAAAGGCGGGAAAGGTGGGGAAAAGATTGAGAAATCGGATGGTTGCCGTGTCTGTGTAGAAAGAAGTAGACATGGGAGACTTTTCATTTTGTTCTGCACTAAGAAAAATTCCTCTGCTTTGGGATCCTGTTGATCTGTGACCTTACCCCCAACCCTGTGCTCTCTGAAACATGTGCTGTGTCCACTCAGAGTTAAATGGATTAAGGGCGGTGCAAGATGTGCTTTGTTAAACAGATGCTTGAAGGCAGCATGCTCGTTAAGAGTCATCACCACTCCCTAATCTCAAGTAATCAGGGACACAAACACTGCGGAAGGCCGCAGGGTCCTCTGCCTAGGAAAACCAGAGACCTTTGTTCACTTGTTTATCTGCTGACCTTCCCTCCACTATTGTCCCATGACCCTGCCAAATCCCCCTCTGTGAGAAACACCCAAGAATTATCAATAAAAAAATAAATTTAAAAAAAAAAAAAAAAAAGAATTGGTGTAGACAGCCGGGTGCGGTGGCTCATGCCTGTAATCTCAGCACTTTGGGAGGCTGAGGTGGGCAGATCATGAGGTCAGGAGATCGAGACCATCCTGGCTAACATGGTGAAACCCTGTCTCTACTAAAAATACAAAAATTAGCCGGGTGTGGTGGCGGGCGCCTGTAGTCCCAGCTACTCAGAGGCTGAGGCGGGAGAATGGCATGAACCTAGGAAGCGGAGCTTGCAGTGAGCTGAGATTGCGCCACTGCACTCCAGCCCTATCCCATCTGAGACTTTCTGAGCACCCCTCCAGGTGCTGTTTTCTCTCACTCCTCCCAATGTTAAGGGCCAGCTCTGAACATCAGGGCTCCAAAGTGAGTCAAATAGCAGATATCCTTGGGCAGAGGCTTCAGGGGCACCTCCCATCCCTGGCAAGGAAGGAGAGAGGGAGAGAGGGAGGGAGAATGAGACCCAGATCAAAAAGGGGAGCACAGTAAGGAAAGGACTCAGAAAGGATGGGATTCTGGGCCCAGGCTTAGTGGGAACCTAGAGGTTTGGAGGGAGATGGGAAGAAAAAATGATGACACCAGATAGGTCTTCTGCCTGGCTCAGGCCCTGGCTTAGGCCAGGGCTCAGCAATTCACTCCACGAGAATGGTCTCTGATCAGTCTTCAATCTGGTGGCAAAGGGAAGAATAAGCAGGGGAAAGAAAGCAAGGGGTATCCCTACTGGAGGGGGATGGTGGGAAGACACAGACAATCTCCCTACATTCTCTCTCTCTTTTTTTTTTTTTTTTTTTTTTTTTTTAGACAAGGTCTCCTCTGTTGCCAGGTTGGAGTGGCACAGTCTTGGCTCACTGCAGCTTTGACATCCCAGGCTCAAACGATCTTCCACCTCAGCCTCCGAAGTAGCAGAAACCACAGGTGCATGCCTTCATGCCCAACTAATTTTTATATTTTTTGTAGAGATAGGAGCTTACTACGTTGCCCAGGCTGGTCTCAAACTCCTGGCCTCAAGCAATCTGCCGTCCTTGGCCTCCCAAAGTGCTGGGATTACAGGTGTTATTACAGGTGGGATTACGTCCAGCCTACATTCTCATTTTTATGCCAACTTTTCCGTTGCCTGTTGGCTTCCTTGAGGTTAGGTAGCTGGACAGAGCTGGGAGCAAAGAAGCTGTGGTAACAGGATTAAGGAAGAGCGGGGATGGTAGACTTTATCCAAATTCTTCCAGCCCACACCAAGAAAAGCTTTTAGACAGGTGACGGTGTTGAGAAGCCAGGGCAGCAGGAGAGGCGATTTGGGAAACCTGAGGCTATCTGGTTTTGTGGCTCCCTCCGGAGCCCTGTTGTCCAGAGCTGGCCCTCACCCTTGGGAGGAGGAATAGTAGCACCTTAACCAGCTGCTCAGAAAGACTGCAGGTGGGGACAATAGTAGAGAAGGAGGCAGGCAGAGAATGGGCTCTGGACTGTGGATGGGAGGCTCAGAGCACTGTCTGAAATGAAGACCTGAGAACCAGGAAAGCTACCTGGGCCCCACCCAGGCCCCCCAAGTGGCAAACCTGCTGCCTGGGGCTCTGCCAGGTATAGGCTCTGCAGCCCTCTGACACTTCACCTCTCTCCCTCTTCCCACTCTCCTGAGAATGAGGACCCTCTGCTGCTAGCCTGGTCACTCTTCCAATTATATAACAATAATCATAAAAACAACCAACATGTAGTAAGTTCTTACTATGTGCCAGGCACTTTTCTCCTAGCAACCCTAAAAGG
Organism: Homo sapiens; assembly: GCF_000001405.40. Classification (NCBI taxonomy): domain Eukaryota; kingdom Metazoa; phylum Chordata; class Mammalia; order Primates; family Hominidae; genus Homo; species Homo sapiens. The sequence goes on from NC_000017.11 coordinate 15,640,029, forward strand.
TAGGTACTATTAGGGTCTCCATTTCTTAGATAAGGAAACTAAGACAGTGATAAATGGACTGATTTGCCCAAGATCACACAGCCAAGGTTTGAACCAAGACTGTCTGTCTCTGGAGTCCATCCCTTTGACCACCATTCCACACTGCCTCAAAATAGGGCCCAGGGTTGGGGATCCATGTGCCTGCAGTATAGCACTGAGCTGGCACAGCCTGACCTCTCCCTCTGGGCCCTGGCACATTCACTAGGATGAGCTGGGGAGGTACAATGGGAGTTCAGCTGAGCTTTCAGCCCATGGGCTGTGGCTGTGTGGGGGTTGCAGGGAAGGACCTTTAAGTTCAGCCCATTAAACAGAAGCCCTCCCAAGACCAGATGAGAGACAGGGCTTAGCCCCTTGTTCACTGTGGGCACCAGTTAGGGTAACATCCTATGCCCATAATGGACTATAAATACACAGGCTGCTGCTGAGCAGGCGACCAAGAGGGAAAGAGGCCAAGACTCCCAGCAATTCCTGAACCAACTGTTTACAGGTGTTGCCTCCTTGACATTGCAAACACTGTAAATTCTGATATATTAATCATTACTAGATTTAAATCTAAAAGCCAAATTACATTTCCATATGGCAAAGAAGTAATGATGAAGAAATCTACCTCAGAAGACAGGAGAGTTTTGCTTATAACCATTTGGGAGCGGGGGCAAATGGTGGTGATGGTGTTTGATCCAGGCTCTGCATTAGCTAACGTGTCCTAGTTCCCCGGCTTACTCACCCTTCATGCCCACTCAGGCTCCAGGTAGCCAGGCTCTAGGAGTCACAGAGGCCACAGAGTGCTCCCTGCCTGTACTGCCCGCTCCCGATGACCTCCAGAAAGCAGGAGCAGGACACAGCATGGGAACCAGCATGAGGGTGTTGTGGGAAAGGAGCAGAATCCTGTCTACAATTATGACCTGTAAGTTCCTCATAGAAGCACGATACCATGAGGCTAAGAGGATGAGACTAAAGACAAACTCAGGATCCAAATCCTCACCCCCGGCCCCAACTGAGGCCATCCTGAGAAAGGATAGTGGAAGGGAGGTGTCAGATGATATTGGTGGATTGAGGTTGACTTCTGCTGTGGCCTGGCCCTCATTCCTAAACCCTCCCATTGAGAAACACTTCTTTCTTGCATGTAAATGTAATGTGCAAAGGGCATTACTTACCATGAAAATGATGACAAGCAGAAACAGTACAGAGAGGAGAGGCCTCAATACATTCAAGGAGCCAGCAGGTAATGGTTTAAAGATTTGAGGATGGTGTACATGCCTATCAATATACTGAGTCATTCTTAAGTCAAGGGAGCAACAACTCTAGGTTCTCACATTCCATCAATCTAGATGGCCCTAGACAAGTATTGTCATCTCTCCATGTCTTCATGCCCCTTGTGCATGGTAGCTATTGTAATAACTACCTCCCCTGGTCATCATGTACTTATGAGAACTGAGGAGGGATCAAAGTGTCTGAAAATTAAAGAGCTGGGAAACACAAGACCCTCCATGTGGTTCTACAGGTTATCTTGAGCCTGGAAATCCATTATCTCTGAAGGTTTATAAGGCTTTAAAGGGATAATTCTCTTTCTTCCTTTAATAAGATATTGTGGGTAAGAAAGAGGTGTTTCATCCTTCAGTAGCTAGTTGGTTGTAAACACCCAGGAGGTGAAAATTAAGTTGAAATGAATACATGCATTAGGGGTAGATGAATGGATGGATGGATGATGGATGGAATCATTTATTCTCAGGATATAAAGATGACAATGCTGATTCACTTCCATAGGGTAGGTGTTTTGCATTCTCTCTTTTTTTGAAACAGAGTCTTACTCTGTTACCCAGGCTGGAGTACAATGGTGCAAACTCAGCTCACTGCAGCCTCCACCTCCTGAGTTCAAGCAATTCTCCTGCCTCAGCCTCCTGAGTAACTGGGACTACAGGTGTGCACCACCATGCCTGGCTAATTTTTGTATTTTTTAGTAGAGTCAGGGTTTCACCGTGTTGGCCAGACTGGTCTCGAACTCCTGACCTCAAGTGATCCACCCACTTCAGCCTCTCAAAGTGTTGGGATTACAGGTGTGAGCCACTGTGCCCGGCCTGTTTTGCATTCTCTTCTGAGTGGTGGTTACTGGCTTGCCACTGATGAGAGGCATTTGTAGAACTCCTCAGAATCCACTTGGAGACCATTTACTGCCTACTTAGCCTGGCACACCATGGCCTTCTCAAATACCATCAGTAATCCTGAGTTCTCAACTCCTTTTTTCCAGCTGCCAGGTCATAGGACTGGTGAGACTCACATGCAGAACACCCTCATATAATGGAAGAAGCCAAGATAACGTATAGTTTTTGGACCTCTGACTAAACTCCCAGCCCCCCACACACATACACCCTGTCAAGACAGCATAAGCAAATGTAGAAATAAGAATGTTGTTATTACAGGATTAGTCTTGGTTCTAATTTATATTATTAAAAAGCAAATCACTTGCCAGGTTTAAAACTTAAACTAATTTCATAACAAATCCTGACATCAAGGTGAGGCTACCGCATGGTGTAGTCAACTGTACCTACAATTCTCATTTGT